>NC_000005.10:166064354-166367384 GCF_000001405.40 Homo sapiens
GAGAGACAGAACACGTGTATGTTCTGTCATGTCTCTTTTTATACAGACACTATTCCTATTGGATCAGGGCCCCACTCTTCTGACCTCTTTTTAATCTTAATTACTCCCTTAGAGGCGGCATCTCCAAATACAGCCACAATTGGGTTTCAGGTTTCAATGTATCAATTTTGGGGCAAGGAAGGTGAAGACAAAAATAGTGAATTAGAAGTATCAATATGATTAGTTAACTATCTGGTGTAATATTACAGTTTCAATAATTGAACTTCCCAGAAACAAGAGAAAATGTCATCTTCCAGTTTTGTGTTTCAATTACATGGTAGGCCTGTTGCTGACAATTAACACATTTTCTGGTAGATAAAATACTGATTATCAAAAACAAAGCATACACCATGGAGGAAAGTCTGAAGAATATGAATCTCAGAGTCAATAAATATCACAGATATGTGTTCTATCACTTTAACAATTAGGAAAAACTAAGCAATTTATTTTCTGTACTGGCAGAAATGGAAATACATATTTTTACAAATGTATGCTTACTAAATATACTGTAGTTTGCCTCATTCTACATAATTTGTATAAAGTATGTTCTTCTTAAAGTTCAAACTTGGATTAATGTCTGATGTGTGAGGTTATCCAATTCATATTCAGTCATTTCACAGCTGTGTGGTTCTAATCAAATAAAAAAATGATCTTGCCTAGGCGAAGAAAATGGCTCTCATGTACAGAAGAACCAGAAACACACTTCATATCATGATGGTAGTATTTCTTTTTCTGTTTTTGGTCATAGCCTCTATTTGGACTTTAGCCATCACACGTACACACACACATACACGCACACATTGCCACAAAGGCTGATTTCTTATTGTACTCTTATTTTATAGCTAATCTTAATATGCTGAGGAAGCAACAACAAAAACAGAGTCAGTATGTTCTTTCTTCTATAAAGACCTACTGAGTAGGTCTTAAGCCAACTCAGTTTTTCTGCCTCCTTTCTTTCTACTTTGTAATTTGCCCAATATACTTTTCCTAAATTAGTCATAACACTGCTTTTTATCACATTATCCCCCTCCTCTACAACCTTCCATGGTTCCCCATTACCTTGAGATAAACTGCAAATGCATATCTTTTACATACTGTCAACAGCAGAGCTTTTCTAGCTGTACTTTCCTACTGCCATATATAAGCCCCCCTGAGATCTTATTGGTATCCTTATTATCTCCTAAACTTTATACATATGTTTTCATTTATATGCAGGCTATGTGCAAGATTTCCTCCAAGTAACACACTTCTCAGCAACCAGTGTTTCTCTAAGGGGCAATATTGGCATTTGCGGCAGAACAGTTTTTCCCTTTGTAGAATTTTTCTACAACTTTACAGAACATTAAGAATCCCTGATCCTTTCCTGTGTCATGCTAGTAAAACCCTCATATTGTACTAACAACAAAAAATGCCTCCAAAGTTTTCCAAAGATGCTTCTGTGTGTAATAGAAATTCCCAATCCATGTGGCTTAAGCAATTAAGTGATTGTACTGGTCAGTGGAATTGAAAAATTCAGAGAAAGGCTTATGACTTCAGGTACATATGAACATAAGATCTAAAATATTTGTTCTCTATCCATGTGTTCTGTTTCCTAGTATATTTCGAAACAGACGCTCCTCTTAGGTTGGCTTCCAGTAGTATCAGACTTACATCCTCAAAACTCTCTTCCCAGCAAAGAAGAACGTGTCTCTTCCCAATCTTTCAGATGAAAGTTCCCTTTGGATTCTGAATTTTCTTGACTGGGGTCATGATCCTTTACAAAGGTTTTACTATGTCCAGAGAAAAAATACACTTGTTTGGACATCCCTCAAGCCTAGAGTGGAGTATGGACTCACATTTTTGAAAGAGATGGTTTACCATGGAAATCTAGTGTTATACACACCATGGAGGAAATTCTGAAGAATATGAATCTCAAAGTCAATAGTGTTATATACTATATTTCCTTGATAAAGGAATATATACCAGAAGAAAGAAGAATGAATGCTGGGTAGCTACATAACAACAAGAAGTGACCTATACAAATACTTGTTGCTTAATCTTAGGCAAAGAATTTCAATTCTCAGCCTCTTCTCCAAATCTATAAAATCTAAATAAGGACCACTACCTTGTAGGTAGATAGTAAGAGACTCAATATAGGAAGTAGCTGACATGATACCTAAAACATCTGTGCTTAAAACCTGTCTTATTCCTTTTGAATTCCCCCTTTAAGGTGCTAGTCAGGGCAGTTTTTAAAATAAATAACAACTAGTAGGCATGACAACCACCCATTCAGAAGAATTCCCTGAAGCTTCAAAATGGAACTCTTCCAGTACGTATCATTGTATACGGTGGCTGACCAGCCTTGTTCCTAGTAAAGCCCTCAGGATTGCATTTGTCTGAATTCATCTCTCTCCATTCATCTAAACCACGGTGGAACTCCTAGTGATTTCTGTCCAAAACCTTTTATCACCGAACATGACTTTTTATCATCCCTATTCCTCTGCATTTTGATTTTTACCATTTTGAATACATTATACTTGTATTTATTCTGTAAAACTTATTCTTAATAATTCAGTTTTTGTTTTAAATAATGAAAGACACATGCCAATTTGAGCTGTATGAACGCCTAGTTCACATAGTTTCTGCCTAGAGCAATGACATGCACCTAAGTTAGCCTGCACACATTATAGCTCATAAGCCAGAAAGGCATTCAGAGAACCTGGCCAAAAATTGTGGACTGTGTGGGGCTCCATACACTAAACTCATCCATTCCTAAATGTTCCATAGGCTTCTGTGCACATGGAATAAAGTTGAAAATTATGATCTTTGGAGTCAGATTCCCAGCTTTTCAATAATGAACTGTGTGACTTTGGACAAAGTTTTTTTGTTTGTTTGTTTTTAACATCACTAATCCTCGGGGGTATTTGCCTATAAAATAAAAATAAACATTCCTAGTTTCCAGGGAAAATGTGAGAATTAGAAATCCACCTATCAAACTTTATGACACAGTAAGCCATTCGGAGGTGATGGTTTTTGTGACATCTCTGCGACGTTTGTTGTTTAACAATTACTTACATGTCATTCTTTTTAGTTCCGTTTGTTGGAAAACTTTTTGTGTTCTTGAGTTCTTATTCCCTGTTTTGCCTATTAAAGTGGTTCATAAGCATTAAGGTAAGACTGAATAAATGAATGAATAAGTTTTTCATGTAGACCTTTGAAAATGAGAATGGAAACAATTTAGAGAATCATACATGAGACCCCTAAGACTGTGGGAAATTTTTGTACTTAAGCAAAAGGTTTTTGCTCTACAAGAAAGATTCAAATTTTCATCAGAATTTCAAAAAATAAGTTATGTCTAATTTTCAAACATTTTGATAATTTCAGACAAAACTTCTGAAACTTTTTGTTAAGGCCTGTTTAAAGCTAAGTCTTCATAATAGATTCCAATATGTCAGAGACAGGTTTGAAATGTTTACTATTTCAATTCCACATTTTCAACTTTAAAACAAGGCAGTTGGAGTAGATAATCTTTCTGGATTCAATTTTTTATAGATTCTATGATCCATTGCAAAGATTTTGCAAGTACTTTTCAAAGTATTTCCAAATACCCATGCTCAGTAGAAAACAGAACATTCTCAAAATATAAAGATTGGTACAACTTTTTAATCACCCAGCGACAGACAAGGGCTACTACTGTCTGGAGCTCATTTTCTATTGTAATAAAGGGAGGCAAAAAAAATACCATGATATGAGGAATATAAAAACAGAGTAATGTGAGAAAGAGTGAGTGACCATGACCAAATTTGTTGAGTGGCCAAGGAAAGTCTTTCTGAGAAGGAGAAATTTGAGCTATGCCAGCAAGGAGGAAAAGGGTCCAGGTATGCAACCTATTAATGGTGAGAAGGAACATTGCAAGATAAGGACCGTCAAATGCCAAACTCTGGAGGCTGGCTGGGCTTGGCATCTCAGAGCCAGAGAGCCAGAAGACCAGAGTATGACATGGCCATGGACAGTGGTGGGAAAATAACTTGGATGAGGTACACAACAGTTAAATCACAGAGTGCTGAAAGGGTTTGGATTTTAGATTTTCTTCTAAGTGTTGAAGAGTGATAGTATCAGATTTAGCTTATTAAATCCTGATGTGTAAGAAAATCACATTCCTAAAAGCTAGAATTTTTTTAAATGATGAAGTCCTGATTTAAATAAAAAGAAACTGCGGTTAAAGCATGATTTTGCATTAAACATCTCATCCAAGTATCTACTGCTATTTTATTCACACACCCTAGTCAGTACTCAAGGAATAGGTTATAACTTCGTTTAAATGAGTCAGTTCTTGGCTGACATAGCTATTGCCAGCATGTTCATGCGTTCTAGTTGTTTTTTAAACTGCGTTTTACACCAAGGGAAATTGCACACAGTAAATGTCAAGGATTCACTAGGGGCACTACAGTTTCTGAGGCATGAAGCTAATACATATTTGTCTCATTACTGTCAGCAGATCAACTTTATTCTGTGAAAGGCAAGGGTTCATAGCTCATAGGAGATGTAGTTACAAACGACCTTTGAGAGGTCGTGGGGAGCACAGCTTCTAAAATTTACAGTAGTGTCATGTTATTAATAAGAAACTAGAGAAATAATGTTTAGAGACTTTTTGCTACTTAACTTTTTCATAGAAACAGGTAGGGGGATCACATTTTTCAGCTCTGATTCATCAAACCTTAAATTGAAGATGACATAGAGCGTTTGCGTGGGCAGCCTAATCCACTCCTGTGGTTTCCATATTGCCCAACAGTTTTCCTGAGGTAAACATGTTTTGCAGGATCATCAGGCAATTAATGGTCTTTTGCTTGAATAGTTTCAAAGACAGAGGGAAAGAAAATCCTGATTTCATGGTAGGGCAATTATGCACTATGGAGATCAGATTATTTTTTGCCTCCCGTCTATGTAAGTATATTCTTCATATTTTTAGCCAAGTATCATAATTATTAGAAATAGATTATTTTAGTTTATTATTGTGTTTTCATTTTATTTGAAATTATAAGTCTCAAAATATTTCCTCCCAAGGGATTTAAGTGGTGAAAAGCATCTATAGGTAACATTTATTTTTTGTTAGAATATATTCACAATCCCAGAACTTAATATATTATAGTACTCAATGAATAATCATTGGTGATGTGTAGGTGACATTAATAGTGTGGGAGATATCAACTGTTTATGTTCAGTTTTATACTATCTAAATGCAGTGATGAGGGTTTTTCCCTCTTTTCCATGGGCTCCCCAGGCCATGTCTCTACTACCTATATCATGGAGCTCACAGGCACGGGTAATGCCAGCTTTGCCAGTGTTCATGGTGTAAATATTCCACCATGACTGATTACAGGCTACTTATGTTTAACAAGTGGCTTGCAAGATTTCTGAATATTTTACAATCATAATGCAGACAAAAGGGCTAAGAAAGAATTGGCAAAATTACTCCCCAAGAAGATCCTAGGGAACAGTGGAGATGGCTATGGAGGGGAGTGCTCCCAGAGGATGAGCAAAGGGAAGGGCAACAGGCATGCCCCTGGGCACAGGCAAAATGGGAGTGGTGTTTTGAATGGCAAAGGACTCACTCTGATCATTGATAGGTTTCTCTATAGTTCCCTATTGGTGACTGTGGAGGGAGTCCCATTCAAACAGAGACCAGCCCATCTCTCAAAGCCAACTCACTGTGGTCTCTCCCAGGCTAGGTGGCTGTAATGACCTCTCTCTCCTCATGCCCTGCTCTGTCTTCCTGCATCACAACTCTTTTTTTTTTTTTTTTTTTTTTTTTTTAAGACAGGGTCTCACTCTGTCACCCAGGCTGGATGCAGTGGCGTGATCTCGGCTCACTGCAACCTCCAACTCCTTGGCTCAAGGGATCCTCCTACCTCAGCCCTACAAGTAGCTGGAAGTACAGGTGTGAGCCACCATGCCTGGGTAATTTTTGTATTTTTTGTAGAGACAGAGTTTCACCATGTTGCCCAGGCTGGTCTCAAACTCCTGAGCTCAAGCAATCTACCAGTTTTGGCCTCCCAAAGTGTTAGGATTACATGCGTGAGCTATGTGCCAGGCTCTGTATCACAACTCTGTAGTCAGTCATTGTTTACAGTTCAAGTTTTTCCCTTGTTCTTTCAGAATGGACCCCCATCTACCCTCACCTCCTCCAACCTGCCAAATGATACCCACAAGCTTGCAGATTAAAATTGTTGTTTTGTCACACCTGTGTTTTCCTTAATAGAGACTTCAAAGATCCACTTTTGAAATCTAAAACCTCATTATTCACCATTGAATTTTTCAGATTTTGAAAAATCGTGTGCAGAGTGGAGGAGAGAGGGTTGGGACTCTGGCAAAGTGATTCTAGATGGCCGTTTTAAGTTAATAAATAAAGTTGTTTCTCTATGGAATAATTCTAGAACCCAAAATGACAGCAGTTCTGTCATTTTCAAAAGATGGCTTCCTGGATAAACCTAAGGTATTTTCATGCAGTCAGCAGGAAGTCTGAGAGCTTATGAAGGCATCCTCAGGGGAAGTTTCAGGGGCCAAGAAAACACTTGTGACAGACCAACTATTTTGCAAGCATGTGGGTATTATTTGGCAGGTCGGAGGAGGTGAGAGTAGTTAGGAGTTTATTCTGAAAGAACAAGGCAAAAACTTCAACTATAAACAATGATTGACTAAAGAATTGTGATGCAGGAAGACGGAGCGGGGCATGCGTTAATTAATGTTAATATTAATTAACATATCTCACATTAAGTTACATTCCACTGGGAAGAAATCAGTCCTACAGCCACCCCTAACTGCAACGGAGACTGAGAGATGTAGTATAACTTGAGTCTAGGTCCAACTATTAAGACAGAAAGAGAAAACAGACAGACAGTAGACAGCAATAGCTCTACCATTGGGCAGTGGGGAGGCTGGATGGAAAATGAGGTGAAATCTACTTAAATTTGCTAACCTAGTGTTTTTCAAACTTAGTTCATCATGGAAGCTCCTTTAGAAGGCACCTATTAAAATATTGTGTAAAAATGCTAACCTAGGGCAAAAATCCCACTCTATGATCATGCCCTTAATCTAGTTGCAATTTCTGTTAAAAACGTATGTGATAAGGTGAAACCCATGTTCCAGGGTTAAAATCCCTGCACTTGTAGATTTCTACAAATGAGTGCTGCTTTCACTCCTCTAGGTTGGACAGGTTTTGCTTCAAGTTGTTGGAGGGCTTCACCTGCGTCAGGAATCACTCCCTTCCTTATTTATATCCAGAGCTTTCATACACCATAGATAGATACTTTTTTCTTACTATCCGCCAAAAATAACAGCACTGAAAAAAATGACAGAACACGTTTTATGAAGGCATAATATAACCCACTGCTGGGAACATGTCACTCGAGGCAAAAGCAGTTAGATCTGCCGGCTGGATGCTTTTCTGATGTTTCTCCTTAAATAACTTCATTATTCAATGAGAAGCGTTTTAATTACTTAAGTGACATAAAAGATGAGGTTGTACTATTTATATCTAGATTGTGTTTACCGATTTTAAGTCTTTTTGTCTATTTATATTGGAGTTGTAAGCACTTACTAAACCCCATCTGGCAGGAAATCGCTCTACATTTAGAGAAACAAAAGGTTTCTGTGCCCTCCAAGTTTTTGTGTTTTCCCAACAGGGTTCCTGTGATAACTCTTTTGTTGTCCATTGTGGACCCGGCTTTATTAAGAGAAATTTACCCCTTTCCTTTGCAAAAGCTTTTACTTTTGTTACTAATGCTCATACCTAGTGCAATGATATTTACTGATAATGGATTTTCTCCCACCAATGTAATGTATTATGGTTAGGGATCACTTTCATCACAATAACAAAAATAACAGTAATTAATCAATGACATTATCATCACTGCTATTTATTTAGTGTGCATTTTTTATTAGGCACTAAAGAGGTTCATTTACATAGTTTCACACAAACCCCGAAGCAGAAATTATAAGCTTCGTGTTACAGATTTGGAAACTGAGAAAATTCAATGGTATTAAAACAACAGAAACAACAATAGAAACAAATGTTGACGTGCTTTTGAACATCAGAGCCAAGATCCTAACAGAGGTCTGATTAACTTTAAGTCATGTGCTTTCTTTTTTGTTTATTTCTTGCATTTTCTAATGCAGAGTAGACAGATTTGAAAACACATCCAGGCCTTACTTTCCTCCCTGTTACCATCTATATGTAAATGTTTTGACTCTTGTATTTGTATATTGATCCAAGACTATGAAATTATGAAGCCTTCCTTGAATGCAAATCAGAGATTTGTATAAGGGTTGGAAAACAGCACAGAGGAGAAAAAAAGAATGAGAATGCTCATCATAGCCTCAGTGATAGAACTGGAAGAGATCAGTGGCTTCACAGCCCCTGAACAGCTCTCAGCAAGCAAGTGGGTTTCACAGGCAGCACCTCAGGGCTCCATGTAGCAGCCTGCATTCCCTGGAGCTGTGAGAAGCAAAACTCATGCAACTGGTTGCAGACATGTTTACAAGTCACTGGTGGGCCAAAGATGTGGCCAGAATTGGTCTCAAGACACAGAGAAATCAATAAAAGAAGAAAAAGAAAGGATAACAAAGTAAGAACCAAACTGATGGGCCAAAGATGTGGCCAGAATTGGTCTCAAGAAACAGAGAAATGAATAAAAGAAGAAAAAGAAAGGGTAACAAAGTAAGAACTAAACTAAGAAAGCTACATTAAAAATATAATTAGAATCTGGGCCACGCGTGGTGGCTCACGCCTGTAATTTCCAGCACTTTGGGAAGCCGAGGCAGGTGGATTACCTGAGGTTAGAAGTTCAAGACAAGCCTGGCCAACATGGCGAAACCCCGTCTCTACTAAAAATGCAAAATTAGCTGGGCGTGGTGGTGCATGCCTGTAATCCAAGCTACTTGGGAAGCTGAGGCAGAAGAATTGCTTGAACCCGGGAGGCGGAGGTTGCAGTGAGCCAAGATCGCACAACAGCACTCCAGCCTGGGTGACAGAGCAAGACTCTGTATCAAAAGAAAAAAATTAAAAAAAAAAAAAACATACACACACACACATATATGTGTGCATGTGTTTAATTATATATCTATATATAAAATATATATGTAATTAAAATCTGTATGCATCAACCAACATAGACACATGCATAGACAATGGATTGAAAGAAAACAGAAAAACAGGAAAGAGGGGAGGAAGGAGAAAGAGGATTAAATAGGATAGTATGGGTGGGATGGGACCGATGTACTGCCAGGGTTTTCTGTCGTTTATTATATATACATATGAAAATGAGCTTAGTTCCCATTTTACACATACCAGTTATCATTCTTTTATTGCAAGTAGGAAAAAGCGAGTAATGGATCATGTAAAAAAAAAAATAGAGGTGATAAGGGAAGGCTGTAGGGTGGCTTAGTAGCTCAGCAAAACCGATGAAACAACTCAAGAACTACAGTTCATAGCAGAGTTGGAGTGAAAAGAGCTCCTGGACTCTGGCATGCAGACGCTAATGAATAGTGTCTTTAAGCTGCTGACACTGGGATGAATTCACTTCAACATTTTCTGTCCTGAGCCATTCGATTAAAGATGCACTTACCCTTGAGAGTTTCACAGGTCCAGCTCAGCCCCGATCGTTTGTCCACCACTTGGCGGGGGAATAGAGAGGGGAGGCACATTGATTGGCAGTTCCCACAAAGCTATGGAGAGTAGGGAGGGGTAGTTCCTTAAAAAAAAAAAAAAAAAAAAAAAAAAGATTCTAGGCAGGTACTCCCAACCCAGATCTACCATACTGCATGGCTGTGCCCAGTCCAAAGATCTCCTCCCCAGTTTTCCAGTGATTCCTGAGATGTGGGATAGCCAAGAGAAATTGCACCAGGCATTTCTTTAAAACAGCAGGGAAGATTATTCAAGACTATTGCAATAGGGGAGATTGAACTCAATGCCATTTGAAACAAAAAGTGGAAGAGTTTTTAAATGCTGGGGTGAGCTAATGGAAAAGTATTGGAGGAGATTAGGCAGGAGGCTAGTCGATGTGATTAGGCCTTCTGTGTTTGCTAATTGAAATGTATTGAAGTTAGGCTCCTACTCTCCCACAGAGAATAGGAGATGGTTCTGCCTTTCTTGATGTTTACATTTCAAAGGGAGAGATCCCAGGTCTTCAGAAAGACAATCCTGGGTTGTACACCTGGTAAGAGTCTGAAAGAAGATTTACATCTCAAAAGGGGAGAGAAAGAATTTTCAACTGAAAGTTGTTTTCTGAAGTAAATTATCTAAGAAAAGGGAGGTCAGAGCCCTGGAGTCAGAAAGAAACCTATGTAAAACTTAGTTAAGCTGAAAGAAACGTTAAGACCTTTTGGGTCATATGTTCTTTTCTTTTCTTTTCTTTTCCTCTTTTCTTTTCCTTTCTTTCCCTTCCCCTCCCCTCCCCTCCCCTCTCCTCTTCTCTTCTTTGCTTTTCTTTTTCTTTCTATTATAGAGGCGGGCGTCTGGCTATATTCCCCAGGCTGTCCCGGGTTCAAGCAATCCTCCCACCTTAGCCTCCCAGTGTGCTGGAATTACAGGTGTGAGCCACCACACCCAGCCACATTCTCTTGATGATAACTTATCACTGTAGCTTCCAACTGCTGCTCCTGAACTTCCCCAGTTGTTTTACTTTCCCTGCAGGCTGTTGTTGCTCATTTTGGTTTTCTTCTCTCAGAACAGGAAGGAAGCCTCCTGTTTACTGTTCTCCAGAGCAGCAATCACACACAATGCTGGGCTATGTAAGCCTCATGGGAGACTTGCAGATAAAGGCAGGGAATTACAGCATACAGTAGACAGTAACTTACATTTGTAAGTTGGAAGTCTGTGCTTTTGAAGTTACACACTCATGTCACACTAATAGTGTGAGGGAACATCTCACACCATTAGGATGACTCAGCACCCACCCAGTAAAGATCGCCTTTACTCTCTAGCTTCTTTGAATCTCAAGCCACTCCCATCTCCCAACATCCTCCTTCTCAAGCCTCCTGGGGAAAGTGGAAAATTCACATTACATTATTATGCAAAGCAAATTGCCCTTTCTGTGTTTCAACCTCTCCTATTCCAGCTAAATCTTAGGATTTACCCATGCATATTCAAATAAGATGTTTTTCTACACAAAAGAGTCTTCCATCCTAGTTTCCACATTTAAAGGAGGAGGGAAAGTTTCAAATTTATATTTATTGTACATGCTTCAGGTCAAATTCTTATGATGGAATCAACATCAGAGTATTTGTGTTTTTATCTAAGCATGTAAAAGGGGAAGGAGGCTGAGAAAAGGCAATAGAAATGTTATTTTCCTCCTCCATGGAGGGCTTATTTATTTATTATTTATTTATTTATTCGTACTCTGAAAGGGGGAGGAGGGAAGAAGGAAGGATGGGAGAGAAAGACAGAGGCAGAGAGAGATAGAGAAACTCTTCAAACAAATTGCCAGTGAAATCAAACCATTACCAGTGAGATCATAACCACAGTGATAATGAGATTTTTAAAATATTTATTTCTACTCACCTCTGTATTTTTTAATTGTATACTTACTGTTTGCATCTTTGAAAAGAAACAGAAGTGAAATCAAGACAGAAAGCAAGGCCGGGCTTGGTGGCTCACGCCTGTAATCCCAATATTTTGGTGGCTCACGCCTGTAATCCCAATACTTTGGGAAGCCGAGGTGGGTGAATCGCTTAAGGTCAGGAGTTCGAGACCAGCCTGGCCAATGTGGTGAAACCCCGTCTCTATGAAAATAGAAAAATTAGCCGGGTATGGTGGTGCACGCCTGTAATCCTAGCTCCTCAGGAGGGTGAGGCAGGAGAATCACATGAACCTGGGAGGCAGAGTTTGCAGTGAGCTGAGATCACACCACTGCACTCCAGCCTGGGCAACAGAGCCAGACTTCATCTCAAAAAAAAAAAAAAAAAAAAAAAAAAAGACAGAATGCAAGGATAGAAATAAGGTGCTTAAAAAATAATAATGTCCTTGATATATAGATACACAGACATACAGATAGATTAATAGATAGAATTGATAATCAGTCACTTGCTGACATCCAGATCATAGAATATCTGGACGTTAAATAGTCTGGGAAGACCTGACTGAGCAAATGACTAAATAAAGGCCTAAAAAGATATATATTTAAAAATGATAAGTATGTGAGGTGATGGATTTATAAATTAATTAATCATTCCACAATATAAACATGTATCAAACCATGACATCGTACCCCATAAATATATACAATTATTTCTCAAAAACAAAATTTTAATTTTTTAAAATTTAATTTCAAAATAATAATTTAAAGAAAAAGTATCTAGAGATTACTAAACAGCCTATTTCTGGAGATTTTTAGACATTACTAAACAACATTTCTACCATTACAAAGAGGAAAAGGTTTAGGAAAGAAGGAAAAAAAAAAAAGCTTAAACCACAGCAAATTTCTTAATAAAGATCATAGCTGAGATATAGCTATACTAGACCTTACTGGTTGTACTACAGCCAACATCAGAGGGTTCAAAATATTGTACCATGGGCTCTATCTGGTCTGTTGGGATGTTTAATTTACTATGCAGCCAATGAAAAATTATACTTTTAATGAGTAATAAACATTTATAAAATAAAGACTTAGATTGTTTTCTTTTTTTTTTTTAAATTGGAAAATATGACAACAGGCTTTTATTTCTATACAGTAATAACCAGCTAAATAACATTCCTCCTAACATAGATAGGGCAGGACGTTCACTTACCCAGATCCATTTGGCAGGTGGCAGAGTTGTAATCTGGCATTGATGCCTCTGAGCGAGGCAGATGTTCAAAGGAAAATTCTCTTTTATTCTTTTCCCTGGGGAGATGTGGTACCACTGTCCCTGGAAACACCCCACTGGAGATCTCTAATCGTGTGCTGTTGGCTCAGTCATTATCCTCTATTTGGCTTCTTACAACTTTCCCTATGCCACTGACTTTTAGTGCCCGCGTTGAGGTCGCTTTGCCCTCCCAGCGCTTTCCTTGGGCAGAATCTCTTTTAAGACAGTAAAATTAGCTCCCTTACTCAGAGTCCACATCTGTCCTTTCTTCTACCATTGGTAGAACGACAGTCTACTTTAACCATAGCCCCTTCTTCTGGTACCTATTGTTGCTGGCTTTTGGGCTCTTATAAGACACCCCTAAACAATAGAAAAGGTCATGTTTAGCTTCCTCTTGTTTGATAGAGTTTAGGTATCTCTTACGGTAAATCTAGTCATTCCTTGTGCTGTATTTATCGTAGCCCATACATTGTTACTTGATCAAAGGACTTCTACTTGGTTCCACCTCAGCTCTCTAGCTCCTAGCCCATGGATCCACTGTTCTCTTACTCTTCTGGTAGTTGCCTCAGAGTACACTCGCTCTAAGAGTTACCAAGAGAGGAATTATGTTTGTGTCTCCTGCCAGAAGAGTCCGGCAGGAACTTGGTAATGGATGAACAGAGACCCGAATGTGACTCGTTTAAGAATGCAGGAGGCAAAGAGAGAGGGCTTGTTTGCAGAAATGATGATCTGTGCCTGGTTAACCACCTAACCCAGTTGTGCTCCTACCTAGCGATGCTCCACTTCTCTTTTGAGTAAGAAGTTGAGTTGAGCTGGTAGAGAAAAATGTGCCATAGCAAATTGACCATGAATAAAACAAATTTACAAGTTTTTCCTGGGTGTCCGATTGTCTAAAAATCCGCCAGGGAATTGAATTGCCTGTCAGCTGCCCAAATTATTTTACATGCTGCTATTGAAATTCTTGGTGTGGTAGGTTTTTTAAAAGGAAAATAGGAAATGAGCTGGAAATGATTGATCGAAGTTGAAAATAACAGTATACAGTTACTTCTTCCACACAACAAGAACACCATTCATTGCATTTTCTCATCTGCTCAAAGAAGAGAGAATCAAAACAGAAGACCCATTTTAAATGGTGCACCTATTTTACCTGAGGTTTATTAATTTTTCTCTTGGTGTGTCATTGAGAGTTAAGGATTACAATAACTCTAGTATCTGACAATATTGCTCTGTTATTTAAATTCATTGAGTGAAATCAATCCATCAATGAACTATGAATTCATATAAAGGAAAATAACACAGAAGGCACAATTGTTCTAATACGTTCTAAATCTGAGTTAGAATATTCAAATTCTACCAACAAGGTTTTTTGTTCTGTTTTTGATGGTCCCATTACCTCTTTTTATTACCCGGCCCTCCCCTGAGGATGCTACTTACCCTAGTGGGTTGCACTCTCCCTGCCTGCATTTTCCTGTACTACACATGAGACAGGTGCCCTTCTTGTTCTCAATACTCAATTCAGATTATCCTTCTTTACATTTCCCTAAAAATTCCAGCTTTGAAATTCAAGCTATCAGATTACATCATCAGTATTCCTTATAGTTACTGTCAACCACTGGACCCCAGGTCATTTCTTCTCATTTTAAGATGATTTTACCACAGGATTTACTGTCATTCTCTCCAACACTACTCCAGTTTTTATTCTTGGTGGCAGATGTTCCTTCTAACAACTTAGATCCTCATTTTTTAAATTCATCTTCTCTGAAGATTTTTTTATCTCCACCTCACCTCAGGAACTCACTCCCAAGGTCAGACCTTGAGAGAATGTTCTAATCATACATAATCAATACCAATAACTGCAACCCTTCAATATCAATTATATGCACCATTTCTGCCTTCAATATTTCTGACTCCCTCTAGGACTCAGCCTCCTTTAATGACATTCACATCCCCAGTCAATTGATCTTATCAAGTTTTTACTGTAGCTCTTCATTTATTATCCTTACTGTTTTCCCTACATATATTAATTCTGTGGTCAGTTATTATAAATACCTCCTTACTAATATTTTGACTTTCACTTTTCTTTATTATACTCAATTGGTAAAACCACAACCCTACAAAAGCTGTCTGCCTGTTCTACACCGGTACCTGTGAAGCTTGAATGCAATAGAGAAGAACACACAACCAGTCTGCCTGGTCTCATTGTAGTTTCATGAACAAAAACCTCAACTGAGGCTCTAATGGTACCAAGCAGTCATACTTTAATTTTCTAGTCTAAATATTTTTCCATTTTCCTAGTTAATGATTTCATAGCTTCTCCTCTCTTGAATCCTCCAACATTCCTTCTTTAGACTTGTCCCCAGCTGATGATACTACTTCTTACCTCACTGAGAAAATTCAATCCACTGGAAGGAAATCTCTACGTACTCCCTGCACCTCATATACTCACCTACTAGCATTTGCGCCCTGTTATTCTGGCTTGTTGTCTATTCCTATAGCATTATCTAAAGCCAGCCCCTGTCTTGCATGTTATATCCTACTACTTTTTGGATTCTTAAGGACATCCTTGCACAATTCTCTTGATGTTCCTACTACTAGATCATTCTCATCAACCCACAAGTGGTATTATTTCTCATACATTAAAACAATGGAATATTTTCTTGATATCACAGTTTTGTTATACCTCTGGTTCTTTGCTTCTCATTTGCAACAAAACTCTTTGTAATGTTGCTCCTACCCACATTCTCCAATCCTCTCCTCACATTCTTTCTTAAACTCACTCCAGTAAGACTTTCGCCACACCACTCCACCAACATTGCACTTGTCAAGGTTAACATAAGTCTTCCTTTCTGAATTTCTCTCCATTCTTTGTGATCTCATCCAGTGTGATGACTAAAACCACACTCCTTTGGGTTTTTCTACCTTTACGAATCATTCTCTCTCTCCTTTGCTAGTCTCTCATTATCTCTTCATTCCCTTGAAATTGAAGTGAGTCATGACCATCTTCTTTTCTATATTTAGCATTCATCCTTCATGATCCCATCCAGTTTAAAGACTTTAAATACCATCAGTAGATGACAATTTCCAAATGTATTTCTCCAACACAGACATTGCTCTTGAACCTCAGACTCATATAACCAGCTGCCCACTGGACATCCGCATTTGAGTGTGTCAGGTACAATGCAGTGTCCACACTCCCCAAACTGAACTTCAGATCTCCCTGAACTCCTCCTCTCCTGCTTTCCCTATTCTCTGACTCCTCTTTTACTCAAATACTCATATCCAATTCTTCAGGAAACCTTCCTGCCTCTGCCTCCAAAATATATCTAGAATTCAATCATTTTTAATCACCTCCAGGGATACTACTCCAAGCCTAGCCACTACCCCCACCATCTTTAATCTAAATTATTGCAAAAGCCTCCTAGCTGGTCCCCTTGCATCTGTCTTTGTCTGCTGCCCTCACCCAAACTCTTTTCTGAGAAAATGCATTGAAATTTCAGTCTGATTATGTGTCATTTCTCTGCTTAACACCCTGCCATGGTTTCCCACTTTGTTTAAATGCCTCCATTCCTAGAATAGCCTTAATGCTCCTTCACTTTCTTTCCTTTTTTTTTTTTTTTCTTTTTTTTTCTTTTTCTGAGACAGAGTCTCGCTCTGTCGTCCAGGCTGGAGTGAGTGGCACGATCTTGACTCACTGCAAGCTCTGCCCCCCAGGTTTATGCTATTCTCCTGCCTCAGCCTCCCAAGTAGCTGGGACTACAGGCGCTCGCCACTATGCCCGGCTAGTTTTTTGTATGCTTAGTAGAGACGGGGTTTCACCATGTTAGCCAGGATGGTGCCGATCTCCTGACCTCATGATCCGCCTGCCTTGGCCTCCCAAAGTGCTGGGATCACAGGCGTGAGCCACCGTGCCTAGCTGGCGCCTTCACTTTCTGACCTCACCTTTCATGCACCCCAGCCCACCAACAATGGGGATTCTCCTTCCTCAGAGCTTGCCCCATGAATGTTCCCCACTCCCTGGAGGAGCCTCACTCCAATAGCTACATGGTAAATTCCCTCACGTATTTCAGATATTTCTGCAAATGTAACCTTCCTCATGACCACCTGTCTTCACCACCCTGTTTGCTTCATCTGACCAACTTATCTCCATTTATTTCTATAGTTTATTACCTATTTTTTAAATAATGTTTATTACCTTTAAAGTACCAAGTACTTTACCTGTTTATTATTTATCTACTATTTTTTGTCCTAGAATATAAATTCCTCAGTGTCAGATCTCTTCATCTGGTTTGTTCACTGATGTATCTTAAAGGGTCTAAGAAATCAACTGACAAATAGCAAGAGAACAATAAATATTTGTGTAATCTTTAAATAAACCCTCTCTTAGTGCTGGGACTCTGCATTGTGACATGTATCTTTTGTTTCATTTTTTTGTATTACAAACACTAAGGTATTTATATTGTCCATTCAGTAAATTGGCTAGCATTTATTTTTCTCAGTATGGCTATTTTTTACTTCTTTATATACTAGTTTATGTTTTCTGTGGTTATGACCCCTTAAGTTCCCCTTGTTTTCTCTCTCTCTCTCTCTCTCTTTTTTTGAGATGGAGTTTTGCTCTTGTTGCCCAAGCTGGAGTGCAATGGCGTGATCTCAATTCACTGCAACCTCAGCCTCCCAGGTTCAAGCAATTCTCCTGCCTCAGCCTCCCCAGTAGCTGGGATTACAGGCATGAGCCACCACGCCCAGCTAATTTTGTATTTTTTTGTAGAGACGAGGTTTCACCATGTTGGTCAAGCTGGTCTCGAACTCCTGACCTCAGGTGATCCACTTGCTTTCTCCTCCCAAACTGCTGGGATTACAGGTGTGAGCTTCCACGCCCGGCAAGACTCTTACCTTTCATCCAAGTTACTTTGTTTTGAAATTTTACTAGGGTTCACGGCTAATTTGACCCATTTTATAGATGATGCAGATAGAAGGGGCCTTTGAGAAAATATACTCTACTTTATTCACAGCTGAGACACTTATGGCACAGAGAAGTGAACAGTATTTTATTTAATAAGAAAACTGAGCTCCAATTCTCCTGGTTTTGTTCTCCTTTCATTATAAACTGAGATGGCAAATACATGGCTCATTCCATCTTCCCTCTTCCATAAGACTGACACTGCTTAAACAGTGCTGCAATCTTTTACAGACAGACTGGAGGAAATGAGACTTGGAAATAGGGACCAGAGCACAAATTCAGTCTTTCGAACATAGGAGCAGCTCAGACAATGAACTCAGGTCTACATTTCCTGGTAGCATTTCAGAGAAAGGGCAAGGGCCTGAGTTGGTATTGGAGGACAGTGGTGAAACATAGTGACCTATTTGATAACACCTAATTGCTTCCCAGGTCATATTTGAAGAGCTTTAGTTAGAGAATGCCGGTTGTATTATGCCATCATGCAGCACAGTTTCCTAGGCTACTGTTAGACGGATAGTTATTTCCCTTAAACTATCAATTATTGAGTCCTTTCTATGTGTCAGATACTATTTTATTCAATCCTTTCAATACTTTTGTATTAGGTACTACTATGATCCTCATTTCACAAATGAGAAAAAGGACATCAAATGATTCAGTGATTTGCCAATTTCTACAGGTCTAATAAGGGTGAGCTAGCGTAAATTGAACAAAAACCCGCAAGTAACAGTGCCCTTCCGCCACATTTAAGAAGGGGTTGAGATTAAGGCTGCTTAAATATTTCTAGCTTTAAGTTTCCGTTGATTTCAGAATTGGGACAGGGTCAATCTTATAGCTAGGAGAATATGAACACATCTATGAGAGAAAGCTAGAGTAATCAGGGTTAGAAATAAGATAGGATGCTAATTAAAAAAAAGAAAATGACTAACAAATTTCTTCTAAATGGTTTTGAATGTTTAAGATTATTTGACAGACTATAGGATGACACAAACGACATTAAAATTAACATTTTTTTCACAAACACCTTTGGGGTCAATTATTTCACCAATAGAGGCAATTCTCCATTTTGCCAGTAAATAAATAAATTTTGGAACCTCTGAGAACTTTGGGTGGGGTAGGGGGTGGCGACATGTGTCTTCTAAAATCATTGCCTTTTGTCACAGAGGGGCCTATCTAATAAGAAGTAGTGTTCCACCAAAAAAAGGCAGTTGGTTGCACATCAAACTGCATGTGGAATGATAGGGATCGCTGAAAATTTGCTAGCCTGGCAGTGAATTAGTTTTTCTGTGTCCTCAGGGATAGATTGCCCTGTGAGAATTTGAACCTATCAGTTAGCTGTCAAATTTCATTTGACACCTCATCCAAAATTTAAAAGGGGCTGCCAACTGATGTCGAGGATGTTCTTGGAGGAAGGGAAAGGGCTATTTCTTTCTGGACTAGCAAGATCGAAGCTGCCAAGTGCTTCTACTAAGGGCAGCAAGCGGGCAGCCATTCGCTGAGTAAACGTCACAGATATTATGGCTTCCTAATGTAAGCAATTCTTTCTCAGCCCCTAAACTCATTTTTTTCTCTCTCTTTTAGGCAGAGGGCGCCCAGAGGCATGAAATCCCTAAGGGGATATTTAGCAGAACTCGCAGAACTGCCACTGGAGTGTCAGCCGACAGAGGTTACACCTTGTAACTCCCTGGTTTTTTAACTGCAGTTGAGTTTTTTATTCTCTTCTTGTCTTCTTCTGTGCATTTTTTTTTCACTTTACCCCGAATATTTTGCATGCCTGCCCCCTTTTTCAAAATGTAAGGTTTTCATTTATTCGGTTATAAATGAAGGAAGTTGATGGTAAAGTTGTTCCTGCACATCCTGCAGAAGTGTTTCTCAGGGGAAATGTTCTCTCCCTTCAGTTGGACCCCTGAAGTTGATGTTTTCTCCAGCACCCCCATGCCCCACTCTCACCCCAGTCTGGCTAACTGCTTTAAATGGCTTATTTGAGTGAGAGCTTCAACAATTTGGAAACTGCCCTGAGACAAGGACCCGTGATGGATTCATGATTGACCTCTTGATTATCCGCGGCCATTTGAGGAAGATTAAAAGGGCATGGCAGGAGAGGTACATTAGCTGCAATCAATCTGCTGCTCCCTTCTTCCTTTCTCCTTCACACAGACTGATTCATCAAAGGACATTTGCAATGCCTCATTTCAGAGATTCTGGCTTCAAAGCCAGGCTTTATTTTACAAAGAGAAAAATACTAAAGTCTCTTGCTAGATCCCTTCAGGGCCAAAGAAAAAAAAGAATCATCCTCTAATTGTCACTTCTATGCTGGCTCTGGAAAAAAAAAAAAAGATAAGTACATATGTAAGGGAAGTCATTTTTCATTTGAAAAGTGTAAAGGAAAAACTAGTCCCTTTTGTTTTATCCCACCATAATTTCTTTGTCAGTTTCTCTGGGCTAGTCATTGGTAGGAAATCTACATGCCTAGAAAACTACAGAGGGCATATAAAGATTTTAATTTAAACATTAGCTTCTCAGGTAAATGAAGCTAGGTTCCTGCCTTTGCAATCTAGTTCACACAGGGCCAATTTTATTCTTGTTCCATTATTTCATCGAGCTTCTGTGATCACCAGTCTCCCTTTGAAGTTGGTTGGAACTCTGAGCACAGATAGATTCCCTGGGTCTTGGAGTAAAATGAGTAGTAGATCTGTAACCTCACAGTTCCAAAGGCTTGCTTGTGCTCTTGCTCGCTCTCTCTCTCTCTCTCCCTCTCCCCTTGAGGTCCTCCTCCATGCTCTGGAAATGGCTAAAATTTGTATGACTTCTGAAATGAGATCTGTCACACTAACTTGCTAAATGTAGGAATTTTAGTGAACAAACAACTTGTGTGCAAAACAAAAATTACCATAAAGTTTGATTTTGTTTCAGGTTATCTTTTTTAGATAGGTTAAACAATCCAGAAAATATAAAACCAGAATGACCATATGCAATCACATCACATGTGACTTTTAAGGATGATATTGGATAAGAGGTCACACAAGCTAGATTTTCATGCCAGAGATAATCATTCAATCCATCTGGTTGTTTGTACCCCTTTAGTCCTATCTCTGGCTTGGGGAGCAGTGCCACAGCTGATGTGGTCAGAAGCTACCACAGGGACCTTGGCCTCCCCATCCCCACATAAACTTGAGGGTCACAAACCCATTATGTGTTCTTATGATAGGAAAAAAGAAAGGTGTGGTCCACAATGTGGTAAAAAATAAAAACAAAACAACAACAACAACAAACCCTGATCAGTGGATCTAGAATAGGGTGATTCATTGTTCCAGTTTGCCCAGATCTGAGGGGTTTCCTGGGATGTGGGCCTTTCCATGTGCCTTTCTCTATAAAACTGGCCATAAGGAAATTATCTGACCTACATTGTTTGACTGCAGGTCATGAGACCCCCCCTACCCCATTCCAGAGAGGGTCTTGCCTCACACCCAGAAAGAAGGAATGCTGCACAGAGGGGCCTAGAAGAATCTAACTAGAGAGAAGAATCTAACTAGAGAGAAGAATCTAAGCAGACAGAAGAATCTAACCAGACAGGCCTTGATGTGTTTCCCCACCCAGTTCATTAGCATTGGATCATGCCCTTTTCGTCCAATTATATTTCTACATGGGTATCCAAATGAGTGTCCATCCTTTGTTGAATCTAAGCATCAAAAGGGGCATCTCCCTCTGTATCTTTGAGTCTTCATTCTGAAGGCTTCTGTGTTAGGTAAAACTATGATCAAATAAATTTGTGTGTCTTTTCTCCTATTAATCTGCCTTTTGTCAGCTACTTTCAGCAAACCTTCAGAGGGCAAAGGAGAGTTTTCCAACGGCCCCTACATCTTGAAAAGTAACGTGTGGGAACAAAGGGTCCATATGTGTACCAGACAACAACAATCATCTGGAGTTGTCGTGCACCGACCCATAGAACATGGAAACAGTATGCCTCCTACTCACTTACATTAACTGCCTAGGTCCTGCAGGCATTTGAATAGGCAGCTCCTGAACTAGATCAGAGATTGGCAATAAATTCACGTGAGGCTCCCCTACCTTGGAGTAATGGCCCTTGATCAAAATTTTGGAAGAAAGATTGCTTCTGTGCTGCTAATTCTCAAATGAACCCAGATATTAACATCCTAGTGGCCCCCAAAATAAAAATGCCATCTTCTCTTTGGCATTCCTCAGTGAAAATTCATAAAGCTTAGAGGATCTCTAACGTCTCCTGTAGCTCTAAGACTCTACACTAAAGGCAGGGAACTGCCTATTTTTTGCCTCTCGTTGAAAATACATGTTGTTTTATCCTTTTAATCGCTGAAATACTTCCTACTTAAAATATGTCAGAAGTGTAAGCCTAACCAGTTTACTCTGATTGCAAATCAAGTGTTTCCTCCAATATGCTTTTCTGAATTGGGAAAAATGGGGCTCTTAGAGATCAATATGTGGCATTCTTCGTGTTGTGATCAATTGGTGATTAAGTGAAAATGGTTTAGCTTAATTTGCTTTGAAAAGCTGTGCTTGCGCTGATAAAGTGTAGAAGCATTTCTGAGATGAGATACAAGGAACAGATGTTTAGTATAAAATATTGATAGCACTGAGCAGAGATAAGCTTGGGATTTAATTTGTCTTAATATTTCCATTGCTACAAATTCAACAGCTTTTATCTTACTGGGTAATTACAACTTTTTCCCCCTCTGGCATAAGATAAGATAGACTTTTTTCAGTTTTCTGTCACTTTTAAACTCTTTATACCCCCCTTCTCTCTGTGTTCTTTTTTCTTCCCCTAGGTACTAGTTTCTTTATTTTAATTTCAACTGCAATCTTCAGTTACAAGATTAGATAATTTGTTTGTAAAATTCGACATTTTTCTTGCCTGTTGTTTTTAGGGTATCTAATCGTGTTACCCCTGAAAATGAAATGCACATGTTAGGATATATGTTGTTTTGTCTAGAAGGTCACAGAATGCTGAGATTCAGACAACACAGGAGTTTGTTTTTGTTTATTTGTTTGTTTCACATGACATTCAGGCTAAGAAAGGGTTTCTGTTCCACGAGGTCATTTGGGAACACAGGTGGAACAGTAGGTTCTGTCCTCCTTGATATATGGCTTCCTTTACCATATGGACAGCTGGGGCTTCCTTTGTTACTGTTTTTCAGGCAGGAGGAAGGGCGCTGGGAGCTAGGTGGGTGAGAAGTTCAAGGCAAGCAACTTGTCTTCAAGGAAGTGACCCGGAAGGTGCACATATCAATTATATTCATTTATCATTGGCTGTTTGTAAATATGTTCACATCTCACTGGAAGGGAGTCTAGACGATCATTTTATCAATGAAAAAAATACAGATTCCCTCTTCTAGTAATATGGCAGAGCAGGTATGCTGAGAGGTCCTCCAAAAAAAAAAAAAAAAATCTGAAGGACATCATAAAATAATAGCATTATTGTATTGCTGGAATCAAGAACATGAGGGAAATCTCTGACAGACAAAGGACAGAAGAACAGAAATTTTCAAAACAGAACAGAAACCCCCCAAAGCAAGCTAAAACAAAGACTGTGAGCAGTGAGTACCCATAGTGTCCCCGACTGGGTGCATACTAAGCCTTGGGCCTACCAGTCATAGATTTTCAGGATGAAGCCAGAATGGGACTAGAGTAGACCAAGTCAGTCGTGAGCCTTGTCTCATGAACAAAACAACTCAATGAAAGAGAACATCTGAAAAAAAAATTCCATCAATTTAAGCTTTCAGATTTTGCACAGATAAGAACAAATATGAACTTCCATTCAATATTCCCAAATATACCAAGAAATGAGTGCCAGGAGTGACAGTCAGCAGAAACACTAAATGAAAGATTTAGTTCCCCAAGTACTTCAGATCTCACAGTGATAAGGTACAAAATATAAAATGCTCACCTATGACTATTTAAATAAATAAAAGATGGGATCACAAAAATGAGAAACCAAAAACAGGTTAAAAAGGAAGAGCAGAAAGATTTGAAAAAAAATCGTAATAACTTAGAAACTTGAAATATGATTCTTGAAATTACAAAAATAATTCAAAATACAACAAAATAATAATGATTATTATTGTTGTACAAGTTGTACAAGAATGAGGCTGGGTTTTGGAAAGAGACAGTGACTCTGGGCCACACTTCATTTCCTGGGCCCTAACGCCATGCTCACGTGAGGCCAGAATATTGCATACTGCCTTGTGAAAAGAGTTTTCATCCCCTTTGAGTGTCCACTCTTTTAACCACAGTCACTGGGACTCACTCAAGGAGGCCAGGCAATCTCATTAGATTAGATTAGATTAGATTAGAAGGCGTTTTCTCCTACAGCAACCCGAGTAGACAACTTTTCCATTTCTTCTCATGAAATAGTTTTCACTCTTTAGAACCACATCTCCATTTCCAAAGAGTATTTGCTTTACATTTGCATAACTAAAAGGCTCAGTGAGATGACTTTCCAAGAACAAAGGAGCATTTTGTCTAAAGAAATACAGGATTTAAGTATCTGACACTTGAGAGTTAGAAACCACTTAGCTGCTTTCAACTGTCACTTTCTCTCTCCCCCCCACCAACCCCCACCCATCCCCATCCCCATCCCCACTCCCACTCGAGTTTATATCCATAAATATTTTTAAAAATCCTAGGGACAGTAGCTAACAGGACACTTGTAGCACTGGCCATACCAGCTTAGTAGTTTCTCACTCTTGGTTGCATAAAGTCCAGTAAATCACAAAACTCAAGTTTAATTGGGAGCTTTTTTCCTCCATATTTGAAAATTGTACAAATAGGAAACTAACAAAAAGGAGCAGTGTCAGAGGTTTATTTGTTTTAAAACAGCAGAATAGTATGCTTTGTAAGGTGTTTAGTAAACATCCTTTGACCTGAACATTGTTGACTCGAATACTGTATCACCTTACAATTCCCACTGAATAGTCAAATAGAGATTACTGACTTCTCTGTAGCCTTTGTATTTAGATTGTACCAAAAATATATTATGTCTGTTTTCTTATTAAATCCTTAGGGAACTCTCTGCTACAGTGTTATCATCCTAATTCATAGAAGTGCAAACTGAGGCTGAATACATAGCTGCTACTATTACTACCACTACTACTACTACCACCTCTGCTAATTCTCCCTATGAAATCTGTGTTATTTACATTACACTATGCTTTCTTCTTTATGTATAAGAAGTGTTGTGTATAATGTAAGTTTCAAAAATAAATTATAATTTGTAGTTTACATAGTGGCTGTTAGTTGTCCAGAATCAATAAAAATTTACATATAATAGAACAGTTATATATGGGAAGTTAGAAAACTTGGTGGTCCCTGTAAATCTCTGGAATTAACCATCTGGGCAACTTGGAGCCAGTCATCACTGGGGCCCAGGTTACTTATATGCAATTTAAGTAATGATGATTACTAGTGCTTCTGTCTATGAAAAAGTCTATGACATTTATATATGTACTTTATCTCAAAATTACATGTCCACACTTTTTCAGTTCAAAACAAGTTATTTGTCTCAATACTGCATTTTTTTTAAAAAAGTTACACCAGTTTGTGTCAGTCACATTACATCTCTGGACCTACTTTTGCCACCTATTAAAATAAAGGGATTGTACCACGTTTTTTAGATATTCTATGGGACTTGCTATTCCTAACTACTGAAACAAAACAGTTTGTCTATGTCATGAGAAACTGTCCTTAAAATTCATCACCATTAAAGCATGAAACAGAAACACTTTAAAATACACAATTAGGCTAGATGCGTTGGCTCACACCTGTAATCCCATCACTTTGGGAGGCTGAAGTGGGTGGATCACCTGAGGTCAGGAGTTCAAGACCAGGCTGGCCAATATGGTGAAACCCCATCTCTATCAAAAATACAAAAATTAACCAGGTGTGGTGGTGTGTGCCTGTAATCCCAGCTACTCAGGAGGCTGTGGCAGGAGAACCACTTGAACTTGGGAGGTGGAGAGGTTTCAGTGAGCTGAGATCGTGCCACTGCACTCCAGCCTCGGCAACAGAGCAAGACTCTGTCTTAAAAAAAAAAAAAAAAAAAAAAAGAAGAAGAAGAAGAAGAAGGGAAAATTGAATGTTAAATTTTTTGTTGTTGAAATTCAAGTTTTATTTAGAATTAATAAAAATATAATTTTTTTGTTCTTTTTTTGCTGTTGTAAGAGGAACAGAACTAGTTCCTTTAAAGAAAAAGAAGAGAAAGCCTCTGTTTTAATCTGAAGCATAGGTTGTCTCATAAAGTTTTGTGACAAAATGGCTGCACACCTCGTTTTGTAAATTTCATCTCCTCAGCCATGTCAGTTGCCTTCATGTGACTTCATTATTTTTCTTATCTTCCCCAGTGAACCATATTAATAACTGATTATCCTACCCTGAAGATGTGTGAAGAAAACTGGGTGAAATTTTGACAGTAACTTTTATTTAATGTAAAATAAAATATTTTTAATGACTTCCAAGAATTCAGAGATTAGGGGAGTTTCTTTAATTTGTATGGATTCTCCAAATGATTCTTCCTTGTTTCTGATTTGGTGAGAAATTTCATATGTGAAATTTCAACTGAGCACAGCATGGTACCGCTGCCAACATCTTTGACTTTGGCATTGAAAAATTGAGATTAGTTTCCAGTGTTCTAAAAGGGCACTCCTATGATTCTGGAAACGTGCCACACACCTTTCTTTCGTGAAATGGATAGGTATCCGTTAATTAGACATTATTATTAATGTCATGTTCAGCTGCATGCTAAAGGGCACAATGTGGAACTGAGGGCAGGAATGATGACTTTGATGATATATGGACAGTTTCATGAATTACTTAAAGAAAACTCTCTCTTTTTACCCTATTGCACACAATAATTAAAAGATAAAAAATAACTATGAGAAACTATAATAGGCCTAAGGATCAGGTTTGTTTTTAGCTTCCTTCTTTTGTTATTTGTCAACAGTGGTCAGAAGTCTCTGAAACACCGCACAGGTTTAAGAATCACACAATGTGAAGAGTTATGAATGTACTTAATACCTGTTTGAAGGCCTCCTCACTAAATTTTTTAGGAATCTTATTTTATTTTTAGTTCTGATATGTTTCTTAACTCTAA
This sequence comes from Homo sapiens, assembly GCF_000001405.40. Lineage (NCBI taxonomy): Eukaryota > Metazoa > Chordata > Mammalia > Primates > Hominidae > Homo > Homo sapiens. The sequence continues at coordinate 166,091,288 of NC_000005.10, forward strand.
AATTCAGCACCTTACAGGCATAAAGAGGGAGAAAGTATTTTTAAGTGTGATAATCTCAAATGGTATGGATGTTTGGCCACAAAGTCTATGAGGGTTTGTTATCTAGCTAATGCTATATTGTGCCAAGGTAGAGTTTCCCAAAATACGTTCCATGATCTTCTAGTTCTTAGAAAAAGGAGAAGATTTTAGGTTCCAATAAGTTTAAGAAAAATATTTAGACGTAGGTAAACGTTTCTTATTCTAGAACATCTAAGAGTCTTAACTATGTGACTATGCATTATGAGTCTCCCACAGGAATATTTCACACATTTAGGTAAATCATATTGTGCTCCTTGTCGTGGAACATCGAGTGGGACTATTTTGGAACACATGTTGGATGCCCTACATTAAGTGATTCATATAGCAGACATATGCCACAGTCCTTAACTTGAATAGACTTTTCAGAGAATAGATGCACTGAAGTGAAGTTCCCAGGTGTGATGATGTCAGTGTATCATGTTATTGTACATCATAACTGCATTAATGATCAACTAAAACTATAAAATCTTTGATGAAAACAATAGATACAACACACAGTTTTAACATACCTTAAAACAGTAAACATCCCTTCAAATACAACACTTATCTCAGCTTTCTGATGGTTAAGGTACTAGAAGGGATTGGTCAATACAACTTACTGCATCTTATTTTGCAAACTCATGTGCGTGAGGATTTTACTGGATTTGACTAATCCAGTAAAATCAGGAAGTATGTTCATCTGTGCATTGTCTTCTCCTGTGTTGCTATAAAGAAATGCCTGAGATTGGGTAATTTATAAAGGAAAGAGGTTTAGTTGGCTCATGGTTCTGCAGGCTATGCAAGCATGGTACCAGCATCTGCTCAGCTTCTGAGCAGGCCTCAGGGAATATTTACTTATGGTGGAAGGCAAAGTGGGAGCAGGCACTTCAAATGGTGAAAGCAGGAGCAATACAGGGTTGGGGAGGTGCCAAACACTTTTTTTTTTAAATTAATTATTTGAGACAAAGTCTCACTCTGTTGCCCAGGCTGGAGTTCAGTGGCATGATCTCGGCTCACTGCACCTCGACCTCCCAGGTTCAGGTGATTCTCCTGCCTCAGCCTCCCAAGCAGCTGGGATTACGGACACCCACCACCAGGCCCAGCTATTTTTATATTTTTACTAGAGACAGGGCTTCACCATGTTGGCCAGGCTGGTCTCGAACTTCTGACCTCAAGTGATCCACCCACCCTGGCCCCCCAAAGTGCTGAGATTACAGGCGCGAGCCACCGTACCCGAACCCAGACGCTTTCAAACAATCAGATTTCACAAGAACTCACTCACTATCACAAACACAGCACTAAGCCATGAAGCATGTGGCCCCATGACCCAAACACATCCCATTAGGTCCCACCTTCAGCATTGGGAATTAAAATCCAACATGAGATTTGGGCAGGGATAAATATCCCAACTATGTTATTCCATCCTGGCTCTTCCCAAATCTCATGCCATTCTCACATTGCAAAATACAATCGTGCCTTCCCAACAGTCCCTCAAAGTCCTGACTTGTTTCATCATTAACTCAAAAGGCCGAAGTCTCATCTGAGACAAGGTACGACCCTTCCACCTATGAGCCTGTATAATTAAAAACAAAATACTTCCAAAATACAATGCTACAATGTTATTTACTTCCAAAATACAATGTTATAATGAGGGTATAGGCATTTAGTAAACACTGTCATTCTAAAAGAGAGAAATTGGCCAAAAGAAGGGGGCTACTAGTCACATGCAAGTTCAAAACCCAGCAGGGAAGTCATTAAATCTTAAAGCTACAAAATAATCTCCTTTGAGGGCTGGGTGCAATGGCTCATGCCTGTAATGCCAGCACTTTGGGAGGCCAAGGCAGGTGGAGCACAAGGTCAGGAGTTTGAGACCAGCCTGACCAACATGGTGAAACCCCGTCTCTACCAAAAATACAAAAATTAGCCAGGTGTGGTAGGACATGCCTGTAATCCCAGCTGCTAGGGAGGCTGAGGCAGGAGAATTGCTTGAAATCAGGAAGTGGAGGTTGCAGTGAGCCAAGATCGTGCCACTGTACTCCAGCATGGATGACAGAGCAAGGCTCTGTCTTGAAAAAAAAAAAAAAATCTCCTTTGACTCCATATCCTGCATTCAGGGCACACTGCTGCAAGGGGTAGCCTCCCAAGCCTTGGGCAGCTCTCTTTCTGTGGCTTCGCAGGTTTCAGCAGCTGCTCTCATGGGTTGACGTTGAGTATCTGCCACTTTTTCATACTGAGGGTACAAGCTGCTGGTGGATCTGCCATTCTGGGGTCTGGAGGATGGTGGCCCTCTTCCAATAGCTCCTAAAGGCAGTGCCAGAGTGGGGACTCTGTGTTGGGCTTCAACCCCACGTTTCCCCTCTGACTCTGTCCTAGTAGAGGTTTTCTGTGAGGAGTGTGCCCCTGCATCATGCTTCTGCCTGAGCACCCAGGCTCTCTGATACATCCTCTGAAATCTTTGCAGAGCCTGGCAGGCCTCCACTGTTACACTCTGTGTGCCCACAGGTTTAATGCTATGTGGAAGCTGCCAAGGCTTATGACTTGACTTCTTTAAAGTGGCAGCTTGAGCTGTCCCTGGGTCCCTTTGAGCCCCAGCTGGAGCTTGAGCAGCTAGGATGTTGGAAGCAGTATCTTGAGGCTGCGCAGCTCAGCAGGGCCCTGGTCCTGGCTGTGAAATTATGTGTTTCTCTAGACCTCTAGGTCTATGATGGGAGGAGCTGCCATGAAGTTCTCTAAAATACCTGCAAGGTCTTTTTCTCATTGTGTTGGTTTATTCCTCTGCCACATGGCCAGGCTGCAAATTTTCCAAACTTTTGTGCTCTACTTCCGTTTTAAATATGTGTTCCAAATTTTAGGTCATTTGCTTGCACATATGAGTGTAGGTTGTTGGAAGCAGCCAAGTCACTTCTTGAACCCTTTGCTTCTTAGAAATTTCTTTTAGATAACCTAAATCATCACTCTGAAGTTTAAACATCCACAGATCCCCGGGGTATGAACAGAATGCAGCCAAACTCTTCGCTAAGGCACAACACATGTGATCTTAGCCCCAGTTTCCAATAACATCCTCATTTCCATCTGAGACCTCATCAGCCTGGACTTCATTGTTCGTAAAAGCATTTTGGTCACAACTATTTAACCAGTCTCCGAGAAGTTCCGAACTTTTGCTCATCTTCCTGTCTTCTAAGCCCTCTAAATTCTTTCAACCTCTGTCTGTTACCCAATTCCAAAGCTGCTTCCACATTTTCAGGTACCTTTATAGCAATACCCTACTTCTTAGTGCCAATTTTCTGTATTAGGCCATTCTTGCATTGCATAAAGAGATACCTAAGGCTGTGTAATTTATAAAGAAAATAGGTTTAATTGGCTCATGGTTCTGCAGGCTGTACAGGGAGCATGGTGTTGGCATCTGCTTGGCCTCTAGGGAGGCCTCAGGAAGCTGACAATCCTCACAAAAGGTGAAGAGGGAACAGGAACATCACATGACCAAAGCAGGGGCAAGAAAGAGTCAGGGGAGGCGCCAAACACTTTTAAACAGCCAGATCTTGTGTGAACTTAGAGTGGGAGCTCACTTATCACCAAGGGGATGGCCCAAGCTGTTCACGAGGGATTCACCCTCATGATCCAAACACCTCCCATCAGGCCCCACCTCCAACACTGGGAATTACAATTCAACATGAGCTTTGGGTGGGAACGAACCTCCAAAGTCACCCGTCTGCACGTGAATAAATAATTATGTTAAATCAAATAATCTCAAATAAATAATTGTCTTTAATATTTACATAAGAAATCATCTGCCAAACTTACATATTTAGAAGATTGCTTTAGCGAAAAAATGATAATGATTTGAGATTAACAGCTCAAATATATGCTTGTAAATATTGGACTGCTAATAGATTGAGAATACTTGAAAATGGACACCTTTCCTGGCAATTTTTCCCTGTTTTCTTGTAATAACCCTGCCCCTGAAATATACATATATATTTATGGTGAAAAATTTGGGACAATGTGTTCCACTGAAAGAATCCCATAGGAAGGTTGTGGGATTCTTCAAGCGAAAGAATACATATGCCATATATGTAATTTTTATTTACATCAAAGACATTTGGGAATACACAATATGATTTTATGCAACCTAGCATGTGCATTCTCAGATCACCTATTTTCTCATATAAATTACTACCAAAACGCACATCAGTACTTTTGTTTTCAGAGCCCTGTGTGTGAAATACAATGAAAAAAAAAAATTGGAATCCCTAGTTTTTAAGGGCACTCCTAATACGTATACAATTATTTATTTTTTAGGGCAGACTGCATTTACAGTCATGTTTTTGCCTGTGAAGTAGAATGTATATATTAGGCCTCTTTTGCTCATACATGTTATGTAAGTAATTTCAGCCTGGGTCAAGGAACCAAGAATGAGTGAAAGATAAGATGTAAAGTTCTTCCTAGTGTAGGCCTGGCACATGGTACACCCTTCATCAGCATATGTCTGTGATCATCCACTGACCTTCCCCTTTGCCCAGTTTTCTTTTTCCTATATGTAGAGGTGAAGGGGGAAAAAGGTTGTTAAAAATGTAGTAGTGACCATTTCCTATCTCCATCCCTCAGCTTTAAAATGTGAAGCCTTTTATTTTCATTTCAAAAATATGTATTTAGTTTCTGCCTCTTCTTTTTTTTTGGAGATGGAGTTTCACTCTTGTCACCTAGGCTGGAATGCAATGGGCAATTTCGGCTCACTGCAACCTATACCTCCTGGGTTCAAGCGATTCTGCCTCAGCCACCCGAGTAGCTGGTAGCTGGGATTATGGACATGTGCCACCACACCTGGCTAATTCTTTTGTATTTTTAGTAGAGACGGGGTTCCACCATGTTGGACAGGCTGGTCTCGAACTGCTGAGCTTATGTGATCTGCCCACCTTAGCAACTCAGCCTCCCAAAGTGTTGGGATTATAGGCATGAGCCACTGTACCTGGCCCCTTTATTTAGTTTTTTAAATAAGTAAACTTATTTCAAATTTAAATAAGTTGTAAATAACTAAACTTATTTCTTTTTTGTTGTTGTTTTTATTTGTTTGTGTTTTGTTTTTTTGAGATGGAGTCTAGCTCTGTCGCCTAGGCTGGAGTGCAATGGCGCAATCATGGCTCACTGCAACCTCCGCCTCCCGGGTTCAAGTGATTCTCCTGCCTCAGCCTCCTGAGTAGCTGGGATTACAGGCACACACCACCAGGTCCAGCTAATTTTTGTATTTTTAGTAGAGACGGGGTTTCACCATGTTGGTCAGGCTGGTCTTGAACTCCTGACTTCATGATCCGCCCGCCTTGGCCTCCCAAAGTGCTGGGATTACAGGCGTGAGCCACCATGCCTGGCCAACTAAACTTATTTCTAACAAATAAGTTATAAATAAGTCGTTAAAATGAAAATAAGTTATTTCTAAATTTTATTGTAAAGCAAGATTAATTCAATGACTGTTGGAAATATTTTTAAACATTTTATTAGTGAACTCAAAGTGCATGAGGTTTTGGTTTCTTTTCTTCTTTTCTTTTTTATTTATTTATTTTTCTGCATCTGTAATTAATTCGGGATTAATATTGCAAGCAGTTGCTTAGAAAGTAAACACGAAGTCTCCAGACCTCTGGAATTTGGTCCTGCTTCTTGCCTGCTGTGCAACCTGCATGACTTAGATAATGTCTCTGACATTTACATCTGTTGAATGAGGGAATTTTTTCAAGGCTCTTTCTAATTCCCAAATTTAATGATGTAACCCTTCTGAAATCAGTTTGCCCTATGCAGAGGAAATCTATATATTCTTTGGCCTGTTCACCTATGTTGGCTACTTTTAAGGAAAGTGACAAAAATCAGTAGATGATTCAAATTAAACATTAACATTACTATAAAATAAGTAAGAATACTTACCCTAATGATAGTATAATTACTAAGAGATGTTTATTTTACAATAATATTGTGGCTAATGGGGTAGAGAAATGGTGAAGCAAAATACCTAAATTTTAAGTAAATGTCAGCAAGTTGCAGTTTACTTCATTGGGTAAACGGCACTGAGCCCGAATGCTGTAATGTAATAACTTAATCTCAAAGGTGCGCACCTCTTATTTTTAGTTTTTCTGCATAGAAAAGACTTAAGGTCGTGATTGCCAATTGAAATTTACAAAAACAAACTGCTGCTTCTCTGCAAAGTTACTTTTTTTTTTTTTTTTTTTTTTTTTGAGACGGAGTCTCGCTCTGTCGCCCAGGCTGGAGTGCAGTGGCGGGATGTCGGCTCACTGCAAGCTCCGCCTCCCGGGTTCACGCCATTCTCCTGCCTCAGCCTCCCAAGTAGCTGGGACTACAGGCGCCCGCCACTACGCCCGGCTAATTTTTTGTATTTTTAGTAGAGACGGGGTTTCACCGTTTTAGCCGGGATGGTCTCGATCTCCTGACCTCGTGATCCGCCCGCCTCGGCCTCCCAAAGTGCTGGGATTACAGGCGTGAGCCACCGCGCCCGGCCTGCAAAGTTACTTTTACGCGTTCTTTGCCAGAAAGCAACAGTGTAGGGATAAAAAAAGACACAGGGATCTATTAAATTATACTTATTTTTTTGTTGTTGTTGTTTTGTTTCATGGAATGTGTATGCATATTCTGAGAATAGAAAACTCACACACAGCATGTAACCTTTTCAACTTTCCAAAGATTAAAAAACACACTGCATTGCTTTATTGCGTTTTCCCGCATCAAGGGACATATTTCAGTCGAAAAGGGCAAACCAGGAAATTTACTCATGAAAACCAATTTATATAAGCATATGAATAGTATAACTATTCCCATAGTAAGTCTGGTATTCATCTTGAGAACTCTTGGGGACACACGAGTAATCCTCAGTGCAACTTCAATTTAGTCTGTGTTTAAATATAGAAAGGGCATGAAGTTTGTCCTGGATTTTTTTATTATTATTATTTTCTCTCTGGTATCAAATCAACCAGTGTGATGGCCTGTGAACTCTTTCAGCATTCTCTCTGCAAAATCAGAGTGTGACAAGGTGTCAGCATTGACAGATCCGTAGTGGAGATTGAGCAGACCTGAATTAATAAAGGTCAAAACTGTCAACAGGAGGAGTGCCTGGTGGCATGTGGGTACTTGCTCCTAAACAGCATTTGAAAAGCGAAAAGTGGCTCTGGAACAGACCCCAAGGCACCTGGACAAGCCAGGAATTTCCTGAGAATCATCTTTAAAATAAATTCTCACTCAAATAATTTTTTAAATGTCCTGCATTTCTTCTCCTCTCTGTCCTTAAATGCTCAAAAACGTCTCTGTCTCAAAGGAAACAAAGGTGTTACAATGAAGGAAATGATAGTTTTTATGGGATCCTTATAGAAAGCAATCTCCATGTCTGCATGTAAGCAAAGTTCCTTGCACACCTCCATCCTTATCCCTGCCTCCTTTTCCCCTCTGCTATCTTTATGATGTTTTCAAAGCAATTTGTAGAAGCAAAGTGCTTTTGCTCTGTACCGCATAATTTGGCCATTGATTTTATTTTGCCTGTACCATTATCTTATCATTTGGTGTCAGTTCCACCTCTTAAGCAAAATATCTAAGAAACAGAGAGGGGATATCTTACATTTCTCTTACACACCCTGGAATGTTAACTGAGTCCACGTATGTACTCAGTTCAGAGGAGATAATCTCACTTGAGTTGATGGGGAAAGAACTTTATATTAGTTATATTTTGGGGGGGAAATTAACATTTTTTTCAGCCCTTCAAATGTATTCTTCAAAATTGCAAGAGTGTCAATGTTGCTTCAAAATAAATAAAACCATTTTGTACTTCTATAGGAATAATGAAAATGTGTGACATAAGATTTTCTGGAAGACTTGGATTTTTCTATAAAGTTTTCTTATTGGAGCTATGTTTGCTAGCTTTCTTGTCTCTTGATCTTTTATTTAAAGAGCACATCTGGATTCTATGACAGGGAAATATATCTCTATGTTTCCAAACTCTGCCAGTCTTTAGGCTGATTTTGTGTGGTGTGTATGTGTGCATATGTGTGTGTGCGTGTGTGTGTGCATGTGTGTGTGTTGCTCTGTGACTATCACTTCACGAAGCCCAATTTTTTGTGTGTGTCTTTTTTTTGTTTAAATGATTATACTGGAGTTTTATTTTTTAAATTTTTTAATTTTAATTTTTAATTTTTTATTATACTTTAAGTTCTAGGGTACATGTGCACAACGTGCAGGTTTGTTACATATGTATACATGTGCCATGTTGGTGTGCTGCACCCATTAACTCATCATTTACATTAGGTGTATCTCCTCATGCTATCCCTCCCCGCTCCCCCCACCCCATGACAGGCCGCGGTGTGTGATGTTCCCAACCCTGTGTCCAAATGTTCTCATTGTTCAGTTCCCACCTATGAGTGAGAACATGCGGTGTTTGGTTTTCTGTCCTTGCGATAGTTTGCTCAGAATGATGGTTTCCAGCTTATTGAGGATTTTTGCATTGATGTTCATCAGGGATATTGGTCTAAAATTCTCTTTTTTGTTGTTGTGTCTCTGCCAGGCTTTGATATCAGGATGATGCTGGCCTCATAAAATGAGTTAGGGAGGATTCCCTCTTTTTCTACTGATTGGAATAGTTTCAGAAGGAATGGTACCAGCTCCTCCTTGTACCTCTGGTAGGATTCGGCTGTGAATCTTTCTGGTCCTGGACTTTTTTTGGTTGGTAGGCTATTAATTATTGCCTCAATTTCAGAGCCTGTTATTGGTCTATTTAGGGAATCAACTTCTTCCTGGTTTAGTCTTGGGAGGGTGTATGTGTCCAGGAATTTATCCATTTCTTCTAGATTTTCTAGTTTATTTGCATAGAGATGTTTATAGTATTCTCTGATGGTAGTCTGTATTTCTGTGGGATCAGTGGTGATATCCCCTTTATCATTTTTTAAGGCGTCTATTTGATTCTTCTCTCTTTTCTTCTTTATTAGTCTTGCTAGCAGTCTATCAATTTTGTTGATCTTTTCAAAAAACCAGCTCCTGGATTCATTGATTTTTTGAAGGGTTTTTTTGTCTATCTCCTTCAGTTCTGCTCTGATCTTAGTTATTTCTTGCCTTCTGCTAGCTTTTGAATATGTTTGCTCTTGCTTCTCTAGTTCTTTTAATTGTGATGCTAGGGTGTCAATTTTGATCTTTCCTGCTTTCTCCTGTGGGCATTTAGTGCTATAAATTTCCCTCTACACACTGCTTTAAATGTGTCCCAGAGATTCTGATATGTTGTGTCTTTGTTCTCATTGGTTTCAAAGAACATCTTTATTTCTGCCTTCATTTCTTTATGTACCCAGTAGTCATTCAGGAGCAGGTTGTTCAGTTTCCATGTAGTTGAGCGGCTTTGAGTGAGTTTCTTAATCCTGAGTTCTAGTTTGATTGCACTGTGGTCTGAGAGACAGTTTGTTATAATTTCTGTTCTTTTACATTTGCAGAGGAGTGCTTTAGTTCCAACTACGTGGTCAATTTTGGAATAAGTGTGATGTGGTGCTGAGAAGAATGTATATTCTGTTGATTGGGGGTGGAGAGTTCTGTAGATGTCTATTAGGTCTGCTTGCTGCAGAGCTGAGTTCAATTCCTGAATATCCTTGTTAACTTTCTGTCTCGTTGATCTGTCTAATGTTGACAGTGGGGTGTTATAAGTCTCCCATTATTATTGTGTGGGAGTCTAAGTCAATTTGTAGATCACTAAGGACTTGCTTTATGAATCTGGGTGCTCCTGTATTGGGTGCATATATATTTAGGATAGTTAGCTTTTCTTGTTGAATTGATCACTTTACCATTATGTAATGGTCTTCTTTGTCTCTTTTGATCTTTGTTGTTTTAAAGTCTCTTTTATCCGAGACTAGGATTGCAACCCCTGCTTTTTTTTGTTTTCCATTCTCTTGGTAGATCTTCCTCCCTCCCTTTATTTTGAGCCTATGTGTGTCTCTGCACGTGAGATGGGTTTCCTGAATACAGAACACTGATGGGTCTTGACTCTTTATCCAATTTGCCAGTCTGTGTCTTTTAATTGGAGCATTTAGCCCATTTACATTTAAGGTTAATATTGTTATGTGTGAATTTGATCCTGCCATTATGACGTTAGCTGTTTATTTTGCTCACTAGTTGATGCAGTTTCTTCATAGTGTTGATGGTCTTTACAATTTGGCATGTTTTTGCAGTGGCTGGTACCTGTTGTTCCTTTCCATGTTTAGCGCTTCCTTCAGGAGCTCTTTTAGGGCAGGCCTGGTGGTGACAAAATCTCTCAGCATTTGCTTATCTGTAAAGGATTTTATGTCTCCTTCACTTATGAAGCTTAGTTTGGCTGGATATGAAATTCTGGGTTGAAAATTCTTTTCTTTAAGGATGTTGAATATTGGCCCCCACTCTCTTCTGGCTTGTAGACTTTCTCCCGAGAGATCCACTGTTATTCTGATGGGCTTCCCTTTGTGGGTAACTGGACCTTTCTCTCTGGCTGCCCTTATCATTTTTTCCTTCATTTCAACTTTGGTGAATCTGACAATTATGTGTCTTGGATTTGCTCTTCTCGAGAAGTATCGTTGTGACGTTCTCTGTATTTCCTGAATTTGAATGTTGGCCTTCCTTGCTAGGTTGGGGAAGTTCTCCTGGATAATATCCTGCAGAATGTTTTCCAACTTGGTTCCATTCTCCCCATCACTTTCAGGTACACCAATCAGACGTAGATTTGGTCTTTTCACATAGTACCATATTTCTTGCAGGCTTTGTTCATTTCTTTTTATTCTTTTTGCTCTCAACTTCTCTTCTCGCTTCATTTCATTCATTTGATCTTCAATCACTGATACCCTTTCTTCCACTTGATCGAATTGGCTACTGAAGCTTGTGCATGGGTCACGTAGTTCTCGTGTCATGGTTTTCAGCTCCATCAGGTCATTTAAGGGCTTCTCTATGCTGTTTATTCTAGTCAGCCATTCATCTAGCCTTTTTCCAAGGTTTTTAGCTTTTTTACGATGGGTTCAAGTATCCTCTTTTAGTTTGGAGAAGTTTGTTATTACCAATCGTCTGAAGCCTTCTTCTCTCAACTTGTCAAAGTCATTCTCCGTCCAGCTTTGTTCCGTTGCTGGTGAGGAGCTGCATTCCTTTGGAGGAGAAGAGGTGCTCTGATTTTTAGAATTTTCAGCTGTTCTGCTCTGGTTTCTCCCCATCTTTGTGGTTTTATCTACCTTTGGTCTTTGATGATGGTGACGTACAAATGGGGTTTTGGTGTGGATGTCCTTTCTTCTCGTTAGTTTTCCTTCTAACAGTCGGGACCCTCAGATGCAGGTCTGTTGGAGTTTGCTGGAGGTCCACTCCAGACCCTGTTTGCCTGGGTATCACCAGCAGAGGCTGCAGAACAGCAAATATTGCAGAACAGCAAATATTGCTGCCTGATCCTTCCTCCGGAAGCTTCGTCTCAGGGGGCACCCACCTGTATGAGATGTCAGTCGACCCCTACTGGGATGTGTCTCCCAGTTAGGCTACTTGGGGGTTAGGGACCTACTTGAGGAGGCAGTCTAGACAGACTCAGATCTCAAACTCTGTGCCGGGAGAACCACTACTCTCTTCAAAGCTGTCAGACAGGGACGTTTAAGTCTGCAGAAGTTTCTACTGCCTTTTGCTCAGCTATGCCCTGCCCCCAGAGGTGGACTCCACCTCTGCAGAGGCAGGCAGACCTCCTTGAGCTGCAGTGGGCTCCACTCAGTTCAAGCTTCCCAGCCTCTTTGTTTATCTACTCAAGCCTCGGCAATGACGGATGCCCCTCTCCCAGCGTTGCTGCCACCTTGCGGTTTGATCTCAGACTGCTGTGCTAGCAGTGAGCAAGGCTCTGTGGGCGTGGGTCCCTCTGAGCCAGGCAGAGGATATAATCTCCTGGTGTCCCGTTTGCTAAGACCATTGGAAAAGCGCAGTCCTAGGGTGGGAATGTCCCGATTTTCCAGGTACTGTCTGTCACGGCTTCTCTTGGCTAGGAAAGGGAATTCCCCAACCCCTTGTGGTTCCCAGGTGAGGCAATGTGCTGCCCTGCTTTGGCTCACACTCGGTGGGCTGCATCCACTATCAGACAAGCCCCAGTGAGATAAACCCAGTACCTCAGTTGGAAATGCAGAAATCACCTGTCTTCTGCGTCGCTCATGCTGGGAGCTATAGACTGGAGCTGTTCCTATTCAGCCATCTTGCCATGATGCCCAGTTAACTTCTAAATTATTTGAGCTGAAAACAAAAATAGCTACAAAGCTACCTATGTTTTGCTTGAGAAATATGACACAGACATACTTTAGTTTTACCCCTCATGTTTACCCTTGCAAAAGGCAGCCTAGAAGTAACCAAATTCCCTCCACCCCTCAAAATTTTACTTTTTCTCCTATAAATGACTATTAGACAATATTCTTCAGTAAGTATTAGTTTGAGAATCACCAATATAGCAAATACATTTTCTTCATTCTCTAACTGCTAGAGACAGTGTACTAATTAGAGGAAAGCATGAACTAAAATTTTTTTCTCTACGTATTTACCAGATTGTTTTAATGCCAGGATCTTTTCCAGCTTTCTTTTTTGCCTCAAGACTTTTATCCCTGTTTGACAACATCCTAGTAAAAGTTAGACAATCTTGTTTCACTACCATTTGGATAGGATCATTGTTTTGTAAAATGGAACCATCTAAAGATGCCATCTAAGTGACTTTAAATAAAATTGCAATCCAAAAGCTTATTTGTGATTTTCTTTTTCTTTTTTAGTGTATTAAGCTCTCATGGGACGAAAATGTTAAAACACGGTATGTTCTATAACTACTCTTTTACACCTTTTATCTTATAGGTAATCATTATCTAAAATTAAATTGGCTAAGTGATTTTTTTAATGGCATAGATTGTATTTTCTCTCATAAGCACCTTTACAAAGTTAGTTTCTTATGGAAAAGTCAGACAGTATTATTAGTAACCAGTTACCATGCAATCTGGTTCCAATGAGATAGTTGGTAAACAATTAGGCTGTGTTGTTAGTAAAATCCTGAAGACTCTCAGATGTCCAAATCATTGTATAATGAAGAGTATGAAATTTTCTAGAATGTAAAAGACTAACCTGTTCCACTGTACATAGTGAAAAATGAAGGATATTAAACTGAGAGAGAACATTTTTAAATGTCTATAATAATACCTTTTTTCTTAAATAAGGCACTCTCTTGATAAATAATCATAGATTTTAATGAAGAAAAAACTGATACCTGATGGAAGAAAAAATATTCATAATCTTATCAATGTCAGTATTATGTGACGTGAAATATCTCTAGCTTTTTTATTTACCCACATAAATTTGTGTGTATATAAATATTAGATTGCCTTTTTGAAGATTATGATTTTAAATTTTATATTCAAAGCCTATATTTATGTTTAAATACATAGGTTATTCAAGCCCCTATGTTGTTAAATATTTTTTTATAAAGTAAGGTTTTTAGTTGACTGTGCAATATTTGGCGTTTTATTTTTTAAAAAAACATAATATTTGGGTATTTTAAATTATATCTATTTTGCTATCATCAATAATGTTCTGACACTTATATAACAAAATTACATCTTCATGCATAACTCCACTTTATTTTTAACCCTTTAGACTAATTTCCTGTAGATAAAAATTGTAACATCTAGGTCATTTACATTTTTAGTTTGATAAACATGGGCATATTATACAGCAAAATGTTGATCCAACTTTCACAGCCTCACCAATTTATGATCCTCTCAATGTTTGTATTCAGATCTATTTCTTATACTATATTCATTTTTATATTTTGTGTGTCATTTATTTTTCTTGTACCCATTTTACTATTGAAGTGTTAGGTTGGTGCATTAAAAGTAATGGCAAAGACCTCGATTGCTTTTGCACCAACCTAATATTTACTGTTTTCCCGTAAGGTATTCTACTGTTGTCTTTAAATATTTTGTGTATATTTCTTTATTTTTGTGATTGTGTTACAGTTAATTTACTCAATTAGAACAAGCCAAACTTTCTATTAATATTAGTATTCTTAGTATAAAGAGGTGTTCTTTAGTATTTTTCAGAATCTGTTCTATTTTTGTTAGCTATAAAGTGTGCATATGTGTTTGTATGTCATGTGCGTACAGAGAAAGAGATAGCTTTATAGACATGGAAAAATCTTTGAATCCTTTCTCTTTTTTCACTATACTCTCTCCATTTCTCTTTCTTTCTCCCCTCCTTATTATAGTTTCATGAGAAAGTAAAAAAGAAAGGGAACTGAGAGAGAAAGATATGTTAATTTTACATATTACTTTTTAATGAACTCGTGTTATAAAAGACATATACACTATAAAATTGAATTGCATTCAGTGGAAGTTTGGAAGACAATTTTAAATGCCTCTCGTTTAAGGTTCTTATGCAAAGAAAATGGAAAAGAGGGAAAATTTGTTTTAATATTAAAAAATGTACCTCTTAATTTGCTAATCCAAAATACTAGCATGAAATTAGAAAAAAAAGTATAGAATAATCTTTCTAAACTTGGTAGCTTGTTTTATTAAGAGCTGTTATAACATTAACTACAACATAAAACTAAGAAAATAAATTGATCTAGAGGTATTAAAAAATAAAAAGAAAGAAAATATTCACAGTTATGGCCAGGCACGGTGGCTCATGACTGTAATCCCAGCACTTTGGGATCCACTAAGGGAGGTGGATCGCTTGAGCCCAGGAGTTTGAGACCAACCTGGCCAACATGGTAAAACGCTGTCTCTACTAAATTACAAAAATTAGCCCGGCATGGTGGCGGGCACCTGTAATCCCAGCTACTTGGGAGGCTGAGGCAGGAGGATCACTTGAACCTGGAAGACAGAGGTTGCAGTGAGCTGAGATCATGCCACTGCACTCCATCCAGCCTGGGTGACAGAGTGAGTGAGACTCCATCTCAAAAAAAAAAAAAAAAGAAAAAAGAAAAAAGAAAAAAAAAAGAAGGGAAAATATACACAGTTAAAATGTAGAAGTGAAATGTGAAATTGACGCTAGAAATATACAATTGAAAAATAGTGATACTGAATGAAATCACTAGATATTTTATTTTTTGCCTTTCAGTTTTCAAAAGACATGTAGGATATTCAATGTATCCATTCCAAATCAACTCTCAGAATGAGCTAAGACTTCCAACAGACATCTAAAAAGTAAAAATTGGAAGTAATAATCATTAATAAATTTATTTTATCTTTCCTTGTTCTCCCCCCTTCAATATTATATTCACTGAATATTATACAACAAAGATTCTAACTGAAATCTTTGGAAGGCATTGAAAAATCTTCAACTTGTTAATTTTATGAATAAGGAGACTGAGACGCTGCGTACATGATTTGCTAAAACCACAAAAACCACACTGCAAGTTAATGAAAGACTTTTCAAAAAAGATGTGTTAGGGAGAAAAACAAATGAAGTTTCAAGACAGAAATCATTTATTTGTTCAATTTCAGGAAGATCACTTTTCCAACAATTTGAACACACGGTTTTCTTATATGTCTAGTTAACATTATGTATACTTCCTTATATGCATAATTAATATAATTAATACAACATATTTACAACAATACACATTATTAACATAATTACTGGGTCATTCATTCATTTAACCAACATTTATTAGGCTCTATGTGCCAGACTTTGTGATTTATTAAAAAATTAGTTAATGTATGTGTGTACAGGTATTTAGACAATTCAATGGAAATATATTTTTTATCAAATTCATTTATTCCTAGAAGTTATCATGTGTATTAATGTTCTCTAGAGAAAGAGCAATCAATAGGAGATTTTATATATATTTATATAAAATATGTATATATATATATCATATACATCAGCCATACGTCAAAGATATTGCACTTTTGGTTTCATATCATCCCAGTAAAGCAAATATTGCAGTAAAGGGAGCGATAAACAGAGTTTCACACATTTTTTGGTTTCCCGGCACATATGAAAGTGATGTTAAGGCCAGGTGCAGTGCGGTGGCTCACGCCTGTAATCCCAGCACTTTGGGAGGACAAGGCGGGCGGATCACGAGATCAGAAGATCGAGACCATCCTGGCTAACACGGCAAAACCCCATCTTTATTAAAAATACAGAAAAGTTAGTCGGGCATGGTGGTGGGCGCCTGTAGTCCCAGCTACTCAGGAGGCTGAGGCAGGAGAATGGGGTGAACCCGGGAGGTGGAGCTTGCAGTGAGCTGAGATCGCACCAATGCACTTCAGCCTGGGTGACAGAGTGAGATTCCGTCTCAAAAAAAAAAAAAAAAGAAAAGAAAAGAAAAAGTGTTGTTACATTATGCTCTACTAAGTTTGCAATAACACTATGTTTAAAGAAATGCATATAATTTAAATTTTTAATAAACGTTATTACTAACATGCAATATCATGTGAGCCTTCAGCAAGTTGTAATCTTTTTGATGATGGAGGGTGTCTTGACTCAATGTTGATGGCTACTTACTGATCAGGATGGGGGTTGCTAAAAGTTGGGATGACTGTGTCAATTCTTTAAAAGAACAATGAGGTTTGCCACATCAATTCTCTCTTCTTTTCACAAAAGATTTCTCTGAAGCATGCCATGCTGTTTGATAGCATTTTACCCACAGCAGAACTTCTTTCAAAATTGGAGTCAATCCTCTTGAACCCTGACACTCCTTTTTCATCTAAGTTTATAGAATGGTTTAAACTCTTTATTGTCATTTCAACAATGTTTACAGCATCTTTACTAGGAGTAGATTCCATCTCAGGAAACCACTTTCTTTGCAAAGCCATAAGAAACATTGCTTTATTCATTAAAGTTTCATCATGACATTACAGGAGTTCAGTCCCATCTTCAGACTCCACTTCTAATTCTAGTTCTTTTGCTATTTCTACCAAATCTGCAGTAACTTTGTCTGATGAAGTCTTGAATTCCTCAAAGTCATCCATGAGTGTGGGAATCAACTTATTTCTAATTCCTGTTAATGTTGATATTTTGTTCTCTTCTCATGAATCACAGTGTTTTTAATAACATCTAGAATGCTAAATCCTTTTCAGAAGGATCTCAATTTTCTTTGCCCAGATCCATGAGAAAAAGCATTTTCTATGACAGCTATAACCTTACAAAATGTATTTCTTAAATAATAAGACTTGAAGGTCAAAATTCCTTCTTGATCCATAGGCTACAGAATGCATGTTGTGTTCATAGACATGGAAACAACATTAATCTCTTTGTACACCTCAATCAGAGCTCTTGGGTGGCTAGATATATTGTCACTGAGCAATAATGTTTTGAAAGAAATCTTTTTTTTTTTTTGCGCAGTAGTTCTCAACATTATGCTTATAATGTTCAGTAAACCATTCTGTAAAGAGATGTGCTCTCATCCCGGCTTTGTTTTTGCATTTATAGAGCATAGACAGAGTACATTTATCATCATTTTAAAGGCTCTGAGACTTTCCGAATGGTAAATGAGCACTGCTTCAATTTAAAGTCAAAGTTGTATGAGCCCCTAACAAGAAAGTCAGCTCTCCTTTTCTCTTGTGAAGCTTTGAAGCCAGGCATTGACTTCTCCCTTCTACCTATGAAAGTCCTACATGGCATCTTCTTCCAACAGAAGGCTGTTTTGTCTACACTGAAAGCCTGTTGATTCCTGGATTCCTGTAGCCACCTTCATCAATTATCTTAGCTAGTTCCTCTGGATAGCTTGCTGAAGCTTCTCCATCAGCCCTTGCTGCTTCACTTTGTAATTTTAGTTTATGGAGATGGCTTCTTTCATTAAACTGCATGAACCATCCTTTGCTTGCTTTAAACTTTTTTCTGCCATTTCCTCACTTCTCTCACCCTTCATAGAATGGAAGAGAGTTAAGGCCTACCTTTGGATTAGGTTTTGACTTAGGGAATGTTGCAGTTGGTTTGATCTTCTATCCAGATCACTCAAACTTTCTCCATTTCAGCAATAAGGCCATTTTGCTTTCTTATCATTTGTGTGTTCACTGGAATAGGAATTTAAATTTCCTCCAAGAACTTTTCCTTTGCTTTTACAACTTAGTTAACTGGTACAAGGGATGTAGCTTTCAGCCTGTCTCAGATTTCAACATGGCATCCTCTATAAGATTAATCATTTCTAGCTTTTGGGTTAAATTGTGAGATGTGCTATGGATCCTTTTACTTGAACACTTAGAAACCATTGTAGGATTACTAACTGGCCTAATTATAATATTTTTATGTCTCAGGGAAGAGGGAGGCTCAAGGAAATTGTGAGAGATGAGGGAATGGCTGATTGGTAGAGCAGTCAAAATAAACACAACTTTTATCAACTGAGTTCACTGTGTTATGTGTGCATTAATTGTAGTGTACTGAAACAATTACAATAATAACATCAAAGATAACTGACCAGCATAACAGATATAGCAATAATGGAAAAGTTGAAGTATTGTAAGAATTATCAAAATGTGACACAGGGACACAGTGAGCACATACTTTTGGAAGGATACATTTGTTCAGTGAAGGATTGCCACAAATCTTTAATTTGTAATAAATGCAGTTTCTATGAAGCACAATAAAGCAAAATGCAGTAAAACAAGGTATGCCTGCATATGTGTAAATGTATATATTACCATGTCTAACATACATTATATAATATATACAATGACATCCTATATATTATATACATATAGAGTATGTAAAAGAAGGAATTGGCTCATGTGATTATGGAGGCTGGCAAGTCTCCACATCTGCAATGGGCAAGCTGGAGAACTAGGAGCATCAATGATGTAGTTTGAGTCTGAAGACTGATAGGTTTGAGACCCAGGAAGGATTGATAATCCAGCTTGAGTCCAAAGGCAGGAAAAGAACTGACGTGCCAGCTAGAAGACAGTCTGATAGGGGTGGTTCCCCCTTATCATAGGCAGGTCAGCTTTTTTGTTCTCATCAGGCCTTCAATTAATTGGAGAGGGGCCCACCCACATTAGGGAGAGAGGCCCACCTATATTGTGCTTGAACTCAGCCTATCCATTCAATTGTTAATCTCAGCCAGCAACACTCTCATAGATGCACCGAGAATAGTGTTTAACTACTGTGTGGACACTCCATGACCCAGTCAATTTGACATATCAATTTAACCATCACACCATATTTTCCTGATTATTATTACATCATGCCTCCACAGCCCCATATCAAAGATGCTACACAAAGACATAAGCAGGAGGTAGGTAGTAAAGCCTTGTGTAAAGAAACTTAACCATTCATATTCCATAAGTCGTGACAGTGACTAGGTCTTAAAATATTCTCTAGGATTTCTTTAATGTCAGAAACATAAAGCTACTTTGGGAAATCATGACATGAGAACTCTACACACAATCAATAAATGGGACTCCTAAGTAATTCTTTGAAAGACTAAACTTAGCCCATAAGATTGGAACCACCATTGCAAAATTATGACTGAGACAGTGAAAGAGATCTGACTTAACTGACTCCATCTTGCTTCTAACCTCCAAGCTGTCCTTGTTCATTCCTGGGTGTAGGCTAAACTAACTGTTGGAGAAAATTTGTTTATGGTTTATACTTTAAAACAAAGACAATAATAGCCCCTTCCCAAAGCAGAACTCCTTCTTGCCTGGGGACTGGATTGCCTTTGTAGGACTACATTAGCCACAAGATTAGAAATTATTGTTTAGGGGTCATGCAACTGGAGGCTACAAGATTCTGACCCTCCCTAAACTTCTTCTAAGATCAGTGCCTGAGATATTTTCCAGACCCTGCACTTGATAGATCAGTTGGCACCAGATGGATAAACTGGCTTATCTGATCTTGTGGCCCCCACTGGGGAACTGACTCAGCACAATAAGACAGCTTCAACTCCCTATGATTTCATCTCTGACCAATCAGCACTTCTGGCCCACTGGATTCCTCCCACCCACCAAGTTATCCTTAAAATCACTGCTTCCGGGATACTCAGGGAGACTGATTTGGGTAACAATAAAACTCCAGTCTCCCGCACAGCTGGCTCTCCATGATTTACTCTTTCTTTATTGCAATTTCCCTGTCTTGATAAATCAGCTCTGTGTAGGCGGTGGGCAAGGTGAACCTGTTGGGTGATTACATGATTACTTTATTAATACAGTAACTGGTTACTAAATTACTATAAGGAATGGAAAAGTGATTGACAATTGAATAATCCACTCACAATTGATAAACTCATAGGACACTTGGATCCTTGGGAAGCAAATATGAATAAAGAACAGTCTTAAGGAGATTGTACTCTATTGAAGAAGTCAACATAAGAGGCCACAGAAGACACAATTTGCTGTAGTGTATTGGTCATCTTCAAGCTTTTAAAAGTTGCAGATCTCTGTATTTTCAGTATAAAATTTAAAAGGATATAAATCAAAGGCTCAATTGTGAAATGGAGCTGTGAAATTGGCAGTGAGAAAATGTCTTTAACTAGATATTCTGGAAAGTTCCTGGAAAGGTTTATTAATTTTTTTTAACCAAGAAACACATTTCTCCATCTTTACCTGTACAGAAAACTCTTTCTGTACTGGGTGATTCAAAGCAAATGTATGAAATAAAATGTGCCTTCTTGAACCTTCAAACTAGTACATTGCATCTCCCCATACCTTCAGGTGGTCTATCCCTTCTGCCTTCTCCTTTATCTTTTCCTACTGCCAGTACAGATTGTCAAAGAACTCATTTATACCTTTCTTATTCTAGATAAATGCTACTAGGTGTTGCCAGGAACTACCTGCCATTAGTAATAACTCATTATACTTGACAGTAAAAATCTCTCCTAAGTGGCAAATGCTAACTGGTAGACTTTATAGTGATGAATCCATCTGGATTCATTTTCAGCCAGTGGGTAAACCTGAATTGGGGAATTGGATAGTGCCTAAGATCACTCCATTGTGTAACTCTCATTACTTTTTTATGAGCTCACCCAGCATGAAAATAATTCATTAGCAATGAACATATTTAATTGTTCTTTCTAGTTCATCCCTTTGTACATTTTAAACAGATTATCCTGGCTGGCTACAAACAAACCTGAAATCAAAAAGCAGATGCTACCTCTAATTGGAAGACTCAGGTAGGGTACTTAAAACACAAACAAGCACATTTCTATTTAGGATTTTATGTTTAACCTTTGATTGTGCCTGGAACATGATGTAATGAATAAATGAATTAATAAATAAATTGCATACATTAATGAATAAATTAATAGAAGAATGAGTAAAAGATCACTCTTTGATGCCCATGTTTACCACTATAATAAAGAAAGAAAGGGGACAGTCAGAGAAAGGAAAGAATATAGTTAACAAGAGCGATGAGTGGGGAACAGCACATAAACAGATTTCTGCATCTTTCTGCAGATTGAATTGGAATCTCAGATTTTCTACACTTATTTTAGGCATAATGGAGAGTCAATAAGGAATTATTACCCACTCACTACCCTCATCAAGACAGAAGGAAGGAAAGACGGAAGGAAGGATTGATTCAGAAGGAATGAATATTTATAATTTCTACAAATAAAATTTGTATGAAATTTCTACAAATAAAAATATAAAAATAAACAGGGTTCTTGTAAACTCATATGAAATCTAGTACATTAGAATATTCCACATGTTTTGGTGACAAATATTTGAACTATTATCAAATTATTGTAGAGACGGTTGAGCCTTAAAAGTTTACAACCTTGACATGGCTATAATGAAAAGAATTGAAACTTCCTCTAGATTACTCATTAGTACTGACACATTAATTAAAATAGATAGTTGGTTTCTTTCCTATCATCACGTATATTTCTTGAGTAAGCTATCATTAAAGGTACTTTTATTTTTCTATTCTAATTAAGGAAAAATAAATCACATCTGTAAACCAAAACAGAAACTACTCTTTAAATTATTCCATTTTATGAACAGAGGAAAGCCATGCAATGACATTTTATGCTGAAATATTTTTGGGTCAAATTTTAATTTAACTGATGCGTCTTCAGTGTGCCTGTGGAAGGAGAATCTTGAAAACCCTATATTGATAAGTATAATAAAATTCTATATAATGAGTATAGGAGCACAATTAGTAGGTAAATAAAATTTTATCAGTTCATATTACCAAGTTGCCTGCAGTACTGGAAAATGTAGCTTATTTTTAACATGGGTGAAAAGACCCTGCAATTTGATGAAAAAAACCTAGTCAAATGAAGCCCAAATTCATAATTTGAAGCCTATAATAGGAATGCTAACACTTAGAAACAGAAGGATGAAGGTAAGGCATCTCTTGTTAGTTTCCAGGCCTGCACAAATGACAGCTGATCACCACATTGTACTCCTGGAGGAGGAGATTAATAGGAGCATGACAGACAAGTTTCAGAAACTAGAGTTCCTCAAGCTGAAGAAGAGAGAAAGGCAGAATATTTCAGTAGTGATTTTCAAGTAAATGCGTGTTATTTAGCAGAGCAATAATAATTTTTTTAAATCAACTAACTTGGATAAAAAAAGAAAGAGCAGAAATTATGAAAAGTGTAATTTTAACTAGATAATTAGACTGTAGTTGCTATCACATATTCCTTTCACTTAGCATTTACTTGAGATTCAAAGTTGTTAATTTTATTATTAAGTGACATTTTTCATTACCTCAATTAGGGTGTAAGCGCTTTGAGGCTTCAGACATTATGGGATTTTTTGTGTGTGTGCATGGCAGGTGGGGCATACTGGGTAGATATATCTTGATTATCCAGAGGTGTTAAATAAATACAAACAACTCAGATTTCGGCATCAAACAAACAGTTCTGAGATTCAAAGAATTTCTGCTTTGGAGTATCTTCTTGTTTTTACTTTATATTTGGTGTAATTTCTCACTTGTAAATTGTTGCTTAAATAGTGCAAATAATATCCATAAACTTCCATCCAGTTTTTCCTATTCTTCATATTTTACTCAATTTACTTTAACATTTATGTTCTTTTCTCTCTCTGTCATACTTTCACTCTATGTGTATCTATACATAAATTGTTTTCTTCTGAACTATTTGAAGGTAAATTTTATACATCATGGCCCTTTTCCCGTAAATTCTTTAGCATGAGTTTAGGAGCAGGTGTTGTATTTAGTGGTCAAGTCTCTTGAGCCTCCTTTAACCTGGAGCATTTCCATAGCTTTTCTTTGTGTTTAATGACATTGATATTTTTGACAAATATATCCTTCTATCTTTAAAAACATAGACTGTTTCTCACTGAGCATTGGTTTAATCTTCCTTTATTGACTAGATGGTGGTTATGCATTCTCACTGGAATGCTGCATAGGAGATATTTTGTTACACATCTGTGTTACACATCTGGAGCCACATGATGTCCATTGGTCCCTCATTAATAGTGTCAATTTTAATGGTTAATGATAAAATTAATTATCACCTGGTCATGATGTTGCCCCATTTCTCCTTTCTCCATTGTATAGTTACTGAGCTGTTGTTTTTCTCTCTTCCCTGCAACTATCAAACAACCTGTGGGAGTCACTTGAAGACTACGCAAATATCCTGCTTCCTGTTGAAACTTCCTACTGGTCTTATCATCTAGTGAGGGTTCATTCCTGCTCCAGTTTTAACATGATAATATTCTAATCTCAACTATCCATTAATGTTACCAGTCAACCCTCAGCATTCTGCTTTTATATATCCTTTCCATATCCATATAGTAGTATATATTTATTTATCGTCAGTACAAATTCACCAATTTCTGTTTTCTTCAAGAGGTCATAATTCATTGCAGTTTTTGAGTATTTTGATGCTCATAATGTCCATATTGGGCCAGCGAAAGCCTCTTAGTTGGTTCCTCTCTCCTTGTGATAGGCCCCCAACTTGTTTTTACTTATTTGGCACTTTCTTTCTTTGTAGCTTACCTTGTAGCCATGCTGTTCAATCCCTGAAATCAGCAATTTATTCAAGAAATCCTTTTCCTTTTAGTGGGAAGTAAAGACCAAGATCTAGGTATAAGCTATGCATGTTGCTGTTAGGGAGTTCTTGCTTCTGGGTCCTTGCAGCAGACAGTGTTGGTAAAAATATGTTTATATACAGATGTATTTGCATACATGTATTACACAAGCACACTTGTATAGATATACTTATATGTTTGCATTCATGTGCACATCAACATGCACATACATACACACGTACCTATTTCAGAAATCATCACTTCATTTGTTCTTCTCAGTGAAAATCTTAGCTCCCAACATGACCAACACATTTATGCATTTGCTCAAGCCTATAATACATCTAAAATATTTTCATAATTTTCTTACCCACACCATTATCATAAACAATTCTACTAAAAAGAGTTTAGGATTGGTTTGAGCTTCTGCCATCAAATCCCACACATCACTCTGCCCAAGACCAAGAGTACAGAGTGAAACATTCCGTCCATCTGCATTTAGACTGGATCTTTCTTTTATACCCCTTTCACGTGACTATGGTGTTCACCTAAAATATGACTAAGCTCATTTGTTTCCGTTTGTGGACAGTATTTTCTTCTTGTCATTCTTATTGTTTAATGTAACTTTGTGAATATGTGGGATGTTAATGTGCTTCAAAAGTCAAAACTGTACATCAACATATACTCAGAGAAGAGTCACTCTCCTCTGTCCTTCCACCCTGTCCCTTCCATCTCACCCCGTGTAGTTAACAACTTTATTTTTTTCTGGATTTTGCTACTACCTATATTGCTCTTTTTGGGTCATGATTAGCAAGTGTAGTGTATTTACTTATTATTCTTTCTTACATAATATATAGCATAGCATATATATTCTTTTACGTTTTTCTTTTTTACTCAATACTATGCGTGTTCAGAGTCTTTCCTCATTTTTTTAATGACAGCATAGTACTCCATTGAATTTACCCATTCTCCTATGCTTGAAGATTTAGGTGGTTTCTAATATTTTGGAATTACAAATAAAGCTGCTTTAAATAGGCTTGTAAAAAGGGATTTTCATATTTTTGGAGGTATATCTTGAGTGTAAACTTCTAGAAGTAGGACTACTGGATTGAAGGGTAAATACATAGATAGTTAATTAAATATTTTCAAAATCCACTCCATAAGAATCGCACCATTTTCCATTCCCACCCACAATGTTGGAGACAGCCTGTTTCTCCATAGCCTCTCCAAAGGAGTGGATTGTTAAGCTTTTGAATTTTTGCCAGTCTAATGGTTCAGGAACACTTTCTTACAGTAGTTTTAATTACACTTTTCTTATGAATGAAGATGAATACCATTTCAAGTGTTTAAAGGACTTTTTTTTATCTCTCTTTGTAAATTTTCAGTTCAGGGCACTTCTTTAACAAATATGGAAAAGTTGATCTTGGAGTGCTTTCATCCCCGTTCAAAGGCAGTGATAGACAACAGGTATATTGTGACTGAGCCAGAGGTCAGAAATCAGAGTGTCAGCAGGGCTGTGTTCCCTCAGAAGCTCTGAGCTAGATTCTGTTCCTTATCCTTTCTAGCTTCTGGCAGATACATATGTTCCTTGGATGAAGGCCCCACCATTCCAATCTCTGCTTCCATCCTTATATTACCTTCTCCTCTTCTGTCTCTCTGCTCTCCCTTGCCTACTTCTCATAAGAACACTCACGGAGACATTTAAGGCCCACCTGAATAATTCAGGATAATCACCTCCTCTCAAGATCCTTAACTGAATTATATCTTTGACACACAAGATATTTACTCTTTTGCTATATAAGGTAGTAGTCAAAGTTTCTGGGGATTAGGTTATGGACATATGTTTTTGGGAACTATCACTGAGCCCACTACACATGGTTAATCTTAAATTATATAAAGGGGAAAGAGGAGACAGGCTTCTTGGTATCTAATATGCTGTGGGTATTTGAAGAAAAGGAGTTATGGGAAACAGCATGGTCATTCTCCTGGCTGTGACTCTCAGCTTGTCTGGAATAGAAGGCTCAGCTTGTCTGGAATAGAAGGGTACTTAGATCATAAGAGCGTTCAGCTGAAAGAGATTTAGTAATTGTTTTTGTATTTTAACCGACTTAATCATTTTGTTGTAATGTGCCCTAATAGCAGTAACTGCATTATAAATTTATTAAAAATGAAGCCATCTGAGGATGTCTGGATTATACAATAAACAGTTTTGAAAAGGAGGAACAAGGCACTTTAAAAACTTCAAGCATCTAATGAGCTTAATTTGTGACCCTAGCAACAATACCAAAACATGTGGTTGTAAAGCTTTGTAGAAGGGTGAGATCACAGTATTCCGGGCATGGTGATTCAACTGAAGGCACCATTCAGATATGATGTCATCAACACTGAACATGTGTTGGAAGCACCTTATACTGACAGCTGTTGTTTCACACAGTTTTTCTTAAACAAAAGTCTACCTTTAAATGTCATTGTAAAGGGTGTTCTCCTTTGTTTAAGGATTAGGTCATATAACTGGTAAATATTATTGCCTTATATATTTTCATAATGCCTGTCCATCAGAAAGTATTGGCTGGTACTACCTATTGTGATTTAAACAAGATGTTCTTAGTCACGCAGAGACTAACATTACACTTTACAGTGTATCCTATTGGCCTTCAGGATAAATTTATGAATCATAGAATCTTATAGTTGGAAGAAAATTTAGAGGTAGCTAACAAACCACCCATCTGATTTGATGCTTCAATAGTGTTTCCTACCAATACCTTGTTAAGAGGGCATCTAAAATTTGTTCAAATACCTCCAATGTCAGGGAACTCACTACCATTCAAAAGAACTCATTTCATTTAATGGTTCAACATTAAGAAAAACAATCGTCCTACATTACATTAAGTTAAATATTTTGTTACATTATTTGCAGACAGGTTATTTTCCTTTTCTAGTCATCTCTTTTCCACAGTGACAATCCTGAGTGTCTCCTGCAGTTCTGCATGTGACACTGTTTTGAGTCATCATTTAAGACCTTGTCTAAACATGTAGATATTGTCAATGCTACTATGTCTTTATTAATATTGACTGTAACCATTTGCAAATCCAAGTTAGCTGAAGGTGTGAAGAAGCTGTAAAATCAAATGAGAGTTACCTGTGAGTTGTGGGTTTGGGCCGATACTTTGGGCCTAGAGGATCTGTAAAGTTCCTGTAAGATTTTGGCTGTTGGTATGTGTTTTGTTTAAGCAAAACAAAGGATTTATATTATAGAAATTATAAAAAACTTATAAAACAATTAATAAATAATTTTATAAATAATTATAAAAAAGTGTCTCATGAAAATGAAGGTTAGAAATGCAGCCAGGGTTCAAAGAGCTGAAACAAGGATCTCTAGAACTATGAGAAACAATCACATCTGTTTATTCATTTATCTCTCTCCCATTTTTAGTCTCATTCTTTCTGAGTGTCAATCTCATTTCTTCTTTCTTCTACATATCTTCTGCTTGTGTTTTATCCTTTTCTTTCTCTACAAACTGGCTTATGTGATATTACTGATTATCGATTTACATATTACTCTTTAAGATTTATTCAGATCAACAAACAGCTCTCTGTTACAATTCCAAATTTTTAGAAGATATTGACTCTTTTGCTCACTTTTAATGGCAAAAACTGCAATTACTTTTGCACCAATCTATAGAAGCCACTTCCCCCAACTGTTGTCAAGGCAATCATGTTCCTTCACCTAATCAACTGGAGTTAAGGGGCTGAAGAAATAGCATAATGTTGTTCAACATCATGGCTGGGAGGCTTACATGTATAGATCAGAGTCAGACAATTCCAGGAGAAAGTAGATGGCTCTACACCAGGACAGGCAATCCTCAAAATGTCTACAACAGAGACCAGGACGGGCAATCCTCAAAATGTCTGCAACAGAGAGGGGTGACTTTGAGTTCCCTGGGGTCTGAGAAAATCAAGGAAAATGTTTTCTCTAGGAGGTAAATATGTGGGAGCTCGAAGACACAAAAATAATAACTTGGTTGTTTAAAACTTTTTTTAAGATATCAAAAAGGTGAGAGAGGTTGTTTGACTTTCTTTTCTTGCCTGGATCACTTTAGAAGGGATTCAGGGGAGGCCATATATCCAGACATAAATTGCATATCACTTTTATAAACCAAGCTCAATGAGCTTGGTAAAGAAAGGAACCTCAACACATAAATCTCTTAATACATTCCAAGAGTAGATTTGTATTATTGACAATAAGTCACATTTTTGCCCCCATATTTATTATACTTCACTAAAACCCGTATCTTTCTAACATTTGCTATTGTTAAATTATACCTCAACCTATCTACACTTACTGAGTATTCCTTTATGCAGGATTTGATATTTATCCTGGCTGAATTCATGACTTGCCTCATCATTCCAATCTACCGTGACATTTCTGGATTCTTATTCACTAATTCAAAAAGTTATCCCTTCAGCTTCATGTCAACTGAAAATATGATTACATGCCATCAGGTAGTGATGAGGCATTGAAAACAAGGTATCAGTTAGAATACAATGAGCATTTGACAGGATATTAGAGATCTTGACTCTGATTTCAACTGTGAACTATTATAGGAATTTGCATAAGCCATTTAATTGGATTATGCCTTCTTTTATTTATATATAAATGGGGTAATAAACAGTTTTGTAATTATAAAATGAAACAGCATCGAAGAAGAAGACAGGCAACTGCTTCAACTTCTGTATAAATGGATGGTATCATAGAATTCTTGTCTTAGGTATCAGGAATTGCCAGGTGAGATGAATTGCTACAGTCCTTGCCCTGGGGTGGCCTGATCTGAAGGTCCAGTTGAACTTTATTCTGCATAGAAAGAAGATGTGAAACTGTAGCTGTAGAGCACACCTTCACTGGAGAGGCAATTTTTTCTATCCCTAGCATTGAAATATAATTTATATGTCAGATGGTGCCTTTGAGGCACCAGTCAGTACATGCATCAAGCCTGTTAAAAGTGATGCCAGTTAAAGGATGACATTACTTTGATTCTAAGATAGCTGCACTGACTACAAGGTGGCTCCTATAGTGAATGCATATGGTTTTAACTTATGCAGCAACTCTAATGCCCTTGTTTATTTTTTTAACAACACTCCTATTTTTCTTCACGAAACCACCCCTTTCCATGTTAGTCCATGTAGTTCAGTTCAGTAGGGTTGAACCACTGTCTCAAGGGTGGACATATGGTACACACTTGACCAAACAGAGTCTGGCCTCCACTGGCCACAGAAATAGAGTCAGAGACAAACATGCAAATGAAGTTATTCCAATTATACTTCCTCCCAGATAATTTAAGTATCAGGTAGAACGACAATGACAAAAACAGTTGCTACTTGGTCATGAGTTCTTGCTGTGTAGATCCTCCAGGCTGTCCTACTTTCTGTTTTTCCCAAGGCCTAGATATTCAAGTGTTATTTTAAAATATACAAGCTACTCCACCTATTTCCAATACTTTTTGCCTGAATAAGTCTGTTCTATTTTTTGTTACCTGTAACTAAATAACTAAAACCAACATATACTATGACTCAAGACAATGAAAAAAAAGGCATTATAGAACCAAGAAAATGCAACATCCCAATGGCTCTACGGTCCCCTCTATGCATGCACTTTAAGTCCCCAAGAGTTCTGTGCTTTTCCCAGTTATGCCGGTAAAATCTAGTATCAACCCAGGTGCTCCCATGGTTCCATCCAAGGCCGATTGTATGAGCCAGCCACTTGAAACACACTATTTATACATGACACCTTCGCACACTCAGTATCAGTCTAGCTCATGCTTTCTCTTGAGCATGGGCTTATGAGTTTCTTCTGTCTCATAAGTACTTGATATAATTGGCCTGATTCTACCTTAGTCCCTGCTTCCTTCAACTAAATTCTTTCCAAATCTCAAACTATTGAAATTAAATTTCACATGTTCTCTGCCCATTCATAGCTGTTCCTTATATTCTAGAGATATTTAGTATTTGTTAGGGAAATTTAATCACAGAAAATGGGTCTTTTTATTTTTGATGTAACTATAGCAAAAGTCTCCTTGGCACTAACTACTCAGTCCTGTATGGCATTGGGAGGTACGTTAATTATCTATTGCTGCATCATTAATCACCCTAACATTTAGTGGCTTGAAACAATAGTATTTATCATCTTATAGTTCTGTAGGTGTCAAATGTGGGCAGAACTTAGTTGGGTTCTCTGTTTCAGAGTCCATCAAAGACTGTAATCAAGTTGTCAGCAATGTCTGTGGTCTCATCTCAAGGCTCAAATGGGGAAGGATCTGCTTTCAAACTCACTTATGTGGTTGTTGGCAGGATTCATTTTCTCATGGAATAGCTGACTAAGGGCCAAGACCTTTGCCGGAGGTTGGCTAGAGGCTGCCCTCAGTTTCTTTCTTTTTTTTTTTTTTTTTTTGAGACAGAGTCTCACTTTGTTACCCAGGCTGGAGTGCTGTGGTGTGATCTCAGCTCACTGCAACCTCTGCCTTCTGGGTTCAAGTGATTCTCCTGTCTCAGCCTCCCAAGTAGCTGGGATTACAGACATGTACCACCACACCCAGCTAATTTTTGTAGTTTTATTAGAGACCTCAGCCTCCCGAAGTCTTGGGATTAGAGGCATGAGCCACCATGTCCAACCAGCCCTCAGTTTCTTGATGTGTTGGTCTCTCTATATGGCAGCTGGCTTCATCAGAGCAGGCAAGCAAGACAGTGAGAGAGAAAGAGTATGAATAAGATGGAAGTCATAGTCTTTTATGATGTAATCTTAGAAGTGACAACCTATTACATTTTTCGTATTCGTTCTGTTGGTTAGAAGCAAGTCATGTGGACCAGCCAGCACTCAAGGAGAAGGGTCATGAATACTACCAGGTCATGAATATCAGGAATCGTATCAGAAGCTTCTTTGCACAGTAGGATGCCAATTTTTTGTTGGATACCACATATTGATATCATGTGGTAGCTTAATCACCAAACATTGAAAGTAGTAAGGCAAAACAGAGCATAGCCTTCACTTTATAATGTCCTCACAACTCTGTTTTCTATAGTAGCATCTGTGTATTTATCAAGAGAAACTACCATACATTTGTTATTGAAATCTTCTCATTGTCATATTTAGTTTCATAGCAGTGTGTTCTCTTGAAGCTCTTAGTGCTGCATACTGAAGTGATCATGACAGTGTGCTTTAAACATGTAGACAAGATTTTTATCTGCTATGGTGCAATACTGTACTGGGTTCTCACTGATAATCAGGTGTTTGTTGTCCTCTGTCAGTGAAAATGGGAATACAATTTACTTGATTCTTTTAAGATGTCTGTGATGCTAGGACTCCCACATTTTCTAAGCAGTTGAACCATCTTTTTACAGAAGAATGTCCATATGTTTTTCTTCAGTATTACAGTCAGTCTTCTTTTCTCTATTGTCTTTTTTAGGATATCTTCTTAATATTACAATTCTGTTACTTAAATCTAATTCTTATGTGTAGAATTAGACTGCAGAAAATTGACTGTGTGTGTGTTTCCAAAGTCAGTATCTGCCTTGTCTTGCATAAATCTGAGAATTTCGTATTTTTGCAATTTTTGTTTCTAAACACTCTCATAGTTGTAATCTTCAGTTCCCCAGTATATAGATAAGTAATTTACATGTACTGTGCTTTCATGATGACAAAAATGAAAGACTTTAAATTTGAATCAATATTCAACTGCGCCATATGTAGAAAAAGATAATAGCTGTGCTATTGAAAAAAAGAGGATGGTCATTCTAATTAATTGAACTTTCTAGTTAAAAGACTTCAAACATTAGGCATTATCCAGAGGATATAGTAAATGTTTTCTATTATGTCTGTGTTTTTTACACTATAGCAATATATGTTATGATGCCAGGATACTGCAGGAGAATAGCCAACACATTTATTGTAATTAATGTTTTTATTCATTCATACTTTCATTTACTTACTCGTTTAATAAACAGTTGTAGAATGTACCCTCTGTGCCAGATACGGCATGGTGTGCTGGTGAATATGAATAACACATAATTCTTATACTTTAGAAACTCACAGTTTATTTAGAGAAAACAAACATAAAAAAATATTTATAGCATTTTACACAAAATAATGATCATAGAAGAATGTAAATGATATGGGAATAATTTAAAACTTATTGTCAAACTTTTGATTTTATTAATTGGAAAACCATTTTTAAAAATTCTGTGGGACTCAAATATACTTATTTTACTAACTATAGGCTTAAAGAAAGAGAGAATATATTGTCACTCTAATATCAAAAAATATAAGCCATTTTAACACCCAAATCAGAGAAAGGACTTGATCTTAGATTAAAATATATTTCTTCCAAAGTAAAACCACTGTATTATTTCTATTAGCAACTCTGTTCATTTCTGCTTAACTAATTACCCCAAAACCTAGAGACAAACAGCAAAAATGTAGTCTCTCACAGTCTCTATAGTTCAAAAACTCATACACAGCTTAGCTGGGAGCCCCTGGCTGAGAGTCTTTCACAAGGCTGCAATTTAGGTGTCTGCTGAGGCTGCAGTTATTTCAAGACTAAATTGGAGGCAGATGTGCTTCCAGCCTCACTCGTGTGGCTGCTGGCAGGTCTCCGGTCCTCACTGGCTCTTGGCTGGGTGCCTCCCTCCATTCCTTCTTTTTTGTGCCTCCATATAGGGCAGAAGGCAGCAATGACAGCTGGTTTACCACAGATTGAGTAAGCAAGAGAGGGGTGAGCTAACTGGAAGACACAGTAGCTCATAACATAATCTCAGAAGCGGCAGCTCATTCGATACTTTTTTTCAGTATCCTGCTTAGAGATGCTAGGTGGACCAGCCTACAGTAAGATGATGAATATCAAGAAGTAGAGATCTGTAGATCATCTTAGAGGCTGCCTATCACAGAAACATTACATCAATCTTTTTCGTGTTTTATTGCAACTTGTGTTGATGAATCTCTGTAATAAATAAAAGGAAGAACAAGAAAGGGAAGGCTTCTTGGAGGCAGTAACTGAGCAACATATTCCCCGACAAAAAAGGGTTGTTGAAGTAACTGTTACATAGAATATGAGCGAAAGCACCAGGTTAGAAATGGCCAGGTGTATCCTTTGGGATAGATGATAAGGAGCAGATACGGAGTCAAAGCTAATAGCACTGCAGAAGCAGGCAAGGGTCAGGTGCTGCAGAGCTGTACATGCCATACTGAGCAACTGGGCTTTATATTTTGCAGGAGGTAATTTAAAAGATACGTGGGGTTGGGATGATTAATGTTTTCTTGTCATCTTTATGAATATGATATTTGTGAAATTATTAGTAAATAGCAAGTTGCTTTCACAGGAAACATTAGTAGAGTTGAAGTTATATATATATATTTGTTGTTCAGGTGGCCTGAAAAAAGGATCTAACCACTAAATAGTTAATTAATCTAGTTTAAAATTACTATTAGAATTTTAAAATAATGACAAATCAGAGTCATTTTTAAATAAATTTTGTGAGAAAAGCATATCATGTCTTTAAAATTTTTTTAGTCATCTTATAATAGTAAGTAATGTTTAAGCAGACAGAAGTAAAACATATATAAATGTTAAGCTTAGCCTCCCAATCGTTAGCAAAATTAATCTTCATCTCTTCTGTTATGAGAATTCTTTATATGAAGTCTTAGTCATAATCAAGAAAGTTCAATCTTAGCAGGTCCCTTAACCTTAGAAGCACTGTCCCATGTTGTGGTTGATAATGTTTTCAAGGGGCAACAGATATCAGCGAAATGTCCCTCTTTTTAAAATGCCTGAGAAACTGTGTTTGAATCCAATGGTGATTCATTTTATGGCTTCTTCAGTGACTTCATAAACTGTACATGTGTGCATCCCTATAAGCATGTGTATGTGTGTGCGTGCACACACACATACACATGTGCCCACACATATAAAGAAAAATACAAACCACTTTCAGGGCATAACCTCAAAATAGCTCAATACATCACTGGGAAGGTAGATTCTGACCTGCAAACCACCTTGCATTTTGCTATAAATATGATCATATCACCTTCAAATGAATGCCCAGGGTTACTTCTGAATATGTTTCCAATATGTGATATAAAACTTTCGGCAAACAGTTTAAATATTAATCCACACTTATAAATGTTTCTACTTCAATTGTTAATGTTTTCATCATATAACTAGTTTACTTTGTTTCGGATTTTGAGGGTGCAAAAATAAGACAACATTTCTTTTTTGAAATTCAGATGATCAGCTATAGCACTTATCTCATAATCAAGAAAATATCATCTTTCTGCTCTGGAATTTCCTCAGTCATAAAAAGATCAAGAATTCCTGGGGGTATGCTCAAGTTAACTGGTCAATTCCTCGCTACAATTGCCTAGTAAGTTGAAAACTAGAAATTCTAACCAATCTGCTAGTTGATTCTGTTGTCTGCTGGTTGCTCGTGCCTCTGCTGATGAAGTGTCTCTGTAGAAAACCAATAGTTCATCATGGAATGAAGCTGACATGTAGGATCTAGAGGTGTCTGAGTTACGTTGCTCCTACTCAACTCTCATAGTTTCTCAGGGAGGAAAGAAGATGAGAATAACATCTCTCTCTCTCCAGGGAGATTAAGCACTTCAAGTCTAAACCCTCTTGGTAACAGCTCTAGCACACATTCTTAGCTATTTTTCAGTAGCATATGTACAGTGCAGAGGTAATTAGCTACAGCCACTCACTATTGCTTGACTCAGACTCCATCATGCACCTCTAGAGCATCAGTTGTAAACTTACAGGCCCACGAACATAACAGATGCAAGAAGCAGGCCAGGTGAGGTCTGGTATAAAGTGAAGAGCTCTCGCCCCACCCTAGCTCCTTGTTATTGTGTGAGAATGAAGGCCCAAGTTACATGTTATTGGATTTTTTAAGAGAAACTAAACATTCTGATTTTTATATAAAATCTTCTGTATTCAATGTTGACAGCTAACTTGTATATTTAAAAACCCAGTGGAGACCAGGTGTCGTGGTTCACACCTTTCATCCCAGCACTTTAGGAGGCCACGATGGGAGAATTGTTTGAGCCCAGGGGTTTGAGGCCAGCCTTGGAAAAATAGTAAAACTCTGTCTCTCCAAAATTAAAAAAAAAAAAAAAAATAGCCAGGTGTGTTGGTGCATGCCTATAGTCCCAGCTACTTGGGAGGCTGAAGCAGGAGAATTACATGAGCCCAGGATGTTGAGGCTCTATTGAGCCATGATCACACCAATGCACTCTAGGTTGGGTGACAGAGCGAGGTCATCTCAAAAAAAAAAAAAAAAAAAAAGAAGAAAAGAAAAAATAAAGAAATAAACAACAAACAAATTCTATGGAGATGTGGCTAGGAAGGACTATTGGCTCCTTCAGCAGATTCTAGTGTTTTGTGTATCACCGCAACTGCCTTTCTGGGGTCTTGGGGTGCTTTCCAGACTCTATTCTCCTGCCCTGTTACAAGGTATTTTTATATCTGCTTCCCTTGCATAGTTGGCAGCAAGTAGCCAAAATCTGAGAATGGAAAGGAAAAAGAAAAAGGGTAGGAAAAAAGGTCTTGCTGGATTTACTTACCTATGAAATATTTATGTCTAGAACAGTGCTTGGCCCAACGTGCCCACTCATCTGTGGCTTGTTTTTCACTTTCTTCATCATGTCATTAGAAGTCCAAAACAAAGATGTCATCAAGATCGCTGACTAGAGGCACCTAGCATGTGTCTCCTCTACAAAGAAGAACAAAAATAACAAGTATGAATAGATAACTGCAAGTTGAACAAAGTCTCTAGGGGAGAACAATGGAATTTAATGATGAAGTGACAAAGACCCCCTGAGGCATGGAAACTCAGGATGGCAGCAAAAAGAGGGAAGCAAAGTACCTGGCCAGGATCTATTTAGAACCAAGCATTCCCAATGTGACAAATGGGTGAGTGGGAGATCCCCAGCCATTCACATCCCACCATGGAAGCCTGTAATTCTAGGCTGCAGAAGAGCCCTACTATCCTCACAGGCCCTGAGTCCAGTGGAGGGAGGTTCCTGGAGTCCAGGTGACTATATTACCGTAAAGATAGAATACACACTTGGCCCTCTTACTTCCTAGGACCCAGGATGCTGTAGTATAACACCATTTTGAGGATGGAGCCCCTACCAGACAGCATCCTGCCCAGGGGGCCAATTACCCCTGCATCTGCACATCCTTGGGGCTCCACTGTTATCCCACCATACCCACACAGAAGACTGCAGGGCCACAGCTCCAGCTAGATTCAGTGGTGCAGCTGTGAACCAGGCTCTTAAGCCCATATAGTGCTCTGCATCCCAGATAACAGGTGGTCCAGCACAGCAGGGAGGATATCCTCAAGATAGAAGTTGTAGATGCACACATTCCACAGAACCTGAGAGCCAACAGCCTGGCATCTGACTCTGCTGGTGACCACACTACCTTCAGTAGTAGAACTACTTTACACCTGTGTTCCCACTTGGGGCCTGAGGATCAAGTCCATCTAGGTCCCACCAATGCTGCAGGTGACCCTACCCATTCCAGGGGCAGAGCTGTCACATGCGTACCCCCCAGGGTCCCAAGGATTCACATACCCAGGGCCTGCTACAGACATTGACCCCACCTACCACAGTGGCAGATTTGCTAATCATCATGCACTCTGCATGGAGCCCAAGGACTGGCCCACCCAAGGCCTGCTGTTGCTGGTAACCTTGTCCACTCCTGCGGCAGAGCTGCTAAATGCCTTCACAGTGGCTCAAGCCCACCTGCTGGTCTCTGTAAGTTTAGCTGAGAGTAAGGATGAGTAGACCCAAAGTCAGGCAAGCAAGTTTTACTAACCTGCCAGCCTGCTCCACAGTAGACAGAGGAGGCAGCCTGGCTTACAGGCTGCTGTGGGGTTTTATAGAGTAAGGGGCTAAGTTGGGGTGGGGGAAACTGAGTAGGATTGCAGGTGTTTCAACCATTTCCTGGAAATGTTTTTGCCTGCTCAGTTATGCAAGGTGGGCAGATGTGTTAACCGCATCCTGGAACTGTTTACCAGTTCTACTGAAAGTCTTGCACAAGCGGCTGTAAAATAAGGCGGGCAGGGGTGGCGTTTGTAGTTGGTCACAAAGGACTGTATTGTCAGGGTCATGGAGTGAGGAGGA
The DNA here is from genome assembly GCF_000001405.40 of Homo sapiens. Lineage (NCBI taxonomy): Eukaryota > Metazoa > Chordata > Mammalia > Primates > Hominidae > Homo > Homo sapiens. The sequence continues at coordinate 166,128,428 of NC_000005.10, forward strand.
GGGGTAGCTTGCATCTCTAACATTCCAGCCTTTAATAGGTGATAAAGGAAGAGGGGCGAGGTTATCGTCTAACTGCTTCTAGCTGAAGAGGGGCGGCGTGCAAGGGGAAAGGCTAGGGAGGTTGGGGGATGGTTGTTCTTGAAGCTGCCGGTATTCCTGAAGAAACAGCATATCTCATACTGTCCCATGGGTGAAGGCTTTAATGAGGTTCTGTAAAACCTGGGTAAGGAGATGTTTGAAGCGGGGTCCAGAAGCTAAGAGAAGGATGGTTATAGCTGGGCCAAGGAAGAGTAGCAGCTAGGGAGCCCAAGAGCTAAGGAAGCATGAGATCCAGAGGGACCAGGTAGAAGATGTGCTTTTGTTTTTCCGTTTTCTGTTTTTTTTTTTTTTTTTTTTGGCTTGGTCTTTGAGTTTTTTGGCTGCATCTAGCACTAGGCCTGATTGAGATAAAAGCAGCACTGTTCATCTAGAAAGATGCAGAGCCCTCTTTTTTCAGCAGTGAGCATATTAAGGCCTCTGCGATTTTGAAGGACAACTGCTGCTAAGGAGTCTATTTGTGATTGGAGGGTTGAAACAATGTTAGCTAAGTCTTCTAAACTGTCTGTAAGATCTTGTGGGAAGGAACGATAGTAAGTGAGGGAAGTAGAAAGCCCGGTCACTCCGGTTCCAACTGCAGTAGTAATTCCTAGCCCTGTTAGGAGGGGTATTAACTGAATGGCCCTGCGTTGGCACACTTGAGTTTTTACAGGGATTGGTAGGCTTTGGTTTCCAGGGACAATGTCGATTTTGGGGCTCAGAAAAACTAGAGTACAGTTACCAGTCCAGTTGGTAGAGAAGTAGAGATAGAGGGAGGTACCGCACAGGAAGAATATGCCTTGGCTGGGTAAGCAGAATTGGCTGTGTATGTTAAAAAGGTGTGTAAGTTTGTGGTCTTTGTATATCCATGCTCCTAGGGTGCTTGCCAAGGCAGCTGCGGTGAGTGACTGTAAAGGGGTATTAGGAGACAGTTGAGTTGAATCTGGATTTGTGTTTTCCCAGTGGAGGAGAAATTGTTTTGTATCTACCAGGAGTCTTTTGTTACCATTTAATAAAGGTATTAGAAGACATTCATTTATGGTTGGGAGATGGGCCTCAGAGGGGGATGGAGTTCAGGGTTGAAGGGATAAGCAGGGTAAGTGCCTTCCATTGTAGTATCCTGAGTTGAAGTTTTGTAGTAGAGTGGTGTTAATTTTGGGGGGACCAGAAAAGCACATGGTAACCCGGAAAATGGGAAGGTTAGTATGGTCAATTGGGCCTTGGAGTTGCAGAGTGAAATTGCAGTGGTTTGAAGGTAGGTGTCCTAGGAGGTAACCTGAGAGTAGGTGGCATTGGATGCATAGAGGGGCTTGGGAAGTTAAGAAGGTGTTGGTGGTTTATAGGACTGAGGATAGGCTTGGTATGGTTGGTATTGGGGCTAGATTATCAAAATAGGGGCACATTAGCAGAACTGCTTGCCCTATTGTGGTGAGGGGTTTGTTTGTTTCGGCATAGGAATAGGAGAGACTTATTAAGGACTGTAAATCTGGGTATGGGTAGGGTCCGCTTAGCTCATAATGGGGGTGGAAAGTTATTCAAGTAAAAACCCAGTCACGGGTTGAAGCAGGAATTGTGGTGTAGGCTGTAGTTGATAGGTAAAAGCAAAGCCAGTAGTTATCAGCTAGGGTGGGCTTGGCCTATTGTAATAAGGCATGGGTAAGATTTGGGATTTTGTGAAGTTAATTAGGCGTTGGTGGAGGAAGGAGAGCTAGAGTGTGGGGGGAGTAGGAGGGGTAGACAAAGGGTAAGTAGAAAAGTAAATAAGTGCATTTCATCTGGGGAAAAATCACACAAGGCACCTTGGAAGAGAAGGTCATTTATCCACTCTAAAAGAGAGTCAAAAGTGGGAGCTTGGGGATAAACCAAGAGCTATCTTGGCAAACGGAGGTGAGGAAGAGGGTAAAGCGGCAATATAGGCATGGGCAGAGCATTTAGAGGTGGTAGTTATTTGTTATAGACTGTGATTCCAATTATAAGGATAATTAACAGGCAAAGGGTTAGAGTGACTGAGGTTTTTTGCCTGATACTCCACTTGGAAGGTGCTACAGTATATAATCCTACTGCAAAGAGTATGGTTAGTATGCCCCTTATTGCAATGGTGGTATAGTGAAAGACTTCCATTAGAGAAGGTAGGGGTAGAAGTAGGGAAGATGTTAAACATTAAATAGGGTGTTGCTTATCTTTCATATCTTTAGGTAGAGAGGGGTTCTTCTGAAACAGGAGTGAGGCAAAGTCAGGTTGGTCCCAGAGGAGCGCTGAGGTATTTGCAAAGGACGATTGGCGGATCAGTTGTGAGTGAGTCAGCTGTAGGAGCCCTTTTTAATCTGGAAAGATGGTACCAAGAGTATGTCCTGGGAGTTTGGCTGCATTGGGGGTTGTGAGAATAACCTGGAAAGGGCCTTCCCACTTGGGCTTGAGATTTGTCGGGTTGAAGGTTTTTAGGAAAACATGTTCTCCTGTTAGGAGAGTCTGGTCGGTGGGGCCTTCGTGGGGTTTTGGGAGAGCTTGGTCTGCTTGTTCACGGAGGAGATGGCAGATAAGGGAGAGTGTGGGGAGGTATTCTCCTGAGAATCAGATGGGGACCTGTTTTGTAGGAGGGGCATCCATACATTAATTCTAATGGGCTGAGGAAGGAGGGTGCCCTTGGACAGGCTCTAATGCAGACTAGAACTATGGGCAGAAGAGAAGTCCAGGGTTTCTGGACTTCAAGAGTGAGTTTGGTTAACTACGCTTTGATAATTCCATTTGCCCTTTCAACTTTTCCTGGTGGCTGGGGTCAGTATGGGATATGGAGGCACCACTAGACACTTAGGGACTGAGAAATCTGTTGGGTAATTTGGGAGATGAAGCAAGGGCCATTGTCTGATTGTATGGAGTGAGGGAGACCAAATCTAGGGATAATTTCTGCTATAAGAATTTGGGTGACTACTGCAGCCTTTTCTGAAGAGGTTGGAAATGCTTCTACCCACCCAGAGAAGGTGTCTATAAGAGTAAGAAGAAATTTTGTTCTTTTGATGGGAGGCATGTGGGTGAAGTCTACCTGCCAGTCTTTCCCTGGGCTTGTTCCTCTGAGCTGATGTGTAGGGATGGAGGGAGAGTGGAGGGCCCCTTGGGAGGAAGTAACAGAGCATATACGACAGTTGGAGGTTATGTCTTTTAGTGAGGTGAATAAGTGGGGAGAGGAGAAATAAGGGCAAGGAGTAGGTACAGGAAGTGTGCACTGATATGAAAGGATTGGTGCAGAGATGTTATAATTTCTTTGGTTTGCTCTTGGGGGAGGACAAGCTTTTGATTTTTGACTATCCAATCCCCTTGGAGGGAGGCTCCTTGCTGTAGTAGCAAAGCTTTTTCAGTGGGAGAGTACTTGGGTTGGATTGCCAGGGTAATGAGGAGAGGGGCAGGGACAGAAGAAAAGGAGGCTTCTTTTGCTACCTCATCGGCCTTTCTGTTTCCTCTGGAGATCTCATCTGACCCTGTGTGATGCCCTCTACAGTGTATAACTCCCGTTTTAGCTGGGAGGTGTGCGGCCTGAAGGAGTTGGTAAATAAGGGGGCCGTTAGTGATGAGGGTTCCTTTGGCAGTAAGGAATCATCTCTCTTGCCAGATGGCGGCATGGGAATGAAGAATATGGTAGGTATATTTGCAGTCTGTGTAAGTGTTGACTTATTTGCCTTTGGAAAGGGTTAGGGCCCTGGTGAGAGCTATGAGTTCTGCTTTTTTGAGGCGGTTCCTGGGGGTAGGGGTTTGGCTTCAATTACTCGGTCAAGAGAAAGAACTGCATATCCAGCAATTTTGGGGGAGCCGGTGGGCCCAGAAGAGGAGCCATCTATGAATAGTTTGTCACTAGGGTTGGTGAGAGGCTTGGAGGAAATGTTTGGGAAATGGGGCTGTATGTGGTCCGGGATGTCAGTGCAAGAATGAGTAGGGGGAAGAGGATATGGGAAGTAAGGATGCTGGGTTGAGGGGAGCACTTTTGGCAAGGCTGAATTCTGGGTTTTTAATAAAGAGGGCATGGAGTGATTGAATTTAGGAAGGAGAGAGGGAGCTTAACACCCAAGAGGAGAGGAGATCCTGTAAATTCTGAGGACTGTGGACAGCGGTGTTTTGGCTGAATGTCAGTTTTTTGCTTTCCAGGGCTAAAATGGCTACTGCTGCCAATGCTCTAAGACAGGTTGACCACTCTTTGATGGTATTGTCTTATTGTTTAGAGAGATGCGCTACAGGGGCAAAGAAAGGAGCATCTCCTTTCTGTTGTCCTAAGACACTGAGGGCTATCCCCCAGCTTTCAGCGATATAGAGAATGAAAGGTTGGGAGATATCAGGTAAGGACAGGGCTGGTGTGGTGACAAGAGCAGTTTGGAGTTTATGGAAACTGAGAAGTATGTTATGTAAGGGGCTTAGGGGTTCATTGAGGTGGCCTTTGGCTGCTTCATAGAGGGGATGAGCTAGGAGGGCAAAGTTGGGAATCCGTATCCTAAAGAAACCTGCCAGTCCTAAGGAAGAGAGAATTTCATTTTTTGAGGAAGGTGGAGGCAGGCTGTCTATTAAGGCTGCCGGTGCTGGGGTCACGGCTCATGCCCCGAGGGAGAGTTGGACTCCCACGTGTGTTACTGTTGGGGTGGATAGTTGTGATTTGGAGAGGGAGACCCTATATCCTTTGCTAGCAAGAAAGTTTAGAAGGCTAATAGTGTGAGTTTGAGCATCTTCTAGGGAGGGGCTGCAAAGAAGGAGATCATCTATGTATTGAAGGAGACCACTGGGGGCAAGGTCCAAGGAGGTGAGGTCTTGGGCTAGAGCTTGTCTGAAGAAGTGAGGGCTGTCCCTGAAGCCCTGAGGGAGAACAGTCCATGTGAGTTGTTGCGATTGAAGGGTCTCAGGATCAGTCCAGGTGAAAGAAAAGAGGTTTTGGGAGTCAGGGTACAGGGGAATAGTGAAGAAGGCATCCTTTAGGTCAATGGCGGTGTAGTTGGTGGTATTGGAGGGAATAAGGGAGAGGAGTGTATAAGGATTGGGAACTACTGGGCGAATGGGAAGGACTGCCTGATTGATAGCCCAGAGGTCTTGGACTAGTCGGTAAGAGCCATCTGACTTTTTAACAGGAAGGATGGGGGTGTTATATGGAGAGTGAGTTGGTCTAAGAAGACTGCATGAGCAGAGCTTGTTTATAATGGGTTGTAGGCCTTTTTGGTGGGTGAGAGAGATGGGGTATTGGGGTACGTTGGGAAACTTGGAGGGGTCTTGGATTATGATGGGGTCATGGTGAGCAGCTAGGGATGGGGGTGTGGTGTCCCACACCACTGGGTTAATGAGTGAGGTGGGAAGTGGGTACTGGGGAGAGGGGTCGGGTTTGGACTGATGGAAAGGAGCAGGAGGGACTCTGGTTGAGGGAGGCAGGAAAAGGTGATAGAAGCCTTAAATTTGGCTAAAAGATCTTGGCCTAGAATGGGGGTAAGGCAGCGAGGCATGATAAGTGTGATAAGGAAAGAGTGTGAGAAAATGGTATTAAACAGGGAAAAAGACAGGGGTCCAGTGGCACACGGATTGGAGACAAGTCCATCAGCTCCCACAACTGAGACCTGAGAGGGATGAGTTGGTCCTGCAAATTCAGGTAAAGCTAAATAGGTGGCCCCAGTATTGATTAAAAAAGAGATAGGCTTACCTGCTACTAGTAGAATTACCCTGGGCTCTGATGCCATGATGGAGGAGGGGTTTGGTGTCCCTGGGCCATGTCAGTCTTCAGTGGCCAGGTCGAGGAGCTGTGGGAGTGCGAGGGATTCTTCAATCTTTGGTTTGATGAAGGGACAGTGGGTCGGGGGCGGGGGCAGGCTTTTCTGTTCACCTGTTAAGAGAGCAGTCAGAGTTCCAGTGGCCTGTATGTTGGCAGACTGGGCAGGGGCTCTTCAGTACTCATGGGTTAGGACACACCTGTGACCAATGGCCTTCTTTGCCACACTTAAAGCAGACCCCAGGAGGAAGACTGCTTTTGGGTCTTTTGTGCCCTTGGGTGCTATTGCCAGGTTGGCAAATAGCTGTGGCTAGTAGCTGGTATTTGGCATGATCTTTTTGGGCCTTATTTATTTTTTCCTGCTCATCCCTATTATTAAAGACTTTCAAAGCCAGGTTGAGAAAGTCTTGTTGTGGGGTTTGAGGGCCTTCTTCAGCCTTTTTGAGTTTTCGCCAGATGTTGGGAGCTGATTGGGAGATAAAATGGGTATAAAGATCTATAGTGCCTTCTCAGGAAGCAGGATCGACATGGGTGTATTTTTGGAGAGCCTCTACAAGGTGGGAGAGAAATTCAGTGGGATTTTCATCTGCCCCCTGGGAAATCTCTTTGAGTTTTTCAAAATTTACAGCTTTATGGGCAGCTTTGTTAAGGACTGCAATGAGGCAAGTGACCATATGGTTACAGGGTGCTCACCCTGGGACCTGTCGGTTGGTATTCCCACGAAGGCTCTTCTCAGGGAACTGCCACGGCCCCTACTGTAGCAGGATTGGCAGAGAGAAGGGTGATTTTGGAGGGTGAAGAAAGCCTGAACATAAGGAATTTCAGACCATTTCTCATGGCAATAACAAAAATTAGTCTAAGTCCCTGAGTATATTGAAATTGAAGGTACCATTTTCAGGCGACGGGGAGTCGTTGTCTAATTTATATTCTGGCCAAGCTGTATTACAGTAGAAAATAAGTCTTTTGGGATGAACCTCTGAACAGAGGCCGAGAGTGTTAAGATTGTGAAGGAGGCACCCCAGGGGTAATCTTAGAGTAGATTGAGAGGCTCCCATACTGAATGGAATGGGGGGCGGTAGAGGAAGAAGAGACTTCCAATGACAAGGACGGTGGGAGATGGCGTCCCCTGTCCCACGGGCCTTGCCTAGGAGCAGGGAGGTAACCACTGAGTCAGGTGTCCCTGAAATGGAGGAACTGGAGGCCCAGATGCTGGGAGGAAGCCCTTGGCCCAGGGCTGGGTCTTTTGGGCAAATAGGGATGTTCAAGCATTCTGGATAAATGGCAAGAGTCTCTCTTATCCCTGTGCAGGCTTTGGTGATAAATGGAGTCACCTACAATGGGAGGGTCTGAGAAATCTTCCAGGTCTTCGGCAGGTTCGGGAAGGGGGGTATGGCCAGGAGAGGGGGAAAGGCACTGAGACTCCAGTGCACCATGATGAGTAAGCCTGGGAGGAGGGAGGGAGGAAGAGGGAGGGAGAGAAAGAGAGAGAGGTGAGCCCGGGAGGATAGAGGGAGCAAGAGGGAGAGAAAGAGAGACAGAGAGAGAGAGAGAGAGAGAGAATGAGTCCTCTAGGGACACCTGGCCAGAGCCTACCCCCTCCCAGGTTTCAGCACCAAAATGTATGGTTAGCTAAGAGTAAGGATGAGTAGACCCAAAGTCAGGCAAGCAAATTTTATTAACCTGTCAGACTGCTCCACAGTAGGTGGAGGAGGCAGCCCCACTTACAGGCTGCTGTGGGGTTTTATAGGGGCAAGGTTGAGGTTGGGGAAACTAAGTAGGATTGCAGATGTTTCAACCATTTCCTGGAAATGTTTTTGCCTGCTCATTTATGCAAGGTGGGCAGATGTCTTAAACACTTCCTGGAACTGTTTACTAGTTCTACTGAAATTCTTTCACAAGCAGCTGTAAAAAAGTGCTGAGGGGTAGTTTGTAGGTGGTCACAAAGGACTGTATTGTGGGGATCATGGAGTGAGGGGGAGGCATAGCTTGGATCTCCAACAGTCTCCACCCTCAGCAAAACCATGCCACACCCTCCACAAACAACTGCACTATAAGACCCTGAGGTACTTGCAGACACTGTTGACTTTTATTGCAGCCAAAGAAATCACTTAGAGACTACATTGTTATGTTTACACCAAACCAATGCCAAAGCAGTCTATACAGCCAACATTATAGGACATATCCACAGGGAAAAGTCTTTTTTCTAAAAAAGCTACTTAGTAAGAATAGAAGATGGGGCTATGCAATGAGATGCACAGATGTCAATGTAGGGACAAAAGCAACATGAAAAAGCAAGAGGAAATAACTCTTCCATACGAACACAATAATTCTTCAGTAACAGAATACAAAAAAAAGGAAATCTATCAAATGCCTGCAAACAAATTAAATGATTTTTAAGGAAACTCAGTCAGCTACAAAAGAATACAGATAGATAATTCAACAAAATCTGGAAAATAATTCATAATCTGAATCAAAAATTTAACCAAGAGATAGATATCATTAAAAAGAACCCAACACAAATCTTGGAACTGAAGAATTCAATGAATAATTTAAAAAATGCACTTCAGGGTTTTAACAATTGACTAGATCAAAGAATAAAGAATTTTTGATTCTGAAGACAGGTATTTTGAAATGACCCACTTAGGGAAAAAGAAAAAAAGAAAAGATTAAACAATATAAAATGAGACTTATAGAACAACATTAAGCAGACAAGAATTCACATTATGAGCATTTCAGAAGGAAAGGAGATGGAAAAAAAGGCATAGAAAACCTATTTAATTAAATTATAGCTGAAAAATTCCCAAGGCTTAGAGGAGATATGGACACTCAGATCCAGGGAGCTCAAAAATCCCCAAGTGAATTCAATCCTACAAGGTCTCTGCTGAGCCACATTAAAGTCAAACCATCAAAATTCAAAGACAAAAAGAGGGTTTTAGCAAGAGAAAAGCATCAGGTCACAGAAAGGGGGATCCTTATAAAAAAAACAAAAAAATTCTCAGTTGAAACCTTACGCACCAGGAGAGAATGGGTTGATATATTTAAGGTGCTGAAAGAAAAATATCGTTGGCCAAGAATGCTATATTCAGCAAAGCTATCCTTAAGAAATGAAGGAGAAATAAAGTCTTTCTCACACAAGCAAATACTAGGCAAATTCATCACCACAAGACTGCCCCTACAAGAAATACTCAAAAGAATTGTACATCTGGAAACAGAAGGATGATAACTACCATAAGAAAGCACACAAGAAAAAAATTCACTGGTAGATCAGATACGTGATGAGAAAGAGGAAAAAATCAAATATCATCACTACAGAAAATCACTAAACCACCCAGATAAACAATGAGAGAGAGAGAGAGAGAAGAAGAAAGAAAGAAAGAAAGAAAGAAAGAAAGAAAGAAAGAAAGAAAGAAAGAAAGAAAGAAAGAAAGAAAAGAAAAGAAAAGAAAAGAAAAGAAAGAGTGAGTAAGTGTGGAAGGGAGGAAGGGAATACAAATCTACCAAAAAACAATTAGTAAAATGGCAAAGTTAGTTCACATCTGTCAAAACACCTAGCATGTAAACAGTTTACATCCCCAATTAAAAGATATAAACTGGCTGAATGAAAACATCCAACTATATGCTGTCTTCAGTAAACTCACTTCATCTATAAACACATGGCCTGAATGTGAGCAGATGGGAAAAGATGTTCTACACAAATAGAAATAAAAAATGAGCATGAGTAGTTATATTTATATCAGATAAAACAGACTTTAAAAATTTATTAAAGAGACAAAGAAGGTAATTATATGGTGATAAAGGAATCAATTCAGTGAGAAGATATAATAATTTTAAATAGATTTATACCCAACACCAGATATATAAAACAAATACCATTAGAGCGAAACGGAGAGATACTTCCCAATGCAATAATAGTTAGGAACTTAAACACCTTACTCTCAGCATTGAAGAGGTTGCCTAGATTAAAAAAATCAGCAAAGACACATTGGGATTTAAACTGCATAGACTAAATGGATTTAACAGACATTTATAGAGCATTTCACTGAAAAGCTGCACAGAGTACACATTTTTCTTACCAGTACGTGGAACATTCTCCAGGATAGACCATATTTTAGGACACAAAACAAGTCTCAACAAATTTTTAAAAATCAAAATCTTATCAAGTGGCTTCTCAGACCACAATGGGGTAAAACTAGAAATCAATAGAGAAATTTTGAAAACTGTACAAATACATTATTTATTTATTTTTTTTTTTTTTGAGATGGATACTCGCTCTGTCACCAGGCTGGAGTGCAGTGGTGCGATCTTGGCTCACTGCAACCTTCACCTCCCAGGTTCAAGCGATTCTCCTGCCTCAGCCTCCTGAGTAGCTGGGACTACAGGTGTGCACCACCATGGCCAGCTAATTTTTGTACTTTTAGGAGAGATGGGATTTCACCATGTTGGCCAGGATGGTCTCGATCTCTTAACCTCGTGATCCGCCCACCTCAGCCTCCCAAAGTGCTGGTATTACAGGCATGTGCCACTGCTCTCGGCCAATTAATTTTTTTTTTATGGAGATATGGGGTCCCTTTCTTTGTCCTAAACTACTGGCCTCAAGCCATCTTCCCACCTTGACCTCCTAAAATACTGAGATTACAGGTATGAGTCACTGTGTCTGACCATCATGGAAATTAAACGACATGCTTCTGAATGACCAAAGAGTTTATGAAGAAATTAAGAAGAAAATAAAACAAATTTCTCAAGACATGAAAATAGAAACACAACATACCAAACCCCATGTAATACTGAAAAAGCAATGTTAAGGGGGAAGTTCATAAGATTAAATGCCTACATCAAAATTAGAAATATTTCAAATAAAGAAGCTATCATTACATGTCAAGAAACTAGAATAAAAAGAAGAAACAAAAATCAAAATTGTTAATAGGAAAGAAAGAATTGAGATCAAACAGAAATAAACAAAATAAAGACTTAAAAAATACAACAGATCAATGAAACAGAAAGTTGGTTTTTGTAAAGATAAGAAAAGTTGAAAACCATCTGTTACACTAAGGAAAAAAGAGGGAAGACCCAAATAAATAAAATTAGAAGAAGAAAGGAGACATTAGAACTGATGCCTCAGAAATACAAAAGATCATGAGAAACTATTATAAACAACTGCACACCAACAAATTGGGAAACCTAGAGAAAATAGATAAATTTTTAGACACGTATATCCTATCAAGGTTGAATGAAGATGAAATAGAAAACCTAACCATACTGATAAGGAGTCACAAGATTAAATCAGAAATAAAGTCTTCCAACAAAAAGAAGCCCATGAGCAGAAGGCTTTACTGCAGAATTGTAGGAAACTTTTACAGAATAACTAATACCAATTCTGAAACTACTCCCAAAATTTGAAGAGGAGGGAATTCTTTCTTACTTATTCGATGAAGCCAGAATTCCCTTGATACCAAAATCACACAAGGACACAGCAGCAGCAGAAACAACAACAACAACGAAAACTACAGGCCAATATTCCTGATGAACATAGGTGCAAAATTCTCAACAAAATACTAGCTAACTGAATTCAATAATTCATCAAAAAGATTATACACATTGATCAAGTGGGATTTATCCTAAGGATGCAAGGATGGTTCAACATACATAAATCAATAGATGTAATACATCACATCAATAGAATGAAGTGCAAAGACCATATAATCATTTCAATAGATGCAGAAAAAGCATCTATTTGACAAAATTTAACATTAACATCCTCTCATGATAAAAATTCTCAATAAATTAGGTAGGAATACTAGAAGGAACATACCCCAACACAATATAGGCCATATATGACAAACATCATAGTGAATGGGGAAAAGTAGAAAACTTTTCTTTAATAACTATTATATAACAAGACAAGAATGCCTACTTTTACTGCTCTTATTCAACATGTCTTTGGAAGTTCCAGCCAGAGTAATTAGACAAGAAAAAAAAATAAAAGGCATCCAAATTGGAAAAGAGAAAGTCAAATTGGTCTCTGTTTGCAGATAACATGATCTGTATATATTTAAAAAAACCCTGAAGACTCCACCAAAAACCTCTTAGAGTTGATAAACAAATTCAATAAAACCAAAATATAAAAATTAATAATATTTCTATATACCAGTAATAGACTACCTGAAAAAAAATCAAGAAAGCATTTTTATTTAAAATAGCTACCAAAAAAAAGCCTGGAAATAAAATTAACCAAGGAGGTAAAAGATCTCTACAATGAAAAATAAAAAACACTGGTGAAAGAAACTGAAGAGGACACCAAAAAATGAGAAAACATGTTATATTCATTAATTGAAAGAATTAATATTGCCAAAGTAATCACACTACCCAAAGTTATATACAGAGTCAGTGCAATCTCTGCCATGATGCCAATTACATTCTTCAGAGAAGTAGAAAAAAACGCAAAATCAAAAAACAAAACAATTGTGTTTAGAATCACAAAAGACCATGAATAGTCAAAGCAATCCTCACTAAGAACAGTCAGAGGCATCACACTACGTGACTCCAAAATATACTAAAAAACCATAGTAATCAAAACAGCATGGTACTGGTATAAAAACAGACAAACAGACCAATAGAACAGAATAGAAAACCCAGAAATAAATGTACATATTTACAGCAACTGATTTTTAACAAAGGCATTAAGAATATACGTGGGAGACAGGACAGCCTCTTCAATAGATGTGCTGGGAAAAGTAGATTTCCATATGTACGGAAATGAAACTAGACTCCAATCTCTCACTATATCCAAAAATCATTCAAAATGGATTAAGAACTTAAATGTAAGACCTGAAACTATAAAATTACTAGAATAAAACATAGAAGAAATGCTTCAGGACACATATCTGGGAAAGGATTTTATAGACAAAACTTCAAAAGCACAGGCAGCAAAACTAAAAATAGATCGATGGGATTATATAAAACTAAAAAAGTAGTTTTTTCCAAATCTGTGAAGAAAGTCATTGGTAGCTTGATGGGGATGGCATTGAATCTGTAAATTACCTTGGGCAGTATGGCCATTTTCACAATATTGATTCTTCCTACCCATGAGCATGGAATGTTCTTCCATTTGTTTGTATCCTCTTTTATTTCCTTGAGCAGTGGTTTGTAGTTCTCCTTGAAGAGGTCCTTCACATCCCTTGTAAGTTGGATTCCTAGGTATTTTATTCTCTTTGAAGCAATTGTGAATGGGAGTTCACTCATGATTTGGCTCTCTGTTTTTCTGTTGTTGGTGTATAAGAATGCTTGTGATTTTTGTACATTGATTTTGTATCCTGAGACTTTGCTGAAATTGCTTACCAGCTTAAGGAGATTTTGGGCTGAGACAATGGGGTTTTCTAGATATACAATCATGTCATCTGCAAACAGGGACAATTTGGCTTCCTCTTTTCTTAATTGAATACCCTTTATTTCCTTCTCCTGCCTGATTGCCCTGGCCAGAACTTCCAACACTATGTTGAATAGGAGTGGTGAGAGAGGGCATCCCTGTCTTGTGCCAGTTTTCAAAGGGAATGCTTCCAGTTTTTGCCCATTCAGTATGATATTGGCTGTGGGTTTGTCATAGATAGCTCTTATTATTTTGAAATACGTCCCATCAATACCTAATTTATTGAGAGTTTTTAGCATGAAGGGTTGTTGAATTTTGTCAAAGGCTTTTTCTGCATCTATTGAGATAATCATGTGGTTTTTGTCTTTGGTTCTGTTTATATGCTGGATTACATTTATTGATTTGCGTATATTGAACCAGCCTTGCATCCCAGGGATGAAGCCCACTTGATCATGGTGGATAAGCTTTTTGATGTGCTGCTGGATTCGGTTTGCCAGTATTTTATTGAGGATTTTTGCATCAATGTTCATCAAGGATATTGGTCTAAAATTCTCTTTTTTTGTTGTGTCTCTGCCCGGCTTTGGTATCAGAATGATGCTGGCCTCATAAAATGAGTTAGGGAGGATTCCCTCTTTTTCTATTGATTGGAATAGTTTCAGAAGGAATGGTACCAGTTCCTCCTTGTACCTCTGGTAGGATTCGGCTGTGAATCCATCTGGTCCTGGACTCTTTTTGGTTGGTAAGCTATTGATTATTGCCACAATTTCAGCTCCTGTTATTGGTCTATTAAGAGATTCAACTTCTTCCTGGTTTAGTCTTGGGAGAGTGTATGTGTTGAGGAATTTATCCATTTCTTCTAGATTTTCTAGTTTATTTGTGTAGAGGTGTTTGTAGTATTCTCTGATGGTAGTTTGTATTTCTGTGGGATCGGTGGTGATATCCCCTTTATCATTTTTTATTGTGTCTATTTGATTCTTCTCTCTTTTTTTCTTTATTAGTCTTGCTAGTGGTCTATCAATTTTGTTGATCCTTTCAAAAAACCAGCTCCTGGATTCATTGATTTTTTGAAGGGTTTTTTGTGTCTCTATTTCCTTCAGTTCTGCTCTGATTTTAGTTATTTCTTGCCTTCTGCTAGCTTTTGAATGTGTTTGCTCTTGCTTTTCTAGTTCTTTTAATTGTGATGTTAGTGTGTCAATTTTGGATCTTTCCTGCTTTCTCTTGTGGGCATTTAGTGCTATAAATTTCCCTCTACACACTGCTTTGAATGCATCCCAGAGATTCTGGTATGTTGTGTCTTTGTTCTCTTTGGTTTCAAAGAACATCTTTATTTCTGACTTCATTTCGTTATGTACCCAGTAGTCATTCAGGAGCAGGTTGTTCAGTTTCCATGTAGTTGAGCGGCTTTGAGTGAGATTCTTAATCCTGAGTTCTAGTTTGATTGCACTGTGGTCTGAGAGACAGTTTGTTATAATTTCTGTTCTTTTACATTTGCTGAGGAGAGCTTTACTTCCAACTATGTGGTCAATTTTGGAATAGGTGTGGTGTGGTGCTGAAAAAAATGTATATTCTGTTGATTTGGGGTGGAGAGTTCTGTAGATATCTATTAGGTCCGCTTGGTGCAGAGCTGAGTTCAATTCCTGGGTATCCTTGTTGACTTTCTGTCTCGTTGATCTGTCTAATGTTGACAGTGGGGTGTTAAAGTCTCCCATTATTATTGTGTGGGAGTCTAAGTCAATTTGTAGGTCACTCAGGACTTGCTTTATGAATCTGGGTGCTCCTGTATTGGGTGCATATATATTTAGGATAGTTAGCTCTTCTTGTTGAATTGATCCCTTTACCATTATGTAATGGCCTTCTTTGTCTCTTTTGATCTTTGTTGGTTTAAAGTCTGTTTTATCAGAGACTAGGATTGCAACCCCTGCCTTTTTTCGTTTTCCATTGGCTTGGTAGATCTTCCTCCATCCTTTTATTTTGAGCCTATGTGTGTCTCTGCACGTGAGATGGGTTTCCTGAATACAGCACACTGATGGGTCTTGACTCTTTATCCAATTTGCCAGTCTGTGTCTTTTAATTGGAACATTTAGTCCATTTACATTTAAAGTTAATATTGTTATGTGTGAATTTGATCCTGTCATTATGATGTTAGCTGGTGATTTTGCTCATTAGTTGATGCAGTTTCTTCCTAGTCTCGATGGTCTTTACATTTTGGCATGATTTTGCAGCGGCTGGTACCTGTTGTTCCTTTCCATGTTTAGCGCTTCCTTCAGGAGCTCTTTTAGGGCAGGTCTGGTGGTGACAAAATCTCTCAGCATTTGCTTGTCTGTAAAGTATTTTATTTCTCCTTCACTTATGAAGCTTATCTTGGCTGGATATGAAATTCTGGGTTGGAAATTCTTTTCTTTAAGAATGTTGAATATTGGCCCCCACTCTCTTCTGGCTTGTAGGGTTTCTGCCGAGAGATCCGCTGTTAGTCTGATGGGCTTCCCTTTGAGGGTAACCCGACCTTTCTCTCTGGCTGCCCTTAACATTTTTTCCTTCATTTCAACTTTGGTGAATCTGACAATTATGTGTCTTGGAGTTGCTCTTCTCGAGGAGTATCTTTGTGGCGTTCTCTGTATTTCCTGAATCTGAACTTTGGCCTGCCTTGCTAGATTGGGGAAGTTCTCCTGGATAATATCCTGCAGAGTGTTTTCCAACTTGGTTCCATTCTCCGCATCACTTTCAGGTACACCAATCAGACGTAGATTTGGTCTTTTCACATAGTCCCATATTTCTTGGAGGCTTTGCTCATTTCTTTTTATTCTTTTTTCTCTAAACTTCCCTTCTCGCTTCATTTCATTCATTTCATCTTCCATTGCTGACACCCTTTCTTCCAGTTGATCGCATCGGCTCCTGAGGCTTCTGCATTCTTCACGTAGTTCTCGAGCCTTGGTTTTCAGCTCCATCAGCTCCTTTAAGCACTTCTCTGTATTGGTTATTCTAGTTATACATTCTTCTAAATTTTTTTCAAAGTTTTCAACTTCTTTGCCTTTGGTTTGAATGTCCTCCCGTAGCTCAGAGTAATTTGATCGTCTGAAGCCTTCTTCTCTCAGCTCGTCAAAGTCATTCTCCATCCAGCTTTGTTCTGTTGCTGGTGAGGAGCTGCGTTCCTTTGGAGGAGGAGAGGCGCTCTGATTTTTAGAGCTTCCAGTTTTTCTGTTCTGTTTTTTCCCCATCTTTGTGGTTTTATCTACTTTTGGTCTTTGATGATGGTGATGTACAGATGGGTTTTTGGTGTGGATGTCCTTTCTGTTTGTTAGTTTTCCTTCTAACAGACAGGACCCTCAGCTGCAGGTCTGTTGGAATATCCTGCCGTGTGAGGTGTCAGTGTGCCCCTGCTGGGGGGTGCCTCTCAGTTAGGCTGCTCGGGGGTCAGGGGTCAGGGACCCACTTGAAGAGGCAGTCTGCCTGTTCTCAGATCTCCAGCCGTGTGCTGGGAGAACCACTGCTCTCTTCAAAGCTGTCAGACAGGGACATTTAAGTCTGCAGAGGTTACTGCTGTCTTTTTGTTTGTCTGTGCCCTGCCCCCAGAGGTGGAGCCTACAGAGGCAGGCAGGCCTCCTTGAGCTGTGGTGGGCTCCACCCAGTTCGAGCTTCCTGGCTGCTTTGTTTACCTAAGCAAACCTGGGCAATGGCGGGCGCCCCTCCCCCAGCCTCGCTGCCGCCTTGCAGTTTGATCACAGACTGCTGTGCTAGAAATCAGCGAGATTCCGTGGGCGTAGGACCCTCAGAACCAGGTGTGGGATATAGTCTCGTGGTGCACCGTTTTTTAAGCCGGTCTGAAAAGCGCAATATTCGGGTGGGAGTGACCCGATTTTCCAGGTGCGTCCGTCACCCCTTTCTTTGACTCAGAAAGGGAACTCCCTGACCCCTTGCGCTTCCCAGGTGAGGCAATGCCTCTCCCTGCTTCGGCTCGCGCACCGTGCGCGCACCCACTGGCCTGCGCCCACTGTCTGGCACTCCCTAGTGAGATGAACCCGGTACCTCAGATGGAAATGCAGAAATCACCCGTCTTCTGCGTCGGTCACGCTGGGAGCTGTAGACCGGAGCTGTTCCTATTCGGACTTTCTTCACAGAATTGGAAAAAACTACTTTAAAGTTCATATGGAACCAAAAAAGAGCCCTCATCGCCAAGTCAATCCTAAGCCAAAAGAACAAAGCTGGAGGCATCACACTACCTGACTTCAAACTTTACTACAAGGCTACAGTAACCAAAACAGCATGGTATTGGTACCAAAACAGAGATATAGATCAATGGAACAGAACAGAGCCCTCAGAAATAACACCGCATACCTACAACTGTCTGATCTTTGACAAACCTGAGAAAAACAAGAAATGGGGAAAGGATTCCCTATTTAATAAATGGTGCTGGGAAAACTGGCTAGCCATATGTAGAAAGCTGAAACTGGATCCCTTCCTTACACCTTATACAAAAATCAATTCAAGATGGATTAAAGATTTAAACGTTAGACCTAAAACCATAAAAACCCTAGAAGAAAACCTAGGCATTACCATTCAGGACATAGGCATGGGCAAGGACTTCATGTCCAAAACACCAAAAGCAATGGCAACAAAAGACAAAATTGACAAATGGGATCTAATTAAACTAAAGAGCTTCTGCACAGCAAAAGAAACTACCATCAGAGTGAACAGGCAACCTACAAAATGGGAGAAAATTTTCGCAACCTACTCATCTGACAAAGGGCTAATATCCAGAATCTACAATGAACTCAACCAAATTTACAAGAAAAAAACAAACAACCCCATCAAAAAGTGGGCGAAGGACATGAACAGACACTTCTCAAAAGAAGACATTTATGCAGCCAAAAGACACATGAAAAAATGCTCATCATCACTGGCCATCAGAGAAATGCAAATCAAAACCACAATGAGATACCATCTCACACCAGTTAGAATGGCAATCATTAAAAAGTCAGGAAACAACAGGTGCTGGAGAGGATGTGGAGAAATAGGAACACTTTTACATTGTTGGTGGGACTGTAAACTAGTTCAACCATTGTGGAAGTCAGTGTGGCGATTCCTCAGGGATCTAGAACTAGAAATACCATTTGACCCAGCCATCCCATTACTGGGTATATACCCAAATGACTATAAATCATGCTGCTATAAAGACACATGCACACGTATGTTTATTGCGGCATTATTCACAATAGCAAAGACTTGGAACCAACCCAAATGTCCAACAATGATAGACTGGATTAAGAAAATGTGGCACATATACACCATGGAATACTATGCAGCCATAAAAAATGATGAGTTCATGTCCTTTGTAGGGACATGGATGAAATTGGAAATCATCATTCTCAGGAAACTATCGCAAGAACAAAAAACCAAACACCGCATATTCTCACTCATAGGTGGGAATTGAACAATGAGATCACATGGACACAGGAAAGGGAATATCACACTCTGGGGACTGTGGTGGGGTGGGGGGAGGGGGGAGGGATAGCATTGGGAGATATACCTAATGCTAGATGACGAATTAGTGGGTGCAGCGCACCAGCATGGCACATGTATACATATGTAACTAACCTGCACAATGTGCACATGTACCCTAAAACCTAAAGTATAATAAAAAAAGAAAAGAAAAAAAAAATTAAAAAAAAAAACAAAGAAACAAAAAAAACTAAAAAAGCTTCTGTGCAGCAAAGAAAACAACAAAGTGAAGAGACAACCCGTAGAATGGAAGAAAATATTTGTAAACTATTCCTCTGACAAAAGATTAATGTTCAGAATATACATGGAGATCAAACAACTAAACAGTAAAAGAGCAAATAACCCAATTTTAAAATGGGCAAAGGATCTGAATAGACATTTTTCAAAGGAAGACATACAAATGACCAACAATTATATGAAAAATTCTCAACATCACTAATCATCAGGGAAATTCAAATTAAAACCACAATGAGATCTCTTGTCACCCTAGTTAGAATGGCTATTATCAAAGAGACAGAAATAACAAATGTTGGCAAGGATGCAGAGAAAGAGGAACTCTTATACACTGTTGGTGGGAATATAAATTAGTACAGCCATATGGAAAACAGTATAGAGGTTTCACAATAAAACTAAAAATAGAATTACCATACTATCCAGTAATCCTACTATTTGGTATTTATGTAAAGGAAAGGAAATCTGTATATATAAGAGATATGTGCACATGTTTATTGCAACACTACTCATAATAGCCTAGGTATGGAATCAATCTAAATGTCCATCAACAGATGAATGAATAAAGAAAATGTGGTATATATATACACAATGAAATATTATTCTGTCATTAAAAAACAATGAAATTCTATCATTTACAGAGACATGGATGAACCTGGAGGACATTATGTTAAATGAAATACGCCAGACAGAAAAATAAATAATACATGTTCTCACTCAAATGTGGGGACTAAAAAAGTTGAGCTCATAGAACTACAGAGTAGAATTTTGTTTACTAGAGGCCGGGAAATGTAGGAAGGATGCGGGGTAGAGAGAATTGTGTTAATGGATACAAAATTACAACTAAATAGCAAGAATAACTTCTAGTGTTCTATAGCACTGTAGGGTAACTATAGTTAACGTTAATTTATTATGTATTTTCAAACAGCTAGAAGAGAAGATTTTGAATGTCCCCAACACAAAGAAATAATAAATATTTGAGGTGATGCTTATGCCAATTATCTTGATTTGGTCATTACACGTCATATATGTAACAAAATATACTCTATCTCATAAATATGTCCAATCATGTCATGTCAGTTAAAAAATTTTTAAGAAGTAATGAAGACCTGCTCCCTCAACATCTATGAAAGCCATTCAAAACATATCTTTAAGATAAATATGACCAATAGATCTTAAAAGTGTATACCTGATTTCAGTACCTACTCATTTTGAGGGTAAGACTAAAGAAAAGAATCAGGATTTTTATTGTTTTTTTTTGTTTTTGTTTTTGTTTTTGTTTTTCTTAGAGATCTTCTTGACTGTTACACAAATTGCTGTACCTCTTCCCTAATAGCCTTACTACCCTAGTGTGGTTATGAATAGGGGAGTGCATTGTCAAATATTGTCACATTCTTCCCTTAGAATAATTGATTTCTATTCAACTGGCATTTTACAGAACAATTTCTCTAGCTTTACTTACAAAAGTAACTGTCAAATTCCACCTTACAGAATTCAGTTACAATAACTTTATTAGAAATATGCATTAATCAAACATAAAATCAAAGATAACTCATACTTGAGACAGCGAGGTTTTCATAAAATCACTTTCTGTCCTAGAAGCAGATGTCTGAGACATTTTTGTTAATAAAGATCACTAGATATACATCCTTACCAAAATAGAACATGTCCTATCATGCAATTTGAAAATAGATATAATCATTGTACTCTATTCCTCCTTTATATATCTTTCTCAAATTGTAAATTCTGAATTATTTCCTAGGGAAAAGAAAACAGGGAAATAGTAGGTTCATATTAGCAAAAAAAAGTAAAATTATTTGAAAAATTTAAATAGGTAGTAAAATTTCAAAATATACAATTGTATTTCTGTCAAC
Source organism: Homo sapiens (assembly GCF_000001405.40). Lineage (NCBI taxonomy): Eukaryota > Metazoa > Chordata > Mammalia > Primates > Hominidae > Homo > Homo sapiens. The sequence goes on from NC_000005.10 coordinate 166,149,192, forward strand.
CAAAAAAAATATGTATGTAAAAAAAGGGGGAATTTAAATTAAAGCAGTTTTTTTTTTTTTTTTTTTTGAGATAGTTTTGCTCTTGTCGCCCAGGCTGGAGTGCAGTGGTGAGATCTCAGCTCACTGCAACCTCTGCCTCGCAGGTTCAAGCAATTCTCTGGCCTCAGCCTCCTGAGTAGCTGGGATTACAGGTGCTATTGACTTCGTTCTTAGAATGGTTTAATTTCATGTAGAGTATGTGAAAAAAGAATTTAGAAAATCCTTTATTTTAACTTTATTGTTGAGAGACAAGTGAAGACTTGCCTTAGAAGTATTCTTTGATTTATAAATGACAATATCAATGATTGTTTAAAAGCCATTCAGTTTTTATGAGAAATCGGATTGCACGAATCCCCCTCTTTATCTCCTTCATTCACTCAACAGATATTTATCGAATGTTTTCTATATTCCAAACACTATAGTAGGTCCTGTTGAACAAATATAGATCTGGAGTCTATGAAGGAATTAGACCTGAACCCTAATGAAACTTACAGTCTAATGAAAGAGACAGATATTAAACAAATAATTATATTAATGATGGGGCAAATGTTATGAAGATAAATGTATTAGTCTGTTTTCATACTGCTACAAAGAACTGCCTGAGGCTGGGTAGTTTATAAAGGAAAGAGGTTTAATTGGGTCACAGTTCCACATGGCAGGGTAGGCCTCAGGAAACTTACAATCATGGCAGAAGGCAAAGGGGAAGCAAGCCACAATCTTCACAAGGCAGTAGGAAGGAGGAGTGCCCAGCAAAGGAAGAAGAGCCCCTTATGAAACCATCAGATCTCGTGAGAACTCATTCACTATCATGAGAACAGCATGGGGGAAACCACCCCCATGATTCAATTACTTCATCTGGTCTCTCCCTTGACACGTGGGGGATTATGGGGACTGCAATTCAGGATGAGATTTTGGGTGGAGGACACAGTGAAATCATATCAATAAATATGTCATGTTAAAGACACATAATGGAGGCTTGACTTTGTGGTGTTAAATAGGCTTGACTAAATGAGGAAGTGACAACTGAGCAGGCATGTAAAAGATGAGTAGGTTGAGGCAGAATGGAATAGTAGTCTAGACTAACAGCACATGGAAAATCTTTCTGACAGGAGGGAGCATAACCACCACGGAGAACTGAAAAACAGCTAGTGAGACTTGAGCAGAGGGCAAGGGATAGAAAGTATGATTGGAAATGCATCAGAGATGTTCATCAGAATACATTTAAAGCTGTTGAAGATGGGATCATTTAGGGCGACTGTATATAAAGAAAAGAAAGATGTCCCAGAATTGCCCTAAGACATGCCAGTCTGGGTAGAGGAGATTAATATTGCAAATGATAAAGAGCAACCAGACATAAAATCAAAGCATGAAAATGTAATGTCTAAGAGAATATAGAATCCAAGAGAGTTCAGTGTTTCTAAAAAGAGGAATTGATCAACAGTGCTGAATGCTGTGGAGGCAAAAAAAAGGAGGACTGAAATAAGAGAAAACTGGAAATTGTTAGTGATTAGTTTGATCCAGAATGGAGACAGAAAACAAATTAGAATGAGTTGAGGAAAAAGTAAAAAGTGAATAAATGGAGGCAGAAAATATAGACAGCTCTCCTTCGAAGTTGGTTATAAAGCACTTGACTGGTCGAGTAATGGGAGTGACTTGATTGTGTATTTTAAAAAAATAAGTTATTGTCTTAGTACATTCAAGCTGTTACAACAAAATGCCATAAGTTGAGTAGCTAATGAATAGAAATATTTTCTTAGGGTTCTAGAGGCTGAAATATCCAAGATCAAGGATGCTAGCAATTTTATGTCTACTGAGTTCCTGCTTTTATTTTTGTTTTTTTGTTTTTGTTTTTGTTTGGTTTAACATAGACGGTTCCTTCTCACTGTGTTCTTATATGGTGAAAGGGCACACAAGTTCCCTCTTTTATAAGGGTACTAATCTCGTTCATGAGAGCTCTGCCCTCATGATCTAATCATCCCCTAAAAGTCCCACCTCTTAATACTATTGCATTGGGAATTAGGTTTCAACATGTGAATTTGGTGGGGGAAGGACACAAACATCCCAATCAAAACATACTCAAAAGAAGTGAAAATTGGTACTCAATAAATATGTACATAAATATGTACATACATGTTCATAGCACTATTCACAATAGCTAACAGGAAGAAATAGCCCAAATGTCCATCAGGGGATAATGAATAAAGAAATGGTTGTAAAAAATACAATGTAGTTTTTATTTTATTTTATTTTGAGTTGGGTCTTACTCTGTCACCCAGACTGGAGTTCAGTGGTGCTATCTCGGCTCACTGCAACCTCTGCCTCCCAGGTTCAAGCGATTCTCCTGCCTCAGCCTCCCGAGTAGCTGGGATTACAGGCTGACACCACCACGCCCAGCTAATTTTTGTATTTTTAGCACAGATGGGATTTCACTATTGGCCAGGCTGGTCTCGAACTCCTGACATTAGGTGATCCACCCACCTCAATCTCCCAAAGTGCTGGGATTACAGGCATGAGCCACAGAGCCCAGTGGGAATTTTTTCTTCTGTTGAAAAGGAATGAAATATTGATACATGCTATAACATGAATGAATCTCTAAAACATTATGCTAATGAATATAAACCGGACATAAAATGTTGCAATTGTGATTCTTCCTATATAAAATATTCAGAATAGGTAAACTCATAGAAACAGAAGACAAATTGGCCAGAGGCTGTGGATGGAGGAATAGGGAACAACCATTTAATAGGTCCAGATTCTTTTTTCTTTTGGGGTGAAGAAAATGTTTTGAAACTACATACAGACAGTGGTTGTGCAATATTGTGAACACACTAAATGGCACTGAATTGTTCAACTTCAAATAGGTAATTTTACATCAGGTGAATTTTATCTCCAAAATATTTTAAAACTTAGAGCTATTGAGGAAACCAGGTGGTTTTGCTAGGCTTCCATGTTATAACTCAGTTTAAAAGAAAATCAAAACATAACACAAAAGTTTCAAACATCTACAATTCCGCTTTGAGAATTGTTTTAAATAGCTTAAAATGTAAGTGGTTTGATCTTTATAAAAATATATTGGACTTGAACTGCCTTGATTATTAATCAGTGGAATATAATAAATTTGAACTGATGTCTAAACTGAATTTGAAACAAAAAAATCAATTCCAGTTATCACTATTTTTTTAATTTACTTAGAGATTAGGGATTCTACTTAATAGCATGCTCAATTGGTTATTTATAAGTAAATATTTTATCTTGCAATCTTACTGTATATAATTTGCCAATATACACAAAAAGTTGATATTTACACCCATGTACATACACACACTCTCACAGGATGTTCAATTTATAATTTTTGATAACAAATGCTGGAAATGACTTTAATGTCTATCAATTGATATTAGTGAAATTAATTCTGGTACTTTTGTCCAATAGAAGACTACTTAGCTATGAAAATAAATGTGATAGACCGTAATGTATTAACATAGAGATTGCCACAAGGTACTTTATTTTAAAAAGTGTAAGATGCAGAAGTATCTATGGAATAATCCATTAAGTTAAACACAAGTATATGTATGCACATACTTACACAGGAAGCTTTTAACAAAATAGCTTTATGGGCATAGTTTTATAGTTTAGCTATTTGGTTAGAGGGGTTTTTTACCTTATATGCAGGACTTATTGATAGTGCTGGTAATTTCTAACGTCAACAATATCTGGTTGATGCCATCCTAGGCCATTTACTTTTATGTTTTTTGTATGTAAAAATAGTGACAAAATATATTTTAAGCTAACATGTCATACTGAACATTCTGATAAAATAATACATTTTCCTTAGTTCATCTATATTTATTATTTTTTCCTCTTAATTTCCATTTCTCTTCTATTATAACCTTTTACTCATCAATTTGTATTCCTCCTTTAACTGTGAACTCTTTAGGGCTCTAAAAATTTAGCCTAACACCTAATAGGAATGGTAGATATTTAATAAATGTTTGTATGATCCAAGGTAATATACTATAAGAACATAAGCTTTGAAATAAAATAAACATGAATTTAAATTTTGATTTTGAAAATATCTATCGGATTATCATGGCCATGTTACTTGACTTTACTAAATATCCAGAAAAAAAAAAATAAGATCACGCAGTTCCTATCTTATGGGAATTTAGTAGTGATTACATGATACCACATTTCTAAGGAGCAAGCGCCTGTGATTGTCACGCAGTAAGTCTTCAATAAATTAAGATTGTTTCCTCATTTTTCTTTCTTTCTTTCTTTCTTTCTTTCTTTCTTTCTTTCTTTCTTTCTTTCTTTCTTTCTTTCTTTTTTTTTTTTTTTTTTTTTTGTCAGACAAAGTCTCACTCTGTCACCCAGGCTGGAGTGCAGTGGTGTGATCTCAGCTCACTGCAACTTCCACCTCCCGGGTTCAAGCAATTTTCCTGCCTCAGCCTCCCGAGTAGCTGGGATTACAGGCACCTGCCACCACTCCTGGCTAATTTTTGTATTTTAGTAGAGACAGGGTTTCACCATGTTGTCTAGGCTGGTCTCAAACTCCTGACCTCAGGTGATCCACCCACCTTGGCCTCCCAAAGTGCCTTGGATTACATGTGTGAGCCACTATGCCCAGCCTCATTTTCCTTTTTCTACTCATCACTTAATAGTCCTCTGTAGGCTACGATGTCCTCCTCACAAATACTTTTTTTTTTTTTGAGATGGAGTTTCACTCTTGTTGCCCAGGCTGGAGTGCAGTGCCGCGATCTTGGCTCACTGCAACCTCTGCCTCCCAGGTTCAAGCGATTCTCCTGCCTCAGCCTCCTGAGTAGCTAAGATTACAGGCATGCACCACCACACTCGGCTAATTTTGTATTTTTAGTAGAGAATAGGTTTCACCATGTTGGCCAGGCTGGTTTTGAACTCCTGACCGTAGGTGATCCACCTGCCTTGGCCTCCCAAACTGCTGCGATTACAGGCATGAGCCACCGCACCCGACCCTTCACAAATACTTTATCACATACTTTTTGTGATATCTAACTAAGGAAATTTAGATTGGGAAAGGAGTGAACAAACCTAAAAATAAATTGACACAGGATGTGGAAACTTCCCTCCCATTCAGAGGGAGTAGGGAGTTGGCTAAGAGAAATTAACTTTAAAATGGCATTTTTAATAGAATGTTTTTATAATGTATTACATGTATAAATATGTACTTAAGCATAAAAAAAAAGTTATACTAACTTTGCTTTCAAAGGAGATGTAAGCCGTGGCAGGCAGTATCAGTAACTTAAGAGACCAGTGGGAAAAGCTTTATGTAAGATAATATATAATCCAATTATGGAGATGCAAGTCATCACTGTATGTTAGTCTCAAAGAATTATAGTCATTTCACTACCACCATATTATTTATTACTTTGAATTCCTCAAGGTGAAGGGTTAAGGGAAGTGCCCTTCCAGATATTTTTTATTGTTGCTTTTCTTGGAGGTGGGTGTCAGCTGATTTTTTTTTCATTTTCATTTTTTTCATTTTTTCATTTTTCACTTGTTCATTTTAAGTTGGGCTCTAGAACTTAAGCTTTAGCTATCAGTTGAGAGGGTTTTAAAAATTGCAGAATTAAATCATGAATTTAGATTAATAGCCTTTCAATAATCCATGCCCAGTGAACTAATTACAAAACCACAAGCAGTAGAAAAGATCAGAAATTGCAGTTACCCATAGATTTGAAATGTTGACATTTGGCATCTGGCTCCAAAGTGGATGTTTACACAGTAGTTGTCTTTAATATCTTTTTCCAATAAGTTATATATTATTTTTGACTTGATTATTTTATCCTATATACAGTACACTGAGCAAACAGCTGTTAGCCTGTGCAGAATTAAACATATTTCTTGAGGCATTTTAGATGTTGTAAACATGTCTATTCACTCATTTGCAGAGAATTGTGCCATTGCCTGTCATTGGATTTGAGGAGGTCATCCAATCACAATGAAGTTCAATGAAATCTGAAGACTGGTTAGCAAAGTCTTAACCATAACCACTTGCTATCTATTGAAATATATTGGGAAGCACAGATTGTATCATCATGAAATTTTCACACATGGTGGAACTCCATTTGTTAACAGTCACAGAGGGTGATGCTTGGCATTTTAAACTGCACCACAGTCTTAAATTCATTATCATGTGAACTGATAAGATCTAGTACAGAATTTAAAAATGGGTCATTGTTGGTTGTGATTTTTATTAAAGTCATCTGATTTTGATTTTTCAGTTTAATAGTCCATTTCCTCTTTGTAAGTGTGTGTTCTATGGAATCACAAATAATCATTTTAATCACTAGTATTTCTGAGATGAGATCATATGATACCCATATGTCTCGAGTTGCCTTCATACAAGGTCACACACAGTTTGTAGCTGGGAAGAAGAGCTAAAATGAAGCCAACAGGACAGAGGAACTTTTCAGGCAGGTGCGGTCTAATAGGCCCAAAAGGTTTGGAATTGCCTTCAAAATCAGGGAGATCCAAGTAAAACATCCTTTTTCCACTACTTCTGAGCTAAATCGCTTTGGGAATAGTAATTCGTTATTCATTCATTCAGTTGGTAAGTTGATAACATTTATAACATGATGGGAGCTTGCAGCCCAGCACTGTTGAGCACCGGGGAAATAGCAGTGGACTAAAAAGTTCCTTAATTCTGAGAGTGCAGGGGCACATGGAGGAAATAGATAGAGACAATAGCAAATATCAAGTACAGTGAGTCTCCAAAGGAGGACCTAATCATGGGGGCTAGAGGAGGCTTGTCTAATAGAACCCAGGTCAAAGCTGAAGCCAGAGAATGAAAAGCCACGTTAGTGAGTAGGGGAATTCAGGGAACCAGGTCTGCCAGAGCAGGGGCAGCACATGTGGATTCCCACAGACTGACTAGCTTGTTTGGGGGACTGAAATGAAGCCTAGCTGATCCAGACAGTAAGGGGTGAGTCTGCAGAGGACAGTGGTGGCCAGATACGGAAAGGCCTTGAAAGAGATGTCAGAATTTTAGATTGTTTTCCCCCCTAAGAACGTTATTTAGTATTTCTAAATGCCAATTGATTTAGCTATAAATTAAGATATCATCTATCTCATAGGTTTTTGTTTAAAGATTATGTGAGATAAAGATATCTCATAGAGTCCAAAATTATATATATAACTCCACTTCCAAATATTTTTTAATATAAAATTTTCTTAGAAAACAAGGCCTGGCACATTTTAACCATTTTATAAACATTGGTTATTCATTTTGTTGATTTTGTTATTGATAGCATTCTTATTAAATAAGCAGATTTGGGGAGAAGAGTCAGGACAGCATAATGGCTGAGAAGTCAGAACTAATTGTAAGCATATTTGCTAGTAAGGAGTCTCACAACTAGATACTTTCCAGAAGATCCTACCAACTTCAGGAGGAAAGTGAGTGACAAGCAGATTATCTTTGTTCTAAACTCGGAGGGCCTGGAGCAGTGGTTCTTAATCAACAGCAATTTTGCTTCCACAGGAAATATTACTGCATGTCACAACTGGTGGGAAGGAGTGGTTTATAGAGACCAGTGATGCTGCTAACATCCTACATTGCACAGGACTACCGCCTACAACAAAGTATTGTCAATAGTGCTGAGTGTGGGGACCCCTTACTCAGGGCATGCTGGCCAAAGTTAGAATGGGGCCACAGTTGGCATGAGGTGCCCACTGCGGTTTCATGTCTTTCACGTTATCCCTTGGTTGTCTATACCTTCCTTTCCCTCTGTTATAGTTTTTCTCTACCTTGTTTCTCCTCTGTTGTAATGGAATACAAAGTATCATATGGTGAATTACATACATAGTTTTCTCTGTCTCAAAGCTGCTGAAATATGTATACCTTCTCTAACTAATCAGCTTAAGCAAACCTCTGCAGTGGGTGGTAATTGTAGCTGACAATAGCAATCATGTGTTCCTAAAGTGGCAGTGGAGAAACATGAAGATTATGTGGGAGTGTCGAATCTGTGATTTAGGCGGGGCAGTGTCAAACATCTGCAAACAATATTGCTGGAACATCCAAATTAAACAAAACAATTTTTAAAAGAATATAAAGTTAGCATAATAACTAGAATCTAGGGGGAAAATGTAACAAATGACTTTCTACTTCTCTAGAATAAACTGAAGAATTCTATAGTCAAAGCACATTATTGATTGTGCCAAGAGGTTTTGTATACAATCTCTCCAATTTCCTTAGGGATTTCTATATTTCTTTTTAGTGCAACATTACTTTAATTGGATGTCAAGTAAAAGAAGTGGCTGGAAGCACCCATGTTTTATAATTTCTAATTTCAAAATTGATAAGAACACATGCTTCTGTGGTGTTTATGTGTATGATTTGCCAGAGTTATTATTTAAAAAAAAATTTGTAAATGTTAATTTTCCTTAGGCAGTCCACATTTATTTTAAATATTAAAAAATGAAGTTAGTAAATACATTATAATGCATGCAAGAATCAGATATGTGTATATTAATTTTTGTGTGCACAATTTAATTTTGTGTGAGGCACTTTCTTAAATAATGGTTATTAGAATCTATTAAATTCAAACTTTATTTTTCATAATGCACAGGTAACAGGAATCTCTCCCAAACCTAAAAGTATTTAACAAATTTCACAGCTCAAGTAAAAGGAAAAAGAAAATAAGTGTAACTTTTAAAAGGTTGCAAACACTTATGGCATTTTTAACCTTACCATTCTGAAGTAATAAAAACTATAAAGTATCAGAGTGGGGTCTGGGCTAACTGAGTAAAAGCCACAAGATCCAGGCTAGTATTTCAAAACAGCAATCTGATTATGTCATTCCTCCCTTAACATATTTTCATGGTTTCTCATTACTCTTGGAATAAAAACCACTCTCTAACCTAGCCTAGCACCCTGTACAACTTCTGGCTACCTCTCCAGCACCCCTCACACCAGGTACCTGTTGCCGCAGGGCCTTTACACCTATCATTTCCTTTGCTTAAAAGCCTCATCTCAGTTGCTCCTTGTGCCACTCTGGTGCTTAATCACTCGGACTAAGTCAAATCTCTATGTAATGCATAATCAGAACACCACAACCTGTCCTTTATATTTTTATTGCAATGGTTAATTTTTTTGATTTGTGTGCTGATTTCATGCAAGAAACAGCAAAGAATTGCTGTTATTTTTGTAATTAATTTGTTACAGATATACAGGGTTTATCAGTCTTATTTCCCAGTCATTTCTTATGGTGGCCCAATTGTGGAAAAGACGAGCCCACGAGAGAAGAGGTTAATAATTATAAATATGACTCATGTTTGTATAGAGCTTTATATTTTGCTAAGTCTATTCTATGTCTTATTCTCATTTGATCATTGTAATAATCTCAATGGTGATGTAGGAAAGTTATCTATTCAGCAAACATATTTTTAAGCAACTGCTATGATGCGGAGAACTAGGGAGATATGTATATATATGTTGCTTTGCTATATATATAACATTTATATATATAAATAGTATATAAATGTGTATAATTGTGTGTATGTGTGTGTGTATATATGTAATGGGGAGGAGAATAATGTATAGGTATAAATTAAATAGGTAACATTATACAGGTAACATATAGGTAAAATTATATAGGTATATAGTAACATATAGGTAACATTATAATACAGTAATATTATATAGGTAACTTTATGTAGTAACATATAGGTATAAATTATATAGATATCATATATAGGTATAATACCTATATATTATATACCTATATAATAGAAATTATATACTTTATATATAAATTATATAATAAATATATTTTAAGATATAAATGTATAAATTATACCTATAAAATTTATACCTATATAATTTATATAGGTATAATTTATAATTTATATAGGTAATAATTTATAATTTATATAGGTATAAATTATATAGGTATATTATATAGGTATGTGATAGGTAAATTATATAGGTGTAAAAAATTATATAGGTATAATTATATAGGTAGCATTATATAGGTATAAATTATATAGTAATATTATGTAGGTAACATTATATTATAGTAATATTATATACGTAACATATAGTAACATTATATAGGTATAAATTATAAAGGTATATATACACACACCTATATATAACATTATATATACATAAATATATATTAAGCATATATTTATATTTATAACATGTGTTTATACTTATAGTATTATATATAGGAATAAATTTGTGTGTGTGTGTGTGTGTGTGTATATATATGCACACGCACACACACACACACACACATACATAAATGTTTCTCTCCTACCTTCAAGGAGGTTGTTTTTTCACTGGATGTGGGAGAGGTATGGAAAAACAAAAATAACTACCTACCATGGAATGTCTTTAGGGTTGTGTTCAACATAAGACAAAACTGGTGCATGAATGAGAACAGTAAATGGTTAATTCAGCCTGAGGAAGGCAAAGTAGTGGGAATAACATTCTGGGCAGAAGCAGCAACATAAATAAATGGATACATGACTGTACATGGTTTGTGTTGATGTGACTCTGAGATGCCGAAGATATTGATAGAAGATGGCACACAGTTCCACCCACCTTGGTCTCCTTTGTATTTCTCTGTGTTGGTACCATTCCCAAAGCAGCCTCTCCCTTAGCAATGATAACAAAATCCAGTCTCATATGATTTCCTCTCAACATTTCCAATAAGATTCTCAAAACTGTGTCTCATGGGCTCCATATGGGTGAATCAGCCACTTTTTTAAGCCTGATTGGCCACATCTAATTTAAAAGCGCACTTCAAAACTCAGATCCAGATTAGATGTAGCCAAGCCACGTGTCTTAAAACAGTAATTCTAAAGCTGTAGCACATATTAGCCTTCCCACGAGACCTTATTAACATGCAGATTGCTGGGCCAAATGCCCCAGAACATCTGATTCAGCATGTCAGGCTTTTGGCCTGATCATTTGCATTTATAACAAGTTTTTAGGTGATGCTGATGCTGCTGATACAGGGGCCACACTGTGAGAACCACTGCCTTTGAGAACTGGAAGGATGGTTTCCCCTGAAAAATCTGAGGGCTGCTGCCTACAGATGTGACTGGATTCCAGGTTACCTGATGGCACACAATTAAACTATGACTGCTTGTGCAAACTGTGAAACCTATGACAATTGTTTGCACATTGGCCTTTTTTTTCTTCTTGATCTTTCTACTCTGGTTATTCAGTAGCCTCACAATACTTTTCTGGCTATACAAGGTTGCTCACCTTTAAGCACTGGATCATTTTCCATTGAAGTGTGTATTCTCTGTTTGCTCTTCTCAGGATAACTTGACCCAAAGATCTAATGGTTGCATGGCCACTACAAGCACAAAAGGTACCAGAGTTTTTGGATTAAGGACCCTGTTTTGCCATTTATGTGACCTTTGGTTGCTTAATAGCTGTGTGCCTTGGTTTTCTTATGTGTAAAATATTGGTAATAATATCTAGTAGTTATAACTATGCCGTAGAATTGTCAGGATTCCATGAGATAATATATATAAAGAGTTTAGAATAATTTCTGACACATACTTAAAGACAATATAAGCCTTAGTCATTCTTATAAAGTGTTTACTGTCCGTGGCGTTAAATAATTAGATTTGATAGGTTTTAGAAAAGAAGGGGCCCTGAAATGCTATTAGAGTGTAATTCCATCCTTTAATAGTTGATATAACTACAGAGAACTTTATTATCTCACCAAGGATAAAGAGAGATGGTCAGTGGTCCCAGAACTCAGGTTTTCTGTGCTCATGCTACAATACCACGTTAAGTCTAACTTCTTTCCAACAAAACATGACTCCTCATGGAAAGACCATGGATTTGGAAAGCACAGAGGTAGATTGGGATTCCATTTTTTTCCCATATTCTAACCAAATAGCTTTAAGCAAATCAAGTGCTCCCTTGGAGCCTGTGTTTACCTGTCTTTGAAATGGGATTAAAAATAGGCTGGGCATGGTGGCGTGTGTCTGTAATCCCAGCACTTTGAGGGGCCAAGGCAGGGACATGACTTTAACCCAGGAATCTGAGACCAGCCTGGGCAACAAAGCCAGATCCAATGCTACAAAAAATAAAAAAAAAAAAATAGCTGGGCATGGTAGTGCATACCTGAAGCCCCAGCAACTAGGGAGGGTGAGGCAAGAGGATCACTTGAGCCCAGGAAGTTGAGGCTGCAGTGAGCTGTGATCTCACCACTGCACTCTAGCCTGGGTGACAGAGTGAGACTTTGTTTCTAAAGGAAACAAACAAACAAACACAGAAACCAGAAACATTTTAAGTGATATGTGAGGCCTAAATACAGAAATATGTATAAAGTGCCTGGAGAAATACCAGTTTGTTAGTACATGTTAAATTCCTTTCCTTTTTTCTATTTCTTTGCATAAGCCTATTGCATCTAAGCAAAAGCCTTTTCCTGTTATGCCAGTGGAATGACTAATGGTAGAAATTGTAGAGTGTATGTAGATTATATGGCAACATGATGAGGCAAAGTGTGATGTGACTTCAAAGTGTGATGTGATGCCTATCTACTTTAGCAGGACCTTTGTGCCATGTAAGGGTGAAAAAGGAACAGCAAAGATAGTGGACCACGACTAACATGGCTGACATGCTGTTTTGAAAATGAATTGAATATTAGTTTTTAGTTGAGGGTTTACATATTTCCAGACTTCTTTATGGGAATGGTAGGGGAAAGGCTGAATATACTCATCCTGAATACTGTGAAATAGGGGATACCTCTCTACTTATGATCCTCCCCCACTTTTTTAAAAATATGCTGGCCACTATCTGGTGTGGAAAATTGGCCTGTGCTTGTCTTTAGAACATGCTCCAAAGCATGCCTCTGACTTTGCTGGAAAGGCGTTCTCCTGTCTGTTGATATCTTTTTCTACATTCTCCATTTGCGTAAATCTGATGGAATCTTTTAGACTAGCTCAATTGCCTTCCTTCATGAAGTCCTGCTCGGGTTGGACTGCATCAATTGCTGATCTCAGAGTTCTAGTTTGCTAGATGTCTTTAAAAATATTTATTACCAACATGGCACATGTATGCATATGTAACAAACCTGCACGTTGTGCACATGTACCCTAGAACTTAAAGTATAATAATAAAAAATATAATATTTATTATACAATTAATACATATACAAATTTGAAACTAACAGACATAAGTGTAAAGCATAAAACAATCACTTGCAATTTCACTAGCCAGAAGAAAGTGCGCTCACATTTTTCAAGCATGAATGTGTGTATGTGTAAAGAAATACTTGTATGTATGTGTGTATATACTTATGCATATACAATTATATAACATCTAGTATCCTGTATCTTGCTCATTTACTTAACATTATACTATAAAATGTGAAAAATATGACTAGTACTTTTTCATCTGTACATTTACATGAATCTTAGTAGTCAGATATAAGTTCTTCATAAGACATTTTAAAGTTATAAATAAGTAGCAAGACATGACTGGTTTCCTGGCTACTTATTTACTATGGGATCTTAGGCAAATTACTTATCCTGTTAATTTTTATGAAAAAATATTTAACTTGGTTGTTCTGAAAATCAGATGAAATAATGCAAATAAAATACGTAATATATGCCTGACACACTCAAAAACATTTTCATCACTATTGTTCACATTGTCAGTATTTATTTGTTAATTCAATATATGACAACTATGTGTCCAGAAATATGTTAGCTCTAACTTAACTTCTAGGAGCTTAAAACCTATTTAAGAAATTTTTACTACATAACAGTATTTCCACAATTGACAATAGGAAGTGATGGATAAGTTTGTACTAAATTAGAACAGCCAAGACTTTAGTTTTAAAAATTAGGTAGTGATACAAAAAAAATTGCAGAGAACAAGATTTTCTATATCTCGAAAGAGATTTTATAATGAGCTATCCAAACTTGTAACCAGCAACCTCAGTAATTTTCTTTTATCTTTTAGATTCTATAGTAAAAAAGGAAAGCCAAAATAGCCCTGTCACATCCAGCCACTGTCAATTAATGCCTGGAACTGGATTAACTACTAGTAAACCAATTCAAGTAGCACGAGACTCACCAGCTGTCAGGCACGGTTAGTCTCCTTGGAGGGACCACATACATATCCTGTTGCCAAGGAAAATGGCCTATAACATCATCTTTTTTCAGGGCACGGGTAAATTCCTGTCTCATTCGTACAAAACCTTCAGAACTCTAGGAGGCCACGGGGTATAGATTAAAATTCATGCCTAGCAGAAACGGCTTCCATACTCCTCACTACACTCTCCTACACAATATTCAAAAGAGAATCCCAAGGACTTAGCTGTGTCTCAGCTCTGCATTTGAACTCCATTCATGTACATGTGGAGAACAGCTAGTGTTTTACAAAGGGCAGAGGTGGTTACATTGAAAGTCCTTGGCATTATCACAAATCCCTATGTTTGTATTCTTTTTTATGGGATCCACAAGATTTTATCTATTGCATTCTTTTTTACCTAATGCCTTTGTTGTCAGGGTTGGAACATTGTTGAATTCCGGCAAACAATGGGAATGAATTGGTTTTATACAAACAACTTTGTGTGTGTGTGTGTGTGTGTGTGTGTGTGTGTGTGTGTGTGTGTGCGCGCATGCATGCATGTTTCCCAAAGACCAGAAAAGCAAAGGAGACTATTAAAATCTTAAAGCAAATCTGTGGGTTACTAGGCCTACCTGGGTCTTTATTTACTGTGTTCCACTGGATTACTGACTAGAAACACCTGTTGTAAGAGGAGGAGTACACGTGGCTGGTGCATGAACCTTGGTAAGTCATAGTAAAGCAAGAGTGTAAATACTGGAGTATGCATTCTCTGTCAATTCCATGCTACTTTTGGAGAAGTTTTGGCATTTGCTTCCTTGCATTTGGCACTATAGATTATTTTAATAATGTTTACACTCTTGTTCTGCTCCCTAGCTCTACAAGCTGTTAAGAGAAACCACATTTAAACAAGCATCCCTGCATCTTTTGCGTCTACATGAAGAGGGTAGCAGGCTGTTCCCCAGAATAGTCTGTAAAGAATCTTCTCAAATAAACTACTTTAATGCTAAGCAAAATGCCACATATGTAAAATAGGTAATGCCGGATTATGTAAAATGCTTTTTAAAAGATGAGGGAAAAGGACTTAGCATCAAATAAATCTGTCAGCATGGGGAGTTCCAGAAATAGTTGTAACAGTGGTTTGAATTGCTTAATATTGCAATTACTATTTACTTCTTCAAATTAGCCTCCATTATCTTATGAAAGAATCTTAGAATAATTTATTTGACTCTCCAGGGGCTTGTGGCCATATCATGAATAGATGTTTAAAGAGCCTTCTAAGAGTCTGCTAAAACCTAAATTAATCTTTGTATCAAACACTTTTACTTATTGCTTTCCCCCTTCCAAACACCCCCACAATCCAAATTTCTCAAGGAGGTTTTATTCCTACATCAGTGTTAATGCATTGACATGCAGTAGGGAAATTAGCCTTGAGTTATATGTATCAAGAGAAACAACAAAGCAAATGTGCTTTGTTCTTGGCAAGCTTACTTAATCTCTCAGATATGTAAAGATGAATCAGAAAACAATATGATCCAGCTCATCTTCTTAATTGGAATCCTAGAATGAATGTTAGAGTAAAAAAGTACCATAGAGAATACCCAATCTAGATCCTTCTTTTCCTGTTTGAGAAAAAGGAGGTTTCAAATGCTAAAATAACTGACCCAAGGCCTACAGGCAGGTGTCTGTCAGTATCCAAACAATGCAAACAAGAAACCAGTGCTTGATGTTTCCAATTTCATTTTACCATTTTACTATTCCAGCACCATTGCCTAATCAATAAGAATCAACCGGGAGGGTTTTTAGAAACAGAGATATCTAAGATTCTCTCTTAGAAGATCTGTATTAATAGTTGGAGTGGAGTCTGAGATTCTGCTTTTGACAAATGCCCTGGGAAATAATTAGGATACAGAAATTATAGAAAACTCCACATTCTATCATTCTGTCTTCAGAGATAAAAGATCACTACTAATCAAATAAACTGATATAGGAATTTCTAAAACATATGGCTATGAACTTATTTTAAAACATAGACTTATTGTCTGTGCTTATGTATTAGACCTTAGAGAAGCCGTGCATTTAGACCTGTATGATACATCCATTTATAAGTCAATTGTCCTGGGATCTGATTTTATGTTTATGGTGTTTACATGTCTGTCATCTGTAATATTGGTATTTTTTAGAGTTCATCTAGATCTTTGACCATTCAGTCAGCACTCTGTTTAGTAAGATACGGAATCCAAAGATGCACTAAAACTATCCCAACTGTGCTATAGGAGATGTGCAATAGGAATTAATGTCAGGCAGAAGCAGTTAAAACACTTGGCAACTGCCTGAACTGCTATGCTTGCCGTTTCCTAGAGATAATGCAAATTGTGCTTTGGCAAGAGATTACCTGTCGATTTTTTTTCTTATTTTGTAATTGCTCCCTCACAAAAAACACAGGTTAGACTGTACCGTCTGCTGTCCATGGTGCTAATTGTGGTCTTTGCTGGGAAATGGTACCTTTTACAGAGCCAGCTTGTGAAATCCTTTAACAGATTGTTTGCGATCCCTGTAATTCTGGCAGTGCCAAGCATATTTGAGTACTAGATTCTATGCTCAGTTAGTTTTCCCCCAAGTCACATGAGCTAAGCTTACCTGCAATCATTTAGATATGCATGGTTGACTTTCAGGTAATTTTCAGAGAAAAAGAATGGCAAATGAACAGAAGTTGAAAGTTACACTTTAAAAAGATAGCCTTAACCTCTAAAGCTCACATGGCTTATTTTAGGCATTTCAGAGGCTGTATACTCAACTTCTTGTGTGAATTGTGCTTTTAAACCATCCCATTTGACAATTAAAATGGAAACGTGGAAAAAGCCATTGTTTGTTTTTTCTATAGTCCCATCAATGTGCACTGTGCTGAACAATAGTCAGGGCATGGCAAACAAAGGCTCTGCCCCGTGGAGCTTACAATCAAGCTGCATGATGCAACGCAGAACAATACAATTCAGAACAAGCATGTGGTGATTAACAACCTTTCTAACTGGCATTCTTTGAAGAATAGGAGTTTATATATATACATATAAATCAGTGGGGTTGGGGGGCGGACATATAGTTTCATCTGTAGGGACTTTGACAGAAGATGCAAATCAGCCGTGGGTGCATAGACCAAGGAGAAAAGAAGATCAGGAGGATAGCATGATCAGTAATTAAATATTTCAGGGAGCTGTCTATGCACTGAATGGAGAACTGGAGAGCTCCTAAAAATAATGAGTATAGCCACCTTATGAAACAAAATGGGAACCAACGTGTTTAATAAAGAAGAGTCCCTTTCTTTCCAGTATTTCAGAAAAGGGGATGGGTTTAAAAGCAACCATGGAGAGCAATCGGGGATGATTGTGTATGGTGTGTGCTTAAAAATTTGAAATTTTACTTGAGCCATGAGGCATTTGATAAATAAATTATCCATTGATTAATGGAAGAAGTAATGCAGTTTAGCTACAATTGTGTGTAGAGGAGTCCTTAATCCAGAGCCATGACTGTGTGGATTCAAACATATCTTAGAACTTAATCCAGTGTTGTGTTTGTGTGTCGGTATGGGTGTGTACAACAATTTGGTTAAGTAGAGCAGCTGCTGGAAGCAAGAAGTCATTTATCCTCACTCCAGTAATAATGGCTAATATTTATTGAGTACCTACAATGGCAAAGTAGTATTCTCAGCAGTACTTATCTTATTCATTCCTCACAGAAGCTCTGTGAGGTAGCTGTTGCTACTATTTTAAATCCCATTGCACAGGGCTGGGCACAGTGGCTCATATCTGCAATCCCAGCCCTTTGGGAGATCGAGGTGATCAGATCGCTTGAGCCCTGGAGTTCAAGAACAGCCTGGGCAACATGATAAGACCTTGTCTCTACCAAAAATACAACAATTAGCGGGGAGTGGTGGCAGATGCCTGTAATCCTAGATACTTGGAAGACTGAGATGGGAGGATCACCTGAGCCCCGGGAAGTTGAGGGTGCAGTGAGCCATGATCGTGCCGCTGCACTCCAGACTGGGCAACAGAGTGAGACCCTGTCTCAAAAAAAAAAAAAAATTCCATTGCATGGATGAATAATTTGAGACACACAGAGGCAAAGCAACTTCTAAACCCCATTAATCTGGCCCCAAAACCAGTATTCTAATCACTGTGTTATAAATTCTTTTCAAAATTTCAGGTTCTCATTCTCAGAAAAAAACTACCTTGATGGAAACCCCCTATATTTTCCTGAAGGATAGGGAACATTAATTTATTTGTGTTTGTGTAATATCATATAGTATTCTCCCTATAGGCTTGCATTCTACTCAAATCCCCTATATAAATTGACAGATTAGTATGAATAAGATAATACTGTTTGTGTTAAGTACAATGGATTCAATATCTAAAAGGCTACATAAAATAACAGAGAGGAACACCATGTAAATCCTCGCAGTCCCCTAAAGAATAATATAAAACTAGGAAATAAAATATTTAATAGATTAAAGTCTGAGCCCCTGAAAAATATTAGCAAGGGGTCACTTGCTATATCTGTTCACTGCAGAAGGCCCCAGGGTGGTTTATGGCAGCCTGGGTTCAACAGTATCACATTCAAATAGATTATAACTAAATTTAAAACTTAAATAGTTTTCTTACTGTTTATCTCAGATACAGCAATATAAAAGGTGTTTCTTGCTATGCAGGGATCCCCAACCTTGCTTTTTTTGTTGTTGTTGTTTCTGTTTTTGTTGCACCCAAGCTATTTCTTTATCCTGGAAGCTTTCATAAAATTCTTAAATGTGAATTATTTTAGGTAATGTTTTATTTTAAAATACAGTAGGCCCCAGAGCACCTTTTGCTTCAGATAGGGGGACATGAAAACCAACTGCCATTGGGACCTTTGCTTTCAGAATTATTATGACAATCCTAAAGAAGTTGAGACCACTATGAGTAAAATGCCAAGGGCATTGAAGTATTATATCTTCCTTTCTTGTGAAGTTTAAGCTTGCATAATATCTGTGTTCCTTGAGCTTGAATAACAATTTTCTCATCTTCTCAACACCAAACGAGTGGTTCACCAAATAAAAAAACAGGAAAGGAGAACACAATAAATTTTGTTAAATACTACATTTGCAAAAGAATTTCTAAAACTCCTAAAATGATTTTAAGCAGATATGCATTTGGCTTTTAACTGTAATAACGTAGGTTGGAGTTATAGGCAAATGACAACAACAAAAACTATAAACAGAATTTAAGGGCACAAAGCACTTTTTGCTTTAACTGATGTGGATTCAAGTGTGCAAAGCTTAGGGATGATTTTTCCTCGTTCTCAAGCACTATCATCAGTTCCCGGGTCTTCTTCGATACAACTTTTTTTAAAAAAAATTTCATCCTTTTTGCTCATTTTTTTATTATTCTAAAAATTTTATCATACCTTTCCTATATTAAACAACAACAAAACTACCATGTTTCAAGTCAAACAAGTATGATGATTTACTCCCTTTGAGGATAAAATTCCCAAAAGTACAGTCTAGATTTTCTATTTTGCAAGATACAGGGTCTGCTCCACAACTTCACTGAAATATCTCTTTTAAATATAATTAATAACTCTATTTGTACTTCTTACCTCTTCCTAAATTAAGATATAATTTATATATAGTAAGAAGCACAGATCTTAAGTAGTTATATAATTTATATATTTTGTAAACCACATACCTATGTATATACAGTACATGTGTATCATTCCAGAATATTCCCTCATATCATCTTCTAGATGTGATGAAAGAAATTAGAACACTTGCTACTACAGAGGACAGGGTGGTTTCTTTCATCATAGATTATTTTTTTCCTGTTGTAGAACTTCAAATAAATGGAATCATACAATGCATACTTTCCTGTCTAGCTTCTTTCACTAAGTACAACATCTTTAAGTTTCATGCAAGTTGTTCTGTGTAGCAAGTTTATTCCTTTTTTATTACCAAGTGCTTTTCATGTCGTGAACATACTACAATTTATTAATCCATTCCCTTGTTTATGCACATTTGGATTTTTTACAATTTGGAACGATTCTGTAAAGCTGCTATGAGCATTCTTTCACAAGTCTCCTTGTGAACACGTTTCCATTTCTCTTGGGTAAATGCCTAGGAATAGAATTGCTGAATCATAGAATAGATGTATGCTTAACTCTATAAGAAGCTTTCAAACCATTTTCCTAAGTGGATGTACAACTGTGTATTCTCATTAGCAACATATAAGGTTCTAGTTACTATATCCTCCTGCCAATCATTGGTGTTTTCAGTTTTTTAAATTTTGATCATTGTAGCAGGTAGATAATAATATCTCTGTGGTTTTGATTTGCATGTTCCTGATATTTAAGGATGTGAACTACCTTTTCTTGATTTTACTGTCCCTTTGTGAAGTATTTGCTTAAGTATTTTGTCCATTTTTATTCTGTTTAAAAAATTACTTAGTTGCAGGAAACCCCTCCCTCCTACCATATATACAAATTAATTAAAAATGGAATATGGACTGAAACATAAAAGATATCAAGACCATAAAACTTTGAGAAGAAAGTATTTTTTAAAGTTTTTTACAGCATTGCAGTAGGCAGACATTTCTTAGATGGGACTGAGAAACACTATCCATATAATAAAATATTGCAATATCAGGTTTTACGAAAATTAAAAATCTCTGCTCAACAATTGTCACTATTAAAAAAATCAATAGGGAAGACACAGACTGCAAGAAAAAATCCACAATACATGCTTCTGACAATGATTTGTAGGCAGAATATATGACAAATGATCTTTTAATTATTAAATATATGGGCTTTTCATTTCTTCCTTCTCCAGTTTGGTTTTTCATATCCTTTGGCCCTGTTTGGCCACCCACTTCTTCTTGAAGATTACTTCTCTTTTGGCCGGGCGCTGTGGCTCACGCCTTAATCCCAGCACTTTGGGAGGCCGAGGTGGGTGGATCACGAGGTCAGGAGATCGAGACCATCCTGGCTAACACGGTAAAACCCCGTCTCTACTAAAAATACAAAAAACTAGCCAAGCGTGGTGGCAGGCGCCTGTAGTCCCAGCTACTCAGGAGGCTGAGGCAGGAGAATGGCGTGAACCCGGGAGGCAGAGCTTGCACTGAGCGGAGATCATGCCACTGCACTCCAGCCTGGGCGACAGAGCGAGATTCCGTCTCATTTAAAAAAAAAAAACAAAAAAAAACTTTTAGCTGTTATTTTCCTTATTTGCACATTTTAAACTCTCTTTAATTCATCTGTTTTAAGCTTTTTCACGGTTCCTCTTTGAATAATGTTCTGATGTCTTGTCCTACTTATCTACTCTTTTCAGTCTACACTTTTCCCTGGATGATCTAAATTCTTGCCACTTACAATGTGATCTGCCACCCAACAGCGTCAGCATCACCTGTGAGCTCTTTCGAATTGCAGAACGTCTATACCAGGCCTATACATCAAATCTGCCTTTTAACAAGATCCCCAGGTGACTCCTATATGTGCACATTAAAGCTCCGGAAGAAGCATTGTTGTAATTTATATCTACGGTTTCAACTGTCTCCTCTGGTGACAGTTTCTACATATTTAGTTCATGCTATTCTCCTGTGGTCCAGATTTATACCTCAGTGTGCTAAGCATCTCCAGATGGCTGATATTTAAGTAGGTATGTAAAACACAATATGTTCAAAACAAACTTATTATCTTTCTCTTCTTTTATTTCCCTATCTCAGTTAATGAAGAGGCAAAGCCAAATAATGATTTCTCTTATAAAATAAATGACTAAATATTTTTTAAAATAAAAAGATTCTACTTAAAATAAAATGATTTTGCAATACCCAATTCTGTGACTTACAGGGCACAGCCTGAGTTGGTATGGAAAGACAAAAAATTAAATAAAATTTGTTGTGGTGAATAATAAATTGGGATAATGTACATTAACTCCCTAAAAGAAAGATGATCATTTAGTATCTTTCATCCTCAATAATCTCAAAGTTTGAAATTGAAACAACTTTTTATACATGCAAACAGTTCAGCACCTCACAGGGAAAAGAACATAAAATGCTATATATTTTGCATATACCTGTTATATGATGTCAGAATATCATCAAGTTTTTATCCCATCAACAAATATCTATCAACAAAAACTAAAAATAAAAGCAGCATTTCTACTCAGTTATTCCTAGTCACAAAAAAGCAATTCATTCCACTGGAATGAGAAAAGAAAATGCAAAAGATTTGATTTATATTATATAAAGACTAGAAATTACTGTTGAATTGCTGGACTGAATTATACACATCCCACAGGTACTGAGTTCAATGACAGTTACATTTTTAGTGAAAAATATTTCATTCTCATTCCAGATGTCAGAGTGTCTTCACAGTTATGTCACAGAAGGTACTTTTTCTTACCATTTCTCTAAGGTGAAGATACAAATTCATGCATCCCATTTTACTGAAGAAGAAATTTCAGATGAACTTTTGTGCCACCCCTAGCTCCTTTTTTTTTTAAATAGGCATTTTTGGTTGTGATACTTTAGCCTTGTCTTCTGCTAAGTACATAAAATAAAATATCAGTAAGCATGACTGAAAGATGGTGGTGGTTTTCCCATTGTGTTTGTAAGTAATAATCATGTCATTAATTAACATTTATAGGGAGCTTTTTTTGTGCCTCACTTTATGTTTCATTATTTCACTAAATCCATACAATAGCCAATGATGTTTAGAGCTATTGGTGGCTTTCTTACCTTCTCACAGCAAGAGAAATTCTCCTTAGTATTGTTTAATTGCAAAGTCAATGTTATTCACCATCCCAACATGAGGGTGTAGAAATTTGTCTACACAGTTTGCGTTCACATCTCTTATTTGAAGAAATAATTTAAAAAGAGGAAAATCTATCCCCTCTACACCTCTGGAGTGTAAATTTTCTGCTCTGTGGAGTCAGAAGGAAGGAATCAGTCAGAGAAACAATGAAAATGATGATAACTGTGTCTGTTCTATGGAAGAGAGGAAAATGAATTACTTCATGGCATCAGGGTGCATTTGGAAAGTAAGGGCTACAAGAATTCCAGAAAGAAATTTTATTTTTGAGCAATGTGTGGATCCTCCCCCATGCCCTACGATTAGGCCAAGAAGTACCTGCTCATTCGTAGCAGGGATAGACACACACACACACACCTATTTCTGTCTAAGCTTCAACATTAGCGTGGACCCTCAAGTTACCACTTGTACAACTAGAAGCATGAGTGTTTGCAGCTGGGAAAATGAATTTTTCACACATTGCTGGAGTCCTAACCCTGAGCAGACACAGCATCCTCCCAGTATACAAGTTTTCTGAGTGAAATCAGTGCTGCTGACAGGATCCACGTTTTCAATCTATATTCATCTACACAGCATCATATCTTCTTGGGAAGGGCATTGTCATACAGTTGAAGCTAATGTTCTGGCAGGCTTTTGTCTTGCTGGTCTATCATTACAATCCCAACTGAACCGGAAGGCCTCAGGGGTTTTCTGTTGCTCTCAGTCAATCAGAATGGCAGGTACCGACTTTTCATAACATGCTGATCCAAAGGAGGCAGTCACTGCATGGGGTTTCCGTGTTTGGCCTCTTTTCCTCCTTGTACATGAGAAACCTGGAATAATTAATTGGAAAAAAATTGAGAAGCATTAGGTCTGCAGTATTTGACCAGGCTATGAGTTTCAATTAATGTTCATAAATTTCCAGTTTCCTTTCTCGCTGTTATCTAGCAAGCTGCTGCTAAAATTTAAAGTTCAAGAAGAACTTTCCCAGCTCTATAGCTGTTAACTGCATCTTCTTAAGGAGTCAATATTTAGATTTTGAGAGGGAAAAAGTGACTCTAATAATGCAAAATGCACATGGAACTGGTTAGATATATAAGACATTTTACAATGTGTACATTTTCCCCATAGCTGAGGCCTTCCTTTTAAGAGCTATTGCAAAAATTTTTATGAAAATTTTTATTATAGATTTAAAAAAAATTTCCTGCTTTCTTAAACAGAATATGTTGAACATAGTTTAGCTTTATTCCACAGGGCTCAGGAACATTATTATGAATATCCATTATTGTGTTATGGTATAGTGATGCTGTGCTAGGTTCTATGTAACGTAGTAAGTCAGATTTTCCTGTAGCCTATTGAGTTTCATTCATTCCTTTACTCACTGATTCATTCTCTCTGTATTTATTGAGTTCCAACTATGTGCCAAACATTTCTCATTACCTATCAGTAAATCAAAAGAGAAAGTGTCCTTGTTTTCTTAGATTTAGTCTAGTCTGAGAGCTGGGTGTAGATAGAATAAATACACACAAAAATACATAATGCAAATCTAATACATGACAAGAAGATGAAGAGTTGGATGCCATCAAAGAAAAAGAGAAGACTTATCTAATTCAGATGAAAAGGGCAGGGAAAGATTCTGAGGAGTAAATTTTTTTTCCCATGAGATTTTCAAAATTAGGAATTAGCTAGAGTAATGATATGCGTGTGCAAAGGACAAGGATTGAACAAATGGCTCATCTGGCTGAAGCATAATAAGGAGAAAGAGTTTAAAAGAATACTCATGAGGTTTAAAAGTTTCAAAAAAAATTGCCAACTACTTCCTCATGAGTGGTTTAAACATTTCAGAAAAAAAGTCACAAAATTATGAAAACATTGATACCAAAAAAGTTGACGTTTTAAGTATTAATGAGGATTTAGGTCAAATGCAAATATATTTTTAAAATTACCTTTATGTTTGTTATTTTTTATTAAGTTTTTTCTTAAGTTATTTGAGAATTCTCCATGGAAATTTAAATGAGTATGATGTGGGATAAAACAAACAAAATTATTTATGCCAATTGAAACGCCGATGTCATTGTTTCCCAGATTAACACTTCATTAAAACCTGGGAATGTCTATAAAAGGGATCTTTAAACAAATAAAATATTATTTTACTTACTACAGCATGTTGCTGGTGTGAGAACAGTTTGTATGTAAAGCAAATGGAATTATGGTTAATTAGCATGAAGTTTCGTTCAATGAATAGTGAGTGAAACTCAAAATAGTGGAAGTATCTATTTGGATTATTACTAAAATCAAGAACAAGATGATTTTCCCAAATGAACTCCCTGCTTTATTTTATTCCATGGACACAATTTTCTTTTGAAAAAAAATCAGAATTAAAATATCCTTAAATTGTGCTGATAATTCCCTTGAATTATTGATTACTTAAATTAGCATGTAGAAAATATTTTACTTCCCTGAAATTGATTTTCTGTTGATTTTTTAAAAGGATGCATAAGATACGTGGATTGATGTTTAAATTCATCCTGAGCATTGAAATTCAGTAGCCAATTAATGATACTCAGTATGTGTTATTCATAAAATACCCGTAAAATTGATTATTAAAACCCAGAGCAACAGATTTTCATACTGGAATGTATGTGTACTCAAGACAAAACTAATTCTAGTGCCTGCTAATGCCAGCATTATTAGAAAACCTTTTCCTTGTTTTACTTTTTGAATGTAATTAGAAATTTGCTTAAAAGTCCCCACTGATGTGAAATGTTAATATTAGTGCAATTAATGAAATGCTAATATTTATGAATTAATTTGTGAAAATCTTGATGAAAGGAAGCTAACCAAAATCATTTATGCAGAATCTACCAGAGGACACAGTTTGTCCTTGGTGACTTTCTCATTTTGCCTTCAGAATGTTATTTAGTAAAATAGTCAGTGATATTTCAGTAAATGTTTGGTTGAAAGGGCTCTTTAAGACAAAGTTAACACCAGCTTCTAACATAGATATATTAATTGGAAATATTAGAGATGATATTTCTCAGCCACTAACTCAGATGTGTAGGGGGAAAATGTAGTTTTTGTTTTCCACAATTTAACTTTGTCTTTATCTTGAGCTTCCATTCTTCCTGGTGACCAAATACGTAGTTTCAGTCTGACCCATGTGGACTCCTTTATTTCAAGATTAAATGCAATTGATCCAGTATCTGTTCCTTCTACTCCATGCCGACCAGCATCTCCAGGTGCATCTGATTTCCTGAACATCCTACTGGTATTTGCTCAAGCTTCCTTGTTCAGACCCATACTCTAACCACCAGGGCAAACTCTTTTCTTCTTTGGCGTCTTTGCATCATGTCTGAAATTTCTCCATGTCTGCTAGTTCTTAGCGTCACAGTGTCATCACCTTTTATTATACAAGAAAACAAATAGCATCCCCCCATGCCATGTGACATGGGTTGGGGCTGATTTGTTTAGGCATGCTCTATTCTTCCCAAGATGTTGGTTCTAGAAACACAGTGGGGTTTGTTGTCTACTAGGGCATATGGCAGACCATGTTTAACTTCAGCTCTCCTATTGCCTCACAGAGATCATAGCTGAATTAACTGACTTGGCAAATATTTTTCACATTTTTTTCTTAGTTTTGTCTGGATTTTGACTTTTTAAACTTACATCCACAAATTTGGTATCCATGGCAACTTCTCTTTGGGGCAATAGTGGCCTCTTGATGGATGGTTCAGGCAACCAACGAAAAAATTTCCTGATGCCAAAAGAGCAAATAGCTCCTTGGTCAATGCTTCACATTGACTAAAAATTTGCAGAAGAGAAACGAAAGAAAGGAAAGTAGGAAGGAAATTATGCATATTAGCATAGGACTTAGAAAGCAAGCCTTTGCAAATCCTTTGTGATAAGACCCCAGAATATCATTATAATTAAGGGTAGCCAAGGCAAAATAGCAAATTCAGGAGGATGCCTTCCATTTCCTCTTCATCCTATCTTGATACTACTCTTCTTTTCTTGCACAGTCTTCTCACATATCCAAGTCCCAGCTTCAGAGAGTTCCCATGGATCTTTTTAACCTATGTTGTATTAACATCTCATTGTTTAAAAACCTTTCCTCCATTGACAGATGGCATATATATATTCACACACACACATACACAAACATATGGAACATAATTCAGCCATTAGAAAAGAAATAAATCTTGCCAATTACAACAACATGGATGAACCTGAAGGTTATTATGTTAAGTAAAATAAATCAGACAAAGAAAGACAAATCCTGTATGATCTCACTTATATGTGGAATCTAAAAAAGTCAAACTCACAGAAACACAGGGTAGAATGGCGATTGCCATTTCTACAGGGCTGGGGGATGAGGGAACGGGGAGATGTTGCACCATACTCATAATGTAAAAGGTAACTGTGAGGTGATGGATGTGTTACTTAACTTGATTATGGTAATCATTTCACAATATATGCATCTATTAAATATTCACAGTGTACACCTTAAATTTAAGTAGTTTTATTTCTTAATTATATCTCACTAAAGCTGAAAAAATTAAAAAAATAAAATCTTTTTCTTTAAAATCTCTCTCTGAGGATTCAACCAATATGCAATGCTGCGTCAAATACACATTTTGACCAGGGTCTTCTAGAGATAAACTCTTATCGCAAACATAGCTGAATTATTCTGAGGTACAAAACAAGATAATGATGGAGAGAATTCTATCGGGCTACTTCGTGGACACCCCATGGCATAAGATAGACTGCCTCACAATTAATAGTTAAGATGTAGAGAATTTTAGGAAATTTGAAAGCAAGTTTATTATTCTTACAAGGGATACCTGGGGAGAGCAGGGTGGGCACAAACAGATCCAGGCTGGCTTGGTCAAGGCAGAAGGAGGGGATTGAACCTTCATAGAGGTTAGGGGATAAGGCTGGGGGTTGGCTAGATTTGAATTTCCCACCGGGGCCCAAGGAAGGGGCATGTATGGGCTTTTTGATCAGCCTGTCCAGATGTGGGGCTAGCAGAAAAGGGAAAAGTGAGTCTTCAGAGTAAGTGGTCAAATGTCAAAAAATGAGGGTGGGTCTCTTTTTCACACTGATTTTTCCCTGCTATGTGGGAATGACTGGTCATTGCCCAGGGGTTCCTTACTCCAGAGACCAAAGGCAGCTTCCCCACAGAATACATGAAACTGCAGTGAGGGGTGGTAAGAGACCATGAGGATTACGCAAATTTGGGGAATATGAAGAAAGCCAGGGTCTGGTTCCTTCTTTCCTTTTGTACCTATTTCCTGAGGTAGATCTGGAATTACACACAGGACCCCATGATCCATAGATCCATCTTCTCTAAAGCTAAAATAGTAGAAAAGTATAAAAAACACTTTCATGCTTCAAACATGATGTGCTAATAGAGTAATATTTGTAGGGCAGGAGCAAATGTGTGACATTCACAATCAATTTTAAAATGAGACCTCGGTGTATATTCATTTATTCATTCATTCTTTTTTTAATGAATAAAACCATATCTACTTATTTAGCCAGGCAGTTTTCTAGGTGTTGAGATACATGAGCAAGAAAGATAAATAACCTGACCTTATGGAGTTGGCTTTTTTTTGAGATGGAGTCTTGCTCTGTCACCCAGGCTAGAGTGCAGTGGCACCATCTCAGTTCACTGCAACCTCCGCCTCCTGGGTTCAAGCAATTCTTCTGCCTCAGCCTCCTGAGTAGTTGATTGCAAGCCACCAAGCCTGGCTAATTTTTGTATTTTTAGTAGAGAGGGGGTGTCACCATATTGGCCAGGCTGGTATCGAACTCCTAGACCTTGTGATCCGCCCGCCTCGGCCTCCCAAAGAGCTGGGATTACAGGCGTGAGCCACCATGCCCGGCCAGAGTTTGCTTTTTTATAGATGACAGTTAAAAGAAAAAAGTACAACTTCAATTCTGTTAAGTACTATAAAGGAAGGCCTAACCTAGTCTTGGGTACAAGGAAGGCAGCCCTTGGGATTGACGGTTTGTCTGAAACCTGAGGCATCAGCCCAGAAAGTCTTTAAAGAAGTCAATTCTGGGCACAGGAGTTCCCATTTTCTAATTTTAGTGTTTAGCCAGCACTATATTTAATTGGCCAGATAGAAATAGGGCAAAAATTGAAATGGGCCTCTCTGCCTCTGTAATGAATTAAATAGTTTTCCATAGCATTAGCTGTAAATGACACTACTGAACTGACAATTTCTTTCTTGTTTGGGCTTCATTT
Organism: Homo sapiens; assembly: GCF_000001405.40. Classification (NCBI taxonomy): domain Eukaryota; kingdom Metazoa; phylum Chordata; class Mammalia; order Primates; family Hominidae; genus Homo; species Homo sapiens. The sequence goes on from NC_000005.10 coordinate 166,178,372, forward strand.
AAACTTCTGAATGGTATTAAGAGGTTATTAGAGATTAATCTCCAATTAGGTATTCTGATAGCCCAAGAAATTGTCAAAGGGTCCCCATGGCCATACTTTTTTAGCATTAAAGAGATATTGAATTAATAATATTTTGCCATCTCTTCAGACCTTTAAACTCCTGTGACTGATGTCCAATCATTTAGCCCACTTAAACAGAATGTCACACTGTGAGCCTTCCATTCTGAATAGGTCACTGTAGGCTAGTGCTCATTAGTGTTGAGTGTGCGTTTCAGAAGCTGCAGCAGTCACTCAGCCCCCATGTTTTAAGATAATAAGTAGAAAATTGTTTTCTCCCAAATGGAAGGGTTATGAAGACAGTGCCATACGTCATTATTACTGTGACTAAAAAATGTTATCGAGGCTCTATAGCGCTGTATAATGCTTCACCATAAGGCTGTAAAATCATGTTGGGATGGTGAGTGAGGCTCATGGCATGGTTCCCAGATGCATCTGGAGTGCTGTGGACTGCACAGGACAGAGTCCAAGAGCCCAGCATCGAGAGCAGGAGGGGCTGGGCGAGGCAGCTGTGAGTTATGTGGGATTCTCACCCACCAAAGCAAGACGTGAATGAATTAACCAAGTATTGGCAGTGAAAATTTAAAGCGAAAGGTCAGGAAGGCATTATCTGCAAAGAATCTCCCTTACTTTGTTCCATTGAAAAGTTATTTTCTTTCTCTTTTACATGTTTCTTTTTTAAAGCTTACCTCTTTACTAGACTATGAAAAGATATGTCATCACTTTGAAATTTATTTTTTAATTAACTTTTTCTTTTCCTCATCTGGTTTCTTTAATTACATTTTATGCACCACCTATGTGTATTCTAGTAATAATAAGACTTTCAAAGGTGTAGACTATAAGACTTAACTAGTAATTCTAAACTGGGAATTTCTAAGGCACACATGGTAGAAAGGATTCACATATTGATTAGAATTGGATGAGTTTTGTAAACATCTGTTATTTTTGCCTTGTAACGTTTCTCACCCTTCTGGCAGGAGCTCCTAGATTTTATTTTCCTTCAGGGAACTAATTTCACCCCTTACCTCGAATTTATGGTTTTGATGGGACTGTCAGTAAAGATACATCACTTTCCTGAGCCAAGGGAGGATGGACAAGTGACCTAAGTTACACCAATAAGACTATATTCTTCTATATTTGAATTTTAAGCAGAGAGACACAAAGATGGAAAATGGTTTGCCCTGACACATTCCTGTGAGGAAAATGTAAGAGAGTGCCTTTAAAAAAATTTTTTTTTTAATTTTAAGTTCTGGGGTACACGTGCAGGATATGCAGGTCTGTTACATAGGTAACCATGTGCCACAGTGGTTTGCTGCCTTTTAATTTTTCTGCCTTAGTTTGCCAAAGCAGCCCTGAGTCATGTTCTTACCAAGATCTGGTTGTAAAAGAGATAGTCCTTTTACTTGGGGAGCTATTCTATGTCTTTCCAATATATTCAGTTTTAGGCAAAATTAGTTCTTTGGGCTGTAGTCTAGGAAAATTACCTGATTCCGTCATAACCAAACCTTCATCCAACCTGATAAACCAAAGAAATAATTAGCAAAAAAATTAGCAATATAGTAGATATATTTGATTGTGTTGTTAGGGACTAATATGTGTTGGGAGGAGGGGGCCACTGAAAAATCAATGGGGGCGTTTGAATTTGGAAGGTCATAAATTATGGGCTTTGAAATTTGCTGTTTGATACAGTGTAATATAACGGACTAGGAGGAAAAAGAAAAAGGTAACCCGTTTTCTGATCTACTCCCATGATGTCTGCGGCCTTGCCCCATGACATCTGTGGTGGGTTTCGGTTGCCTTATTTACAAAGTAATGAGTGAGCTGGATGATCTGAAGATCTTGTTTGGTTCTATGATCTGGTAATTACATATTTTTATTCTTTAAGCTCTAGTGAAATGTTGAAAGTTTTTGAGCAGAGGGATGACAGTATAAAAGCCATGTTTTATGATAGATTAAAAAAAGAGACATTTCGGTAGTTAAAAATGACATAGAATATCTAAATTCTTCTTTACTCATCATCATTTTTAAGACAGGTTTGTGAAATATGTATGCCTTTAGAGCAGCAAACTACTTAGGATTGCTCGATGAAGTCAAAGGCAAGTTACTAGAGGAAATTCAGATCTAACATTTGAGGTTCAAATATTATTTGAGGTAAAGAAAATTTAGGAAAAGAAATCCTAATGAATATGAAACAATATCAACAATAAAACTTGAACAAACTCCTTAAGAGAATATTCATAATTTACATGTTGATTGTCTAATAAGCAAAAGTAAATTAATTTTGATTTAATTGAAATTATCTTAAAGTTAGGTTGTATATGACAGTGTTGAAAAGTTGTTGGAGTCTCACTCTGTCACCCAGGCGGGAGTACAGTGGTGTGATCTTGGCTCACTGCAACCTCCACTTCCCTGGGTTCAAGCAATTCTCCTGGCTTAGCCTCGTGAGTAGCTGGGACTATAGGCGTGTGCCACCAAGACCGGGTAATTTTTTTTTTTTTTTTTGTATTTTTAGTAGAGATGGGGCTTTGCCATGTTGGTCAGGCTGGTCTCGAACTCTTGACCTCAAGAGATCCACCTGCCTTGGCCTCCCAAAGCGCTGGGATCACAGGCATGAGCACTTCTCGTAGCCGAGATTTTTTTTTTTTTTTTTTTTTTAACGCACCTGACGGGTCTCCCAGCCTCTAAACTACCCTGTCACCAATATACTTTTTAAAAATATTTGTGTGTATCAAATATAATACAGAGAACAGGCATAAAACAAAAATCAAGACTAAATTATCATAAAATCAACATTTATGTGTCTACTACTCATAGCAATAAATAGATCATGACCTATAACCTGAAATCTCCTTTCTAGCCTCTTCCCATCACTACTTCTTTCTTACATCCTAACCATTGTCCTGACAAGTATTGTAATCACTTCCTTGGTGTTACTGTCTAATCACTGCTTAGTTTTACCTCTTGTTTTAATTTCATACAAACAGAAACGCATTACTTGGATTTTATTGTGCCTGGATTCTTTAACTTACATTATGCTTGTGAGATTCAGCTGTTATTGTGGGGAGCTATGGCTCAATCATTTTGGGTGCTATATAGTATTTCACATATGGATATGCTATCCATTGATATTATAATAGATAAATAAATTGTAGCATATCTTTGTGTGGAATACTACACAGCACCCAAAATGACTGCTATTATAAATGTCATTTTACAAGTGACCTCTGATGATGTTTCTCCCCTTATTAAATATTTTTATTTCATTCATTCATTTCATTTCATTCCATTCCATTTAGAATAGCATCTAACCTTCCTAGCTTATAATTTGCAGCTTTTTATAATCTAATCTTCCAACTTTATATAATATCATTCCCCACCACATGTATTATATATTCTAAGGCTGTAAAGCAACACTGTTCCCTAGTGATAGGGACACTCACATGCTCCTGTGCATTTGGCTTATGTTATCTCTGCTGTCAGAGTATGCTTTCATTGTTTGGTGATAAAATCTTATTCGTCTTTCTATACAGCTTTAATGTCAACTCTTCTGTGAAAATACGTCCTAAACCCATCTCAAACATACAAACAAAAACACTCTTCAGAACTGATTATTTTGTCCTCACTTTCTGACGCAAATCCCCATGTACCTTATAAGGGAGCCCCGGTAACCTGTTTCCTCAATACACCCTACCTCCATACCTTCATGCATTTGATCATAATTATTTCTTTGCCCAAAGAGGGCACAGCTCATGCCCTGGAGACTTTATTGGTTCTTTTTTTTTTTTATTTACCATAAAAGCTGAGTTACTGAGTTAATACATCACTCTACTGTGCTCCTACAGCACTTTGTTCATATGTCAATTATGGTGGACTACAGTCATATTCATTTTCCAAATTGTTGGTCACATGTGTTTTCTTCCTGGAAGCAGAGAACCCTCTTGTTTTTTTTTTTTTTTTTTTTTTTTTAGCAACAGATTTAATATAATAATTGTCACATACAATATGTGGCAATTAATATATGATTGGTGAAAGAGTAAGTGCACAGATGCATGCATGAATGCATATGTCTCTATTCCACTAGTTATGATATAGTTTTCCACAAATGGGTTCAGAAAGTCACTTTATTAGAATGGACCCAAAATTCATTTTTACTTATCATGATAGTAGGGGGAAAATGGGAAGAATTAATTAAAGCTAGACACAATTCCAAAAGCTGGTTTAACCAGTATTTTCTCTGGCTTCCACCAAAGTGTGACTAACAAATAGAATGATACTTTATTCTGTCTATTTAGGTTTTGTTCATTAATGTACGGTGGAGGTTTTATTGAGCTGTGAAATTATTGAAAGCACTCATCACCAAACATTAGTGGACCTAAGAATCAACGGAGAAAATTGTTAATATTGTACATTTATGACCTTAAGTATCTGGTTCATTAGGGCAGTGTTGGATCCCAGAGATACGCATTTTTTGAAGTCCCTTAAATAATTCTACTTCAAGAGATTCTGCTACCACCATTAAAAACAATCCAGTTTCCATGTAGTTATTGGCCTGGAAACAGAGCAAACTATTGGGTACACAAGTAAAGCCTAAATAATCAGATGCTGAATTCCAGAATGTTGGATAGAAACCATCTTAGATATGCAGCTGAACAACTTGGGCTTGAACTGCATGAGTGCACTTATACATTGATCTTTGTCAACCAAACACAGATTAAAAATATAGTAATGGAGTAATGGTGGGATGTGAAACCCATGTATACAGATGGCTGACTTTTTGTATACACAGATTCCTCCGGGCCCACTGTGGGACGTTAGTATGCATAAATTTGGGTATATATGGGGCAGAGAGTGGTCTGGGAACCAAGTCCCTGAGTGTACCGAAGGACAACTGTGTACATTTGACATGGTGAGAAAGCAAAGTGAAACTCTTTATTTCAATATCTAGCAGCAAACCAAAGTGGCATAAATACCAGAAAACAATGGAAGTGGGAAGGAATTTGTCCATTGCCTTAGAAACCACTTAAATATTGTTTAAGAAAAACAGTAAGTCAAAGGGAGAAACAAATGTAAATTAAGAACACAATGGTATCCTGAAAGATATTTCTCTGGGCTAAAATCTACCCCAGTACTCACAAATACTTGACTTTTAATATTTCCTCTCTCCTTTTTGTCTTCCTGCTGTTCTAAAAGGAGATATACCTAAGATGATAATCTGGCAACTGTGCCTTGAAATACCATGAATTTCAATTGTTTGTGAAATAGACGGATGAACTACAGAGTAGAGAGATTTTGATAGAGTCAGATGAATTTATTAATTTATTTCAGAAACATTGTTTAGCTAACTAAATAAATAACTGTATTTAGTACTTTGAAAATGCCTTGTTATTCATTTGTAATGGGGTGTGTCCACACTTTTTAAGAGATAATCCCTCAAGTTCATGACCTTGATGGGCTCATTTGGCCAGAACAGAAAACTCACATGCATTTGCAAATACGAGCTGACCCATACAACCCTTCTACCTAAAACAGAGAAATGCATCATGTTTTTGCAATTTCAGGCACTAATAGGTAATAGCATTTTGTTATCTTTTTAAAGCTTTTTATAGTATTACTTTTGAACTATACCACTTTGCATTAGGAGCATGTGCAGTATTTGGAAAAAGTAGCATGTTAAAGTATGGGCCTGACTCTCATGCTGTATTTGTGAAGTTGTTAGAACATTCTGGCTTTCTGAATCCACCAAGCAAGTCAGCCAAGATGGAAACATTAATTGGAATATGTGGGTGCATTCGCATTTTTATGGTATACCCTTAGAGATTACACGATTGGCCAAGAAAGCATATTTAGGATTCATATGTTTTAATTATGAAGTATAACTCTCCATGGATCTCATTTTTGGCTCAGTTTATTATTTTAGTTCTTTAAAACTCTAATAATTAGCATACATAGATGTTAAGTGTTTTAATCTGAGGCATTTATTATTGACTTTTAATGGTTCGTCATAAATTATATGCAAAAGGGGACCAAGAAAACAAAAAAGGTTTATGGTTGTGTTATAAATTATCAATATAAATTGTGAGCTCCTAATTTTCAATGGAAAAAATGCTGTGTTTATTTTATTTTCACCATTAATTATTTAACCAGTAAGGGACACAGACACTGTTGGGATTGTCATTCTCTTTCCTCCAAATTCTGAGGAAATATGATTCTAAAAATGAATGCTAGGGCATGGTTTTTATTTGTCTATTCTTTTAAGTTGTAGTTTGGGACGAAATTTATTTTCACCAACACCAGTGGAAAGCAAAGTGCCAGGAGGTCGAGAGAAGGAGAGAGACCGAATGCAGAACTTGTGATCTAACAGAAATAGTCACTTGAAAACTGTAGACAACTGTCAAAATTTGTGGACAGTTCTTAGAATTTGGTTTAAATATTACTATAATGCCAAATATATGAATATATTTTCAGCTGGAAAGTGTATGAATATTTTAAATCAGAGGCACTGTTAAAAGCCATATTCGTACAGATCTTAGGTTAGTTTTTATGTCTGATACAGCATAAAAATAATGGTGTTTATTATTCCCTACCATGTATCATGAAAAGTCATCTTTATAATCGTGACAAGAAGCACAATCACATTTTACACAGGGCAGCCTGGAGTATGCATGGTCCCTATCTAGAAGTGTAATGTTCATTTTTTTCTTGTTTTAAATGAGAGATATTCTGAAGGAGGAGACTTATTTTTGTAATGTGTCTGTCAACTCGTTTCTGCACACAAATGCTCTTTCTCTTTCCCTTTATGTGTCTGCCCTACTAAATAAAAGGATTGATGTAGGTGATAAATCTGACCTACTTCCTAGATTTAACGCTGCGTCTGTCGGTACCTTGCTAAAGAGTCTGATCTCTGATGAGCTAATCAAGGCTTACACTGTCACCCCAATAGGGCATGCGTGGAGTCATAAAATTGTTTTACGCTGTTATGTGTAAATTGGAATAAAACGGTAGTAGCGCACTGTCAGCACAAATGCTTCTGAGCTCTTTTTCTTGAAGAAACTCATCTCTTCCTAAGACACAAGACCGAAGTGAGAAACGGGATACCTATAATGTATAAAACACCATTATCCACTACTTTTTTTTTGGTAGGAAAAAAACTCAGATATTTCCCAGCCCCCATGGATAAGAATAACAGGAAAGCATATATGAGTTCTTTGTTTTAAAACAGGCATATGTTAGTACACAGTCAGTAGTTTTAAGAAAGGAAAGAAAGCCTTTAATTGGCCTTTTTGGATGCATGACACACATCACTTCTTAAACAGAATGAAGCTCTACATGCAAGTGTTTTTTTTTATTTAAAAAATTACTTATTAGATGAAATACCAGTGGAATAACTAGGATGCTGGCTAGGCTAGATTCTGAAGCATGATCAAAATTAATAACACTGTCTGGAATTTAGTGACAAGCATTCGAATGCCACATTGAAAATGGCAGCATCTGCTTAATAGCATGTGCCCATTTAACATTGATGTGTAAGAGCACTAAGATAGGAAATGTTTCTGCCTGGAAGTGAAGTAAGTGTTTGTGTAATTAAATGCTGGGAGAAATGAGTTTTAAGCTCGAGTAGATTGAAAAATGTTAAATTGAAATATTAAAAATAAATTCTAAAATTACTGTTGTGTTTGAGAGTAGTGCAATCGTTAACTATGAGTTTACTGGTTATAAATACTTACCTATATTTGACTCAACTTCTTAAGTATTCATAGAGACAGACAGCAAGCTACTGTTCACATTAGGCAAGATTTACCTTATTAAGAAGAGATAGCAACCTATTAGCAGGAAAAGGAATTAACACTAAACTTCTCTTCTACCCTTCTATCCTCTAATCTTGAATAAATGTCCAAGTTATATACTAAACAATGAATTAAATGCTTATACTACAGATGAATTAAACTTTAGAAACAAAAGAGATTAAAAATTTGAAATTTATAGACTTAATTCACAGTTGGGAAATTTGTCCCTTCATTATACATGAAGTTTTCCTGTAATGCAACATATTCCTTTCTAAAAGTCACCATGCTATGCCAAATCACAGCATTAAAAACCAGGGGCTTGTGGGGAAAATGAGGTTGGAACACAACACTCAAAAATTTTATTATTGACATTATTTAATATTAGTGACATTTACTATTAACATTATTGGCAACAATAGAAACTAATAAAATGGTAGCACAGTTTTACATGTTAAATGGTTAAGAAATTCGTATATATGATATAAGTGTGGCACTTTCTCAAAAACACCAACATTTGCTTGTGGAAGTGAGTTTCAAAAGAGTTGTAGCTTGTTATTCTAAGTTGATAGAAGGATGATTGTCTAATATCAAAAAGAAAGCTATAACGCCTGTAATCTCAGCACTTTGGGAGGCCGAGGCAGGTAGATCATGAGATCCACAGATCGAGACCATCCTGGCTAACACGGTGAAAACCCATCTCTACTAAAAATACAAAAAATTAGCTGAATGTGGTGGCACATGCCTGTAGTCCCAGCTACTCGGGAGGCTGAGGCAGGAGGATCCCTTGAACCCAGAAGGCGGAGGTTGCAGTGAGCCAAGATCACGCCACTGAACTCCAGCCTGGGCGACAGAGCGAGACTCTGTCTCAAAACAAACAAATAAACAAAACAAAAAAAGAATAGGTGTGGCTCATCACAGAGGTGGGGAACTTTTGGTAGTTGATAGATGTTTAAGGTATGTGAGTTTTGTCCTTTCCTATGAAACATGGGTCAGCTGGATACAGTTTTCTGTGTTCACCTACCATTTCACTCAGATGAAATCATGTGTAAATGAACATGAATTGCATTACGCCGAAATTATTCCCTGCTATACTAATTGCATTGGACCAAATTTGCATTTTCACAAGAAGCATTATAGCAGAACTGACTCAACTGAAATCTGTGAAAATTTGTGTTATAAAGTATATATCCCTTATGACATAAAACTGTCATGTCAAAATTCTAATATTCATAGAATATGCTTTTATTAACATGCTTTTCCTTATGCCGAAAAATTTTACTAGGCAACAGTTGGTTGGAATTTTGTACTTTGGGCTTTCTCAAGTCCACTTCCACATTGTCCTATTTGAGAAATAAAAATATTAGTGAAAATCTTTGCAGTCCACCTTAAGCCTCCATGGTTGTTCTGTTAATATACCCATTTTATAGAACTTGAAACCACAACTTGAAATGCGTAAGTAATTTCTCCAAGGTCATGTAGCTAATAAGGCTGATTATTGTAGTATTTTGACCCAGGCTCTTTACCAGCATTCACTTACACATAATTTTCTATTCTTGACGTAAGAATTGGAAAGGGAAAGCCCCTAAAACCTTTTCTCCCTTGACTCATAACTTCTATAAAGGAGAACGTTATGCCTATTACCAAATATCCTGTATATCTTTTTGCGACATTTTAGTCTTATCAGAAGACATAAGAGACCACATATAGAGATACTTAATGTTTGTTTATTTATTTATTTATTTATTTAGAGACAGAGTCTCACTGTTGTCACAGGCAGAAGGGCAGTGGTGCGATAGCTCACTGCAACTTCCACCTCCCAGGTTCAAGCAATGCCCGTGCCTCAACCTCCCAAGTAACTGGAGTTACAGGCGTGTGCCATCATACCCAGCTAACTTTTATTTTTAGTAGAGAAAAGGTTTCACCATATTGGCCATGCTGGTCTTGAACTCCTGGCCTCAAGTGATCTGAAGATACTTAATCTTTACCCTTCCTTTAATTCATAGGAAATGATGTCCCATGAGTGAATTATCCAAATAGGATAGAAGTGAGGAGAGGAAGGTCACTGCAAAACATATGAGCTACTTCAGATTGGTAAAGTGGTGGTCAACTAGGAGATCTTTAGTTATTATTCGTCGCTTTGATAAGCTGATAACAATTATAAACCGTTTTCTGATAAGTGCAATAGACTCCTCATTAAAGCCATTTAAAGTAATGGATCACCCATCTCCCTCCTCCCATCCACAGCATCATTTTCAAGTGCTGTCTACTTCAAAACTGAGGGGCAGCAGGAGGGAGGAAAGAAGATGTAGGTTTGAACTGAGGAGAGGTTGTTTCCCTGCTCAGGGAACTTACCTGGCTACGACTTCGGTGGCTAACTCCCAGCCATCAGGCCTTACTTCACTTTTTACAAGACTTACTTCTGCTATTATTCTAACCTTTGATCTTCCCCATCAAGTATTACTTAGAAAAACACAGCGGGTGCCCTGAAGCCTAGTTATCAGAAAGTGCAGGCACACCTCATTATATTGCACTTCACAGATACTGAAGATATGAGTTTTCTTACAAATAGAAGGTTTGTGACAACCCTGGGTCTAGCAAGCCTACCAGCGCCATTTTTCCAAAAACATGTGCTCACTTCATGTCTCTGGGTCACACTTTGGTAATTCTTACAACATTGCAAAATTTTTATTATTGTTATATCTGTTATGTTCTGTGTTCAGTAATCTTTGAGGTTAGTATTATAATGGTTTTAGGGGTGCTACGAACCACACCCATATAAGAGTGCAAATTTAATCAATACATGTGTGTGTGTTTTGACTGCTCCACCGAATGGCCCTTTCCCCACCCCTTACCTTCTCTTTGGGCCTCTCTATTACCTGAGACACAACAACACTGAAACTGGGCCATTTAATAACCCTACAATGACTTCTAAGTAAAAGAGAGTGTCACATGTCTCTCAGTTTAAATCAAAAGCTAGAAATGATTAAGCTTAGTGAAGAAGACAGGTCGAAAGCTGAGACAGGTCAAAAGGCAGGCCTCTTGTGCCAGTTAGCCAAGTTGTTAATGCAAAGGAAAAGTTCTTGAAGGAAATTAAAAGTGCTGTTCTAGTGAACAAATGAACAGTAAGAAAGTGAAACAGCCTGATTGCTGAAATGGAGAAAGTTTGAGTGGTCAAGATAGAAGATCAAACCAGCCACATGATTCCCTTAAGCCAAAGCCTAATTCAGAACAAGGCCCTAACTCTCTTCAATTCTATGAAGGCTGAGAGAGGTAAGGAAGCCGCAGAAGAAAAGTTGGAAGGTAGAAGAGGTTGGTTTGTGAGGTTTAAGGGAAAACGCCATCTCCATAACATAAAGTGCAAGATGAAGCAGCAAATGCTGATGTAGTAATAGAAGCTGCGGCAAGTTATCTGGAAGATGTAGCTAAGATCACTGATTGAGGGTGGCTACACTAAACAATCTATTTTCAGTTTACACGAACTGCCTCATATTGGAAGAAGATGCCATCTAGGAGTTTCATAGGTAGAAAGGACAACTCAATGTCTGGATTCAGTGCTTCAAAGGATAGGCTGACTCTTATTTAGTGGCTAATATAGCTGGTGACTTTAAGCTAAAGCCAATGTTCATTTACTATTCTGAAAATCTTTAAGATTTTCTTTTTTTTTTTTTAAAGTGCCTTTAGGAATTATGCTAAATCTACTCTGCCTATGCTCTGTAAATGGAACAAGAAAGCCTGGACGACAGCATATCTGTTTACACTGTGGTTTACTGAATATTTTGAGGCCTAACACTCAGAAAAAAGATTCTTTTCAAAATATAACTGCTCATTGACAATGCACCTAGTCACCCAAGGGCTCTGATGGAGATGCCCAAGGATATGAATGTGGTTTTCATGCCTGCTAACACGACATCTTTTCTACAGCCCATGAACCAAGGAGTCATTTTGACTTTCAAGTCTTATTATTTAAGAAATACATTTTCCAAGGCTACAGCTATCATATATAGTAGTTTTTTTTGTTGTTGTTGTTTTGGGGTTTTTTTTGTTTTTTTTTGAGATGAAGTTTTGCTCTGTCGCCCAGGCTGGAGTGCAGTCAGTGGCGGGATCTCGGCTCACTGCTACCTCCGCCTCCCAGGTTCAAGCAATTCTCCTGCCTCAGCCTCCCCAAGCAGCTGAGACTACAGGTGTGTGCCACTGTGCCAAGCTATTTTTTTTTTTTTTTTTTTTTGTATTTTTAGTAGAGATGGGGCAAAGAAAATTGAAAGCCTTCTGGAAAAGATTCACCATTCTAGATGCCATTAAGAACATTTGTGGTTTCATTTGAGGAGGTCAAAATAGCAACATTAGCAGGAATTAGGGAGAGGTTGAGTCCCACACTCATGAATGACTTTGAGGGGCTCAAGACTTCAGAGGAGTAAGTAACTGCAGATGTGGTGGAAGCAAGAAAACTAGAATTAGAAGTGGAACTTGAAGACGTGGCTAAATTGCTGCAATCTCATGATAGAACTTGAACAGATGAGGAATTGCTTCTTTTGGATGAGCAAAGAAAGTGATTTCTTGAGATGGAATCTACTTCCGGTGAAATACTGTGAACATTGTTGAAATGACAACAAAGGATTTAGAATATTACATAAAGTTAGTTGCTAAGCAGTAGTAGGATTTGAGAGGATTGGCTGCAATTTTGAAAGAAGTTCTACTGTGGATAAAGTGCTGTCAAACAGCATGGCCTGCTATAGAGAAAACTTTCTTAAAAAGAAGAGTCAATTGATGCAGCAAACTTCATTGTTGTCTTATTTTATGAAATTGCCACAGCCACCCCAACCTTCAGCAACCACCACCCTGATCAGTCAGCAGCGATCAACATGGAATCAAGTCCTCCACCAGTGAAAAGATTGTTGCTCCTGGAAGGCTCAGATGATCATTAGCATTTTTAGCAATTAAGAATTTTTAAATTAAGACATGAATCTTGTTTTTAGAAATAATGCTATTGTACACTTCATAGAATACAGTAGAGTGTAAATGTACTTTTTATATGCACTAGGAAACCAAAAACTTCACATGACTCACCTTATCATGATATTCACTTTATTGTGATGGTCTGGAACTGAACCAGCAATATCTCTGAGTTATACCTGTATAGATGTTTATATAGGGTTGGCAGATTTAGCAAATGCAAATACAAGAAATAAAATTAAACCTGAATTTTAAAGAGTGATGTTTCTTACGTCTGAAACTTAAATTTAATTGAGTGTCCTATGCTTATCATGGCATTTCTACACTTACAAGCAATGCATTCCTGAAGGCAGATGTTATAAGTTGGGCTCCCTTCTGGCCTTGCCTTAAGAATTGCTTTTTGTGACAAGTCATTGCCTTCACTTTCAATTAATTGACAAAAACATAATTAATTAAACTTTTTCCTTCAGTTTTAGTCCTAGGGGGAATAATGTCCTGTGAGAGGGGCTGTCTGCATCCCAAGTTGTCACCTGGTTTCCATAGAGTAGATAAAGGCAAAGTTTCACAGACTTCTAGTTCCTCTTCTTAAATGGAAGATGGATTCAAAGATCCTTTATATGTACATTTATCAATGCCTGTTTGTGTGTGAAAGATAACATTCCATATTGCTTGATTCTTTTCCGTTTCTGTCTTGTGAACAGCACACTCTTGCTGGTATTTTTCTGAACAAATAAAGAACAAAGTCATAACGTGTGGCAACCGACATAAGTGAAAATTTTTAAATTAGCTCAAACTTAGCTATGCCTGTTGCACCAAAATGTCTCTTTTTAAGACTTTTCAAAGTTGGCCTTCCAAAAATATGCTTTGCTGAGGAACTTTAGAGAACCAATTCCTCTTCTGTGGCATTTATTCATGTGATAAAGCTCACGAAGCTATCTTTAATTATTACTGTATAGGATATCCCGTTATCTTTAATTATCACCACCGAATGGTTGAAAAATCAAATACTGCTGGCAATCAAGAGTCATTATACAATAGCATGATTGCATCTGTTCGTATTAACAGATAAGCACAGAAAATCAAAACAGTGTCTGATTTAGCCACTAAAACTGTCTGAACAAAATATTGTATCTAGCGCTCTTAATATCTTGCAGTGACTTTGATCTGATTAAAGTCCGAAGAAACATAACCACAGATGCAAATGTTCTGGTGTTTCTGAAATTAATATTGCTGAATTTCACTGGACTGAATTGCTGGAATCCTAGTGAAGCAGAAGTGATTATAGGCACAGTACAAACTTATGATAGGAGGATATCTAAATCTCTGAGGCCGCAGGTGCAGGATTATAGTAAAATCCCACTGAAACATTCAGTGTTCTGTCTAAATACCCCAGTACAAAATTAATTAGGCAGTTGATCACATAATAAAGCTATGATGGATGATCTAATAGAAACTAGCATCTCAGAGTCAATAACAAACTTGATTCTCTTAGTAGATGCAGCTGATTTTCAGTTTTGCCATTTACAAGATTGTGTGCATAATAAAAGATGAAAAAAAGAAGGGGTTCTATTTTGAAAATGAGAACTCAGTTACAGTATTTATCTCTGTTGGAAACTATAATATGTAAGCAGTGTAGAATTTGTAGATAGACATATCTGCAAGTAATTCTCTAAGATACTTGGCTGAAAAGCACATCAAAGAACAGGGAAATAATGAGACAGGCTCCAGCTGTTGGATTCCTACAGCTTTTGATTTGTGCTCTACCAGAAACTCCAGGTTTTGATGCCGTGTTGATTATTTCCATGGTACCGAAGTTGATTTGTGCATTATTTAAAAACAGACAGTAGGCAGCAAACAAGGAAGAGTTTGCAAACTATATCTTAAAGGACATTTTGTATCTGGCTCGTCATTTCTTGCTTTCTATTTGGGGGGCTCTGTTGATTGTACATGGCTACCTTGCAGGGGAATGCAGATTAAGAATGGGGAAGGTGCAGAACAGAGCTAATCAGAGGTTTTGAAAATAAGTCAGAATGAGATTGCAACTAAGGTGATCATAGGATTCTGGGACTATAAGATATATGAATGCCATATGTTCCATGTTGATTTTCAACTTTGTGGAACCATGGGAATGATTATAAGAGGGTAAGGACCAATGCCCAATTTGAAACAAGAACTATTTTCTCAAGACAGAAATCTTGTAGCTAAAAATCACTAAAAACTAAACCAGCTCTGGACCACCCCTCCCTGAGTCACGACTTCAGGAAGTCCTTACTTAAAAGGCAGCCTATTTTTTTAAAGCATATTATTACATGTTTTCTTAAAACATGTTTCATTTCTTATTTATAAAATAATAAGAGAATTTGCAAATTCAGTAATACAACTTTCTGGAGAACTTTGTCCCCAAACTTTTTGTGTGTTCTGATGATCATAAAGTAATGCAGGTCAAGCAAGGGCCCAGAGGTTTTGATGCTATTTGAGTTCGTGATGAACTCTTATTACTCCTCGATCTCCTGGAAGCCAAACGATGCCAAGAAACCATTTTTTAAAGTCTGATGTTTCTTTTGGTTGAGTCCAGAATTATACAAGGCGAGCTGTTGTTTCATATCACTGATCATGAGAAAAGAAATCCAGCTGGCAAATGGACTTTTCTTTTTCTCATTGTTTGTGAACTTCTCTCATTCTTTCTTCATTTCTTTCTTCTTTCTTCCTAATCTTGTCACTTTCTATGTGTACAGATACATAAACAAAGCACACATCTGTACGCCCATGTGTGCACAAAGGCAATAGGAACAGCTGCCTACTGGATCAATGAGAGAAATTACTTAAGGTCTCTTTATAGAAAAGTACTCACAACCGATCAGCTTATTGATTCAGAAAGATATCAATAATCAATATACAGTTCTCAGAGTCTCTTGAAGACCATTGTTTGATATTATATTGACCCAACCTTCTCCTTATCAATAATCCCTTCCTCCCTCCTAATTTTTTCCTTTATGCTTAGATTGTCAATACATAGTACTTGGCTGTTTCCTTAATAATATGTAATGTGAGGATTATAATAGACGTTTCCATGTTTATGGGCAAAAGTAATGAATATGTTGGGGGTTATAGCTATACTTGGGCTTATATAAAACATTAAAAATTAAATGACAAGTTTCTTGCATTTAAAAAAGCCTATATAGAGCTAATGCCAGTAAAACAATGCAGACTGAATTTTCCAACAAAATTTGAAATCGATTAAGCAAATTCTGGAACATTAAAAAAAATAAATAGCATGGGAATTAATGGAAATTATTTGTTACAAGAAGATAGATAAAAATGCAAATTCATGGTTATTTAAAAGACTTCAAATAATAGGACAGATGAGCTGAGACTGAAATCTATGTGAAGCTGAGAAAAGGAAATAAATTTGAACATTTTTTCAAAAAGCAGTAGAGAAACTCTTTCTGAATTATTGTCTGTCCTAATAATTACAAAAAATATCTGGACAATTCAAAATTTAAACAATTGCGTAAGACATAGGTATTTTTACAGGAAAATGTTTAAATGCAGAGAAGAAAATAAAAAATAAGAAACGATCTCAAAATTAAAACAGGAAATTTATTATTATTTTAGTACATATTTTCTTGGGATGTATTCGTGCATGTGTTTGTATTTGTAAACATAGGGAGAAAGTATTGGTGAGGATGGGCTGGTTATGATACAGTGACAGATTCCTAAATTTTAGGAGTTTTATAGCACAAAGGTTGGTTACTAATTCCATCATATACTTAACGTAGGTTAACAGGGGTTCTGCTTCCCATAGTTCTTCAGAGTTCCAGTCTGTTGTAGGCTCCACTATACTATAGGTAAATGATTTGAAACACATGGCCTCCAAGTTTCCTATGATAGAATAAGACAGGAGGCTCATAAAGGATATTGATAAGAAGCAAGCAACTTTTGCCACAAGGTCTCAAATTTATTGTAAAATAAATGGACAGATAGAGACTTACTAAATGCCCATGAAGAGTAAAATGAAGGAAAAAAAAATTTGAGCCGGGTGCGGTGGCTCACACCTGTAATCCCAGCACTTTGGGAGGCCGAGGCAGGGTGGATCACGAGGTCAAGAGATCGAGACCATCCTGGCCAACATGATGAAACCTCATCTCTACTAAAAATACAAAAAAATCAGCTGGGTATGGTGGTGTGCGCCTGTAGTCCCAGCTAATTGGGAGGCTGAGGCAGGAGGATTGCTTGAACCTGGGAGATGGAGGTTACAGTGAGCCGAGATCGCACTCCAGCCTGTCAATGGAGTGAGACTCTGTCTCAAAAAAAAAAAAAAAAAAAAAAAAAAAAATGGAGCAATCTAGACGTGTCTCTGTCCCCTCCTACACTCTCAGTTTTGAATAAGATTTTAATCATTATGTTTTACAGCTTAGTTTTCTTTGAATTAATTTTGAATATATGTTTCAAATGTATGCAGAATACTTCATCATGTAAATATTCCATCCTTTATACAATGCATTTCTTGTTGTTGGACATTGAAATTCCAGATGATTTTTTACGGTTAAATATAGCGGTAAGGCAGTTGCTAAGAGTGTGGCTTTTCTGCCAGAAAGATCTGTATTTGAATCTTTGATCCCTTTCTTCACCAGCTGAATGACTGTGGGAAAGTTCCTTAAATGACTTTCATCCAGATTTACTTACCTATGAATCAGAGACAATACTATCTACCTCCTTTGCTACCTTGAAGAGTAAATAAGATAATAGGAAGTATTTCATGTACAGCTTGCTACTAAGAGTGTAAGCCCAGAATAAATGACAGCTCTGGTAGTATTTATGTGAGTATTGGTGGTGATCTGTTTTGTTGCTGTTGTTGTTGTTTTTTTACCTCATTGTCCTTGGTATGAAAGTCCCTGCTATTGCAGGAGGCTCCTATATGAACACAAGTGTAGAAGTTGAGGCTGAGAACTTCTCTCGTAATACAACCAGTATGAGGCTTACATGAAATTTTGCCACAATTTAATCCTGAACAGAAGGACCATCCATATTGCCAGTGCATCCCAAGTAGTTTTTTGGATTAGCTCATATTTGGAAGGAACCTGAGTGATTTTTAAAGTATGCAAAAGTACCGTGATTATATATTGTGTTCACACTGTGGTGTTCCTTCGTAACTACCCACTGTGTGTGAAGAAAATGTACTACCAGCTGGTGCTTTAAAACAAACAGATAAACCAGCCCTGATTTGCAAAGGTATATCTGTAAGGATGTTTTTTGTTTTAATAATAAAGACATGGGGCCGGGTGCGGTGGCTCACGCCTGTAATCCCAGCACTCTGGGAGGCCAAGGCAGGTGGATCACAAAGTCAGGAGATCGAGACAACCCTGGCTAACACGGTGAAAACATGTCTGTACTAAAAATACAAAAAATTAGCCAGGCATGGTGGCGGGCGCCTGTCGTCCCAGCTTCTCGGGGCGCTGAGGCAGGAGAATGGCGTGAACCCGGGAGGCAGAGCTTGCAGTGAACCGAGATCGAGCCACTGCACTCCAGCCTGGGCGACAGAGAGAGACTCCATCTCAAATAAATAAATTAATTAATTAATAATAATAATAATAAAGACATGGATTCACTCTATACAATCATCATTGGTAATAGATAAATTATAGAACATTGCACTAAGTAGAATGTGATACAGCCATTTAAAAGAAAAGGTTGGCTTGTAGCTCAGTTATTAATTTAGAAAGATTTCCACAGTACATTGTATTGTTTTTCATATGTGTCAGGTGTTGTGGGTTCTTCTATTCTTCCTTTACTGCCTTCCTTTGCATTAAGTAAATATCTTCTGGGGTGCTTCCTACACATCCTTACCAACACTTGATCTGGTCAGACTTTGTTCATTTTAGCCATTCTGACAGGTGTGGAGTGGTTTCTCATTGTAGTATAATTTTGCATTTCCCTAATGAAGAATTACATTACACATATTTTCATATGCCTCTTGGTATTTATCTGTCTTCCTTAGTGAGGTATCGGCTGAAATCTTTTTTCTGTTTTTGTGGTATGCTGTCTGGTTTTAATTATTGAGTTTTGAAAGTTCTTTATGTATTTCTGGATACAAGTCATTTATCAAATATACAATTTGCAAATATCTCCCAGGATGAAATTTGTCTTTGTGTTCTCCTAATAAGTGTTTTATCATTATTATTATTATTATTATTATTATTATTATTAATAGAGGCGGAGTTTTGTTCTTGTCACCCAGGCTGGAGTGCAATGACAGGATCTTGGCTCACTGCAACCTCTGCCTACTGGGATCAAGAGATTCTCCTGCCTCAGCCTCCCGAGTAGCTGGGATTACAGGTGCCCACCACCACCCCCAGCTAATTTGTTGTATTTTTAGTAGGGACAGGGTTTCACCATGCAGGTCAGGCTGGTCTTGAACTCCTGACCTCAGGTGATCCACGTGTCTTGGCCTCCCAATGTGCTGGGATTACAGGCATGAGCCACCGTGCTGGCCTTTTTTTTTTTTTTTTTTTTTTAATTATTATTATTATACTTTAAGTTCTTAGATACCATGCCTGGCCTTTTTTTGTTGTTAAATTATTATTATTATACTTTAAGTTCTAGGATACACGTGCAGAACGTGCAGGTTTGTTACATAGGTATACACATGCCATGGTGGTTTGCTGCAGTTAGCAGTGTCTTTTAAGAAAGAGTTTTTGTTTTTGAAGTATAATTTACTTATGTATCGTTTTAAGAATCATACCTTTGCTATCATATCTAAGAGATATTTGACTATTCTGAGGCCACATTTTCTTCCATGTAGTTTTGCTAAAACATTGTTATAGTTTCATGTTTTATATTTATGTCTATGATCCTTCTTTAAGTTAATTTTTTACATAGTATGAGGCTTGAATTTAAGTTCATTTTTTTACATACAACTTGTTCAAATGATTCAATACTGTTTGTTGAAGACTATGATTTCTCCACTATACTGTCTTTGCACTTTTGTCAAAAGGCAGTCCATAGTGTATGGATCTATTTCTGAAAACTCTAGGCTGTTCTATTTGCGTATTTGTTTATTTTTGTAATAATCGCACCCTTAGTTATGTAGCTTTGTATTAAGTCTTGAAATCAGATATTGTTAGCCCTACAATTTTTTTTTCTTTTTGAAAGTTATTTTGGTTATTCTAGGTTATGTACCTTTCCCTGTAAATTATTTTGGTGTCTACAAGAAAAGCCTGATGATATTTTGTTTAAGGGTGTGTTGAATTTACAGATCAATTTGGGAAGAATTGGCATCTTAACAATAATGAGTCATTGAAACCATGAACACAGTGTGTCATTCCAATTATTTAGCTTTTCTTTAGTTCCCTCCAGCAGTTTTTTTTTTAGTTTTCTGTGTATAGGTCTTTTATATCTCTTTTCAGATTTATTCCTAAGAATGTCATATTTTGATGCTAATGCAAATGATATTTTTATTTCAGTTTTCAATTGTTGCTTGTATATAGCAATGCAATTAATTTTTTAATATTGATCTTGTATCCTGCAACCTTGCCAAACTCAATAATAAATTCTGTAACTTTTTATATAATTCATCATGCTTTTAACATAGACAGTTATATCATCTGAAAATAAAGACAATTTTTAATTTTTTTCTTTCCTGCTTTATTAAAACACTGGCTCAAGTAAAATTATTAAATAGAAGTGTTAAAAGCTGACATTCTTATTTTCTTTCTTAGGCAGGAAACATTCAGTCTTTCATTATTACTATCATATTAACTACAGGTTCTTCATAGATATGCTTTCCTGGTAGTAGAAATATTCTGCTATTCCTAGTTTGCTAGAGTTGTTATCAGGAATGGAAGTCAGAGTTTGTCAAATATTTTCCCTGTATCTACTGAGATGTTCATATGTTTTTACTTCTTTAATTTGTTAATGTTCTGAATTACATTGATTAACATTTAATGTTACATCAACCTTTTATTCATGGAATAAACTCAATTTAATGACACAATCTTTCTTAGGAGTTTTGGGTTTTATTTTCTGAAATTTAGATTGTTTAACCCGTATTGTTGTGATAGGTCTGTAATTTCCTGTAATGTCTTTGTCTAGTTTGGGTATCAAAATAATGATGGCTATATAAAATGAATTGTGAAATATTTCCTCCTTAACAATCTTCTGGAATTTCTTGTATGAAATTTGTTATTTTTTTTTCCTTAAATGTTTTGTAGAATTAACCAGTGAAGCTATCTAAGGCTGGGAGAACAGTTTCAGGTTTTTTTTTTTTTTTTTAAAGTGGATATAAGACTATCAGATTATTTATCTCTTCTTGAATATATTTTGTTACATTGTGTCTTTTAAGAAATTTTTTCTATACATCAAAGTTTTTAACTTATTGGTATTCCCCCTGATTATTCTTTCAATATCAGGAATTGGTATTGCTGTCGCCTCTTTCATTCCCTATACTGGTATTTTGAGTCTTATCTCTTTTTATTCTAAGTCTATCCAGAGGTTTATCAGGTTTATTGATTATTTAAAATAACTAGCTTTTGGTTTCATTAATTTTCTCTTTTGTTTGCTGTTTTCTATTTTATTGATTTCTGTCTCGATTTTTATGATTTTCTTTTTTTCTGCTTTGGCGTTATTTTTCTCTTCTTTTTTCTAATTTCTTAGGTAGAATTTGAGGTCACTTATTTAAAACCATACATCTTATTAAATATGGGCATAGATTGCTATAAATTGGCATCCCCAGCCGAGTGCAGTGGCTCACACCTGTAATCCCAGCACTTTGGCAAGACAAGGCAGGTGGATCACTTGAGATCAAGAGTTTGAGAACAGCCTGGCCAACATCATGAAACCCTGTTTCTACTAAAAAAAATTACAAAATTAGCCAGACATGGTGGCAGGTACCTGCAACCCTAGCTACTCGGGTGACTGAAGCAGGAGAATCGCTTGAACCCAGGATGTGGAGGTTGCAGTAAGCCAAGATCGTGCCACTACACTTCAGCCAGGGCAACAGAGTGAGACTTTGTCTCAAAAAAAAATTGGCACACCTAAATTCTTTAATATGGTTTGTTTTCATTATTATTCAGTTCAAAATATTTTATAATTTTCCTTTTTATATATGCTTTGACCCATAGATTATTTTAAAGTGTGTTATTTGGTTCCCTAATACTTTGATATTATCTGAAATATTTTTGTTATCTTTACTTAGTTTATGTTAGAATGTTATTTGTGTGATTTGAATACTTTTAAATATACTGAGACTTATTTTTATGGTCCAGAGTATAGTCTATTTTGGCAAATGTTCCATGTGCACTGGGAAAAAGTGTGTACCTCCTGTTAGTGTTCCATAAACATCATGTTAGTTCCTAGTGGTTTTCAATTTTTTATATCCTTACTGATTTTTTCTCTATTCATTCTGTCAATTATTGAGAGAACAGTATTGAAATCCTTAAGTTTGGATTTGTTTATTTGTCCTTGCTTTTTTTGTTCTATTTGTTCTATGCATTTTTGTTTCACTTATTTTGAAATTATGTTATTAGGGGCATAGAAATGCGTAATAATTATGTCTTGATGAATTGGCAGTTTGCCAGTATCAGAAAAAATCATTTTTATTACTGGTAATATTCTTTGCTCTGAAGTATAATTTGTCTGATATTTAACAGCCACTTCAGCTTTCTTTTCAAAGTGTTACCGTTGTACATAGATACCACTCTTTTACATCTTAATCTTTTTATAGCTGTATCTTTATATTTGAAGAGACAATATTAAATATTAGTGTGATTATTGAAATGGTTAGGCTTCAGTTTTTCATCAATAAACTCACTATTTGAACCATCTTTTCTTTGTTCTTTGATTTTTTTTTTTTTTTTTTTTTTTTTTTTTTTTTACTGTCAACTATTGGATTAGTAGATTTGATCATTTGAATTTGTCTTCTTTCTTAGCCTGTTAGCTAAAACTCTGTTGTGTTATTTTTGCAGTTGCTTCAGGGTGCATAGTTTACATCTTAACTCATCACAGTCTATCAATATCATTTACTTTCTGCCTAAAAGACTGCCTTTAATATTTTTTAATGTGTATCAATTAATAATGAATTCTTTCAGCTTTTGTGTTCTGGAAATGTCATTTTACCTGTTTTTGAGTGATATTTTCCCTCGATATAGAATTCTAGACTATAAGGATTCTTTTCTTTTTCAGTAGTTTAAAAATGTTGTTCAACTCTTTTTTGGATATATTTCTAACAAGAAGTCTTCTGTCCTCTTTACCTTTGTTCCTCTGTACATAAGGTTATCTTTTAAGATTTTTTAAAAATTACTGGTTCTCAGCAATTTGATTATGATATGCCTTAGTATAGTTTTAAAATTTTTTCTGGCCCTGTGTGGTGGCTCATGCCTGTAATCCTAGCACTTTGGGAGGCCAAGATGGGAGGATTGCTTGACCCTAGGATCTCAAAATCATCCTGGGCAACATAGAAAGGCCTTTTCTCTACCAAAAAATAAAAATGAAAGTGAAAATAATGTTTTCTGGTTGCTTGGGGATTTATTTTGCCTCTTGGATCTGGATATTAGAGTTTTCATCAAATTTGGAAAAAATTCGGATCATTTTGTTTCATTTATTTTTTCTCTCTCATGCCCTTTTACCTGTTTTAGGCCACTTGCAGTTGTCTCACAGAACGCTGATATTCTTTTTCTTTCTGGAAAATTTCTCCCTGCTCTCTCTGCTTCATTTTAGCTTTTATTGCTATGCTTTCAAGTTCTTCTGCATTTCCTTTGTAATGTATAATTTGTTGTTAAACCCATCCAATGTAATTTTTATCTTACACATTGTAGTGTTCACCTCTGGGATTTAAGTTGGTATATATATGTGTGTGTTGGTGTATATATATATTTAGATAGATATAGATAGATAATATATGTGTGTGTATATATATGTGTGTATATACACACACACACACACACACACACAGCTCAAAATAAGAGCCATCTATGACAAACCCACAGCCAACATCATATTGAATGGGGAAAAGTTGAAAGCCTTCACCCCAAGAAGTAGAAAAAGACAAAGATTTCCACTCTCACCACTTCTATTCAATACTGTACTAGAAGTCCTAGACAGAGCAATTAAGCAGGAGAAAGAAATAAAACGTATCCAAATTGGAAAAAAAGAAGTCAAGTACTCTCTCTTCATTAATGACATACTGTATACCTAGAAAACCCTAAAGACTCCTCCAAAAGATACCTAGACTTGATTAACAACTTCAGCAAAATTTCAGGATAAAAAAGTCAGCAGATAACAATCAGTAACATTTCCATACACCAATAGCGTTCAAGCTGAGAACCAAAGCTTGCCATTATATAATTACTAAAAATTTAAATTATAAGATAAGTGTAAAATGTTTTTATATTGTTTTAACTTTAATTTCTCTAGTTACTGATAAGGTCAAACATTTTCATCTGATAGCCATTTATATTTGCTTTCCTGTGAGTTACCTCTTTATAACGTTTGCCAATTTTTACTTTCTTTATTTGTTGGTGTGTGTGTTTGTGTGTGTGTGTGTTGTAGATGTTTATAAGCTTTTGTAATTAGCCAAATGTACAATTATTGAGGGGAAAATATCTGAAGATTATGTATACTTTTTTTCTTTTTTTTTTGAGATGGAGTTTTGCTCTTGTTGCCTAGGCTGGAGTGCAATGGTGTGATCTTGGCTCACTGTAACCTCTGCCTCCCAGGTTCAAGTGATTCTTCTGTCTTAGCCTCCCAAGTAGCTTGGATTACAGGAGCCTGCTACCATGCCTGGCTAATTTTTTGTATTTAGTAGAAAAAGGGTTTCACCATGTTAATCAGGCTGGTCTTGAACTCCTGACCTCAGGTAATCCACCTGCCTCAGCCTCTGAAAGTGCTGGGATTACTGGTGTGTGCCACCATGCCCTGGCAATTATGTATACTTCTAATCAGTCCAGTTCCCTTACTCCCCGCGTCTTCACCTGAGCCACTCTAATCATCACTTCACCTAGACCAAGTCCAGAGAACTGGCCCTTGCCTGGCTTCAGACACACATACACTTTGGGCTATATATTATTTTATGATTATATTTATCGTTCATATTAAACTTAATAACATGCTAATTCTGGGTCTTTCTGCACATACAATTTGAGTGGAGATTAGATACTGTGGTTCATCTAGTAACTTAGAGTAGTATAAGGGCTGTTCTAGGCACTTAGTCTGGATTTGAAACTTGATAAGTAAGGCAAGCTCCAGAAACCTAATTCAATTATATATTTTTCATTTACAAACGGCAGAAGTATGGCTGTAGACCAGTATATACAATTTGAATAGAATTACACAGAAATTTGTTGCCTGAGACTGAGCTTCTAAGGATGTAGGTGAGACTGAGTCGATTTATCAAGAAAGAAATACAAATCTTCCATTTTAATTTAATTATAACTATCAAGCATGAATTTACATAGTGTCATCTTCAGCAAAATTGAGACAAATGTCACCATACCAGTGAAAACCCCTAACCAATCAAGTCTAGGTGGTTATATGTGTATAAAATAATTTCGTTTGAATCGACAAGGTATATAATACACGGTTTCTTTCAGTTACCATCCTTTTCATCATCTATAATTACTGACCTTTTTGTGTGAATATTTCTGGTAAGCCTCTTGAGAATGGAGCCTTGTTTCATTTATTTTCTAAGCCCTCTTAGCATTTAGCACAATAATTTCAATGTCTCTAAATGTGCCATGGTCAAGGAAAGGTTGGCTACTTCATCCTTAATACTGCTGCTGCTGATGTTGATATTAATAATAATAACAACAGCGATAATAATAGCTGACATTGAGTTGTTACATGTCAGATACCATCCTAAATGTGAATTCTCCAGCTTTTATGAATGAGGGAACTGAGGCAAATAAAGGTGAGAAAGTTGGTTGAGCCAGGGTTCTGGTGCAAACACTTGGACATTGTATGCTGGGCTCCAGATACTGTACTGTATACAGTTCAAATACAGTTGCAGTTTGGGAATTTTCTTTTTTTTTTTTTAGACGGAGTCTCGCTCTGTCACCCAGGCTGGAGTGCAGTGGCGGGATCTCTGCTGACTGCAAGCTCCGCCTCCCAGGTTCAAGCCATTCTCCTGCCTCAGCCTCCCGAGTAGCTGGGACTACAGGCGCCTGCCACCACACCGGGCTAATTGTTTGTTTGTTTGTTTGTTTGTTTGTATTTTTAGTAGAGACGGGTTTCACCGTGTTAGCCAGGATGGTCTCAATTTCCTGACCTCGTAATCCACCCACCTCGGCCTCCCAAAGTGCTGGGATTACAGGCGTGAGCCACCGCGCCCAGCCGGTTTGGAAATTTTATAAAGCAGCGCTTTGTTTGCAAGTCTGTGTCTCCTACTAGGCCTCATGCTTGTTGAAGTCAGGCCTGACTTGTTTATCTTTGTTCTTCCGGCTGTAGCACAGTGTCTGACACAGAGTATGCTCTCAATAAATGTTATTGAAATAATGAGTCTGATGAGCAGCATACCCTTCTATCAGAATCTTCCAGAGCAGCAGACAAAACTTCTATATCTCTTTTAGGCCTCCTCAAAATGCATATTTCTACCTGCAATGAGTACTCTGGTAATGTTAATTGATGATGTGACTGCAGTTAATAACATATCTTTTCACTCATAGTCATAAATGTGGGTGGTTGTACTAGTCAGCTATTGTTGCACAATAAACAGTCCTAATGCTGGCTTAAAGCAACCATTTATTCTCTCTTACATGTGTGTGAGTAGGCACAGAATTGGCTCTCCAGTCTGCCGTGGATGCCAGGGTGTGAGATGGGTCCAAATATGCTTCTGTGTCCGTCATCTTCCTTGGTGCAAAATCGTAACAGGACAGCTTCTTTTTACAAAGGTGGCAGAGGTGTGAGAGGACAAGCCCATCTATGCATGCACATTTCAAGTCTTCTTGACTAAAGTAAGTCACATGACTGAGACCGAAGGGTCTACTCGGTCTACAGTGAGAGGAACTGCAACGGTCTGTGGAAAAGGATGTCGATTCCTGCAGTGGTAAATAATGGAGTCAATAATTCAATCTACCACATTTGTACTGACCAAGCAAGTGATCGAGAAAAACATTTAGAAACACCAACAGCAAAATTTTGATTAAGTTCTTAAAGTAATGTGGTAGATGTTGGAAGCAAAATCCAAGCCAATTTTTATTTAATCACAGTCTTCTTCCACTCTTCCAACAAATGGTGGATAATGAGTATTACAGTCATTTCAACAGTAATCAACTATGGTATCCCAAACAGAAGATTATAACTTCAGCTGGAAATTGCGCAGCAGGACAGTTGAAGGCTTAAAAACAAACAACAGGCAAAAAAAATCTCATTTAGTCTCAAGTGATACTTTGCAATAAAGAGAGAGGGTAGGGGCAGGGAAATTAAGAAATGAGCAACATGGGCAGAATTGTGTCCCAACAGAAGACTGGACGTGTCATTAAAGGAAGCACTAGAGAGAATTTGAATATCAGACAATGATACATGAGGTAAATGTGACTGGCACTGACCAGTTAACATTAAAAAATGCGTATGATGAAATGAGAAGGTAGGAAATCTAGGAAATTAAAACAGAGAAGATAAAGCTTTCCTTTTGTCTCACACTAGGAGAGTGATACCTTGCATGCTTTTCCTTAAGCTTCTTAAGCCTGTAGCATGAGTGATTCAGAACAATGTAGGAGTAATTACTCGAGTGTTTCAGTCTTTGAGAATCTGCAATAGGCTGTTTACCTACAGGTTCTGAATTCTTTTGCAGGTATGCAGTTGACTATGTCATCCTCTCCTGACGCTGTCCAAGATCCTCTGAAGGCCATGTCAATCGCTAGGTCTAAATAAGGATCAGAGAGCAAAGCTGAGGAGTAAACTCATACATAAACAGAACACAGGACATTCTACTTAAAGACACAAATAATAAGGAAAAATGCCTCATGAAGTAGCCTCATGAAGTAGCAATCCTTCTGCAATTACTGAACATTTCCCTGCAACTTTTCTGTGTTTTTCAGGCAATTTTCTTTATTTTCCCTCACATGAAATGACACAGACCTGCAATTTCTCACTCCTTTCATTCAAATTGTGTGTCATTTTCCAGGGGCTCAGGCACTTACTGTTTTATATCCGTACAAATGTGTGTATGTATATATATGCACACATATAGGGAAAAATAGGAACATTGACTTGACAAAATATGCTTTATACTATCTTTAACAAAAGAGACAATAGGTAGGTCTAAAAAATACATTTTGAAAGTGTAAGTATAAAAAGAAGATACAACAATTGTTTTACAAGAGAAAGTGTTCCTCAGTTTCCCATTCTTTTCCAAAGGTAAAATAGAATGAAACTGATCAAAAGTAATGACTGTGAATAGGACCACAGTCTCAAGTCATTCTTTCTACTTCTTAGGCCAAGAATGTATTAGAATTGCCATGGCATTGCCAGCAGAAAGCCAGATGCATAGCTAATTACTAGAAACTATAGGATTATAGTAAAAAACAAAACAAAACAAAACAAAAACTGGCACTTTCCTAAAAAAAATCTGGTATGATTGTAGGAACCCATGGAAGAAGAATGAATCCCATGACTTGACTTGCTTTTCCAATATTATGTATATGCAATTCTCACATTTCCTTTCTCTACTTATTTTTGCCTATATCAACCATGGCAATTTCAACGTGTAGGTGTGTACCGAGATCTTGTAGACTGACTCAGGATCTTCTAAACTCAACTGCAGTTTACTACATCCTGTCTAAATCACTCATGTATTACAAAAGGGAAACTTTGGCCTTGATCTAATGAAATGCATCTTGCCCTCCTTATCATACTTTCCTCCATTTATTCATTCATTCATTCACTCACTCATTCATTCACATCTCTGTTTATTTAGTAAATATTTTGCGGGCCAAGTACTCAGATAGATCCCAGGGAGTAGAAGATGAGGTAGAGAAGGGCATGACTGTTGAGAGAGTCCAGTCTAAAGTAACAGTTAGCCACATAAAGTTACAAAATGATGAGAAAAACATCAAAACAGAGGTACGCACAGAGTGCTATGGAAGGAGAAAGAAAGCAATTAGTTCCGCCTACAGTAGCCCAGAAAGGCTCCACAGAGGTGTCACTTTTGATATATTTTGAGGGATAAGCAGAAATCTGCCAAATACAGATAAAAATGGTGGATGGGCTGAGAGCAGAAAGCCTTTGCATGTGCACTGAGGCCCTCTACCATGATGCCCAGTGACAGGTGACTTATAGCCCCAATAGGATTTAAAACGCTGCTATACGGAGTTACTGTTTTCATTGAGAAACTGTGTCCCCCTTGCTGTGTCTTAAATAAGGTTATCGAATATGTCAAGTAGCATAAAACCACAATTTTTAAAAATTTATTTTCCTTATGCAAGTGAAGAGACACTTTTAAAAAATATGACCATTTTTATCTTGGTATGGGTCAGTTTGTAATTATATGGAAATTGTTATAATTGATACAGGCAATGGCATTCCAAAGCCTGTGTAAGTAGATAATATTTGCAAATTTGCCAGTCTGGCTTTGAACTGAATCCTGTGTTATTGTGTAACTTGGAGTGGGGGGATGGTAGAAAAGAGAAACTTATTTTTTGTTATTAAGCAAGGAATTTATTTTGAGATAAATATCATCAGAAGCTTGCTAAATATTCTTTTTTTTTTCCTTTTTAAAATTTGTATAAATGTATGGGGTATAAGTGTAATTTTTTTTGTTAGCGATGGGATCTCACTATGTTGCCCAGGCAAGTCTGCAACTCCTGGGCTCAAGGTTGCCTCATGCCTCGGCCTCCCAAATTGCTGGAATTACAGGTGTGAGCCACCATGCCTGGCCTTCAAGTATGATTTTGTTACATGCAGAGGTTGCATAGTGGTGAAGTTACGGCTTTTAATGAATCCATCACACAAATAATGTACATTGTGCCCATTAAGCCATTTCTTATCATCTGCCCCCCTCCCACTCCCAACCCTTCTGAGTTTCCAATGTCTATCATTCCACACTCTATGTCCATGTGTAGATATTATTTAGCTCCAATTTATAAGTGAGAACAAGGCCGGGATGATGACCCATGCCTGTAATTCCAGTAATTTGGGAGGCTGAGGGGGAGGATCACTTGAATCGGGGAGTTCAAGGCTGCAGTGATCCATGACTGAGCCACTGCACTCCAGCCTGGGCAACAGAGTGAGACATTGTCTCCAAAAAATAAAAAAAATTAAAAAAAAATTAAATTAAATAATGAGAACATGTAGTAATTGTCTTTTCTTTCAGGACATGAGTATCTTTCGGGACCTGAGTTTTCAATTATAGCAGGGTATTCTTTTAAAATTCTCCATATTCCCTGTTTGTCATATTCTGTTAAACTTTCATTAAAAATAATAGAAATACAGAATTATAACCATAATTATTTTCTATCATCTTGATCAATGCCCCCAAAAGGGATGAGAGTCATCTGTAAGCCTCTATGTACCTTCTGGCAATTGTCATCTTCTGTGGCATAAGCACAAAGTTATTATACAGTGCTTTTTTTTTTTTTTTTTTTTTGTCTTTTTGAGACAAAGTCTCGCTCTGTCACCAGGCTGGAGTGCAGTGGCCCGATCTCGGCTCACTACAACCTCCACCTCCCGTATTCAAGTGATTCTCCTGCCTCAGCCTCCCAAGTAGCTGGGACTACAGTCACACACCACCATGCCCAGCTAATTTTTGTATTTTTAGTAGAGATGGGGGTTTCACCATGTTGTCAGGATGGTCTCCATCTCTTGACCTCGTGATCCGCCCTCCTCAGCCTCCTAAAGTGCTGGGATTATAGGCGTGAGCCACTGCGCCTGGCCTATACAGTGCTTTTTTAAATGACAGGAAAAAAAGTAACCCTAGATTTTATTGTGCCATTTTTACTAGTTAATTTTGACTTCCTGATCAAATAGGATCTCCTTACCTATTTTTTGAATAAGTACCTCTTTCTTCCCTTGTCTTATCTTCTTATGTCATCTGTATTGCATTTATACAGTATTTGTGTCTTTTCTGCCATTTTAATACACAACATTTTGCTTGTCCAAACCTTGTGAGACCCCTTTTCTAACCAGACTTCCAGTCCTTGCCTTACCTGGCTAACTCTTGTCCCTTTGACACTTGGGCCCAACGGGTGAATTTAAAAACACTTTAAATTTCTTCCATTTTTTGGAGTCATTATTAGTATCTTAATAGGCAATAATATGTGTGATTCTACTATTTATCAGCAGTGTGACTCTCTTAAAGACCATCATGGCAGAAGCCCATCATGGAAGTCTACCATTTCTACCTTGCCATCCAATCAACCCCTTCCTACCACAACACTTACCTTTACCCACAGACTTCTTACTTTCCTTATGTGGACCTCAAAAACATAGCCAAAGTTTACAGCCTGACAGCCTCCTCGCCAAATTTAGCCTAACAGTCTCTCAGCCCCAATCTCTTTCTCTCTTTCTCTCCGATTTTATTTCATTTTTCGCACACATGCAATTTTTTGGACTGCAGTGTTAGTTCATAATTAATAATTAAGAGATTTACACATACACACAAATTCAGGTTTCTACTTTTACTTGATTTTTTTTTTTTTCTAGAAGGGCTTTGTTATTTCAAGTTTGCTGTGGTTCTCACTACACACTTCTGTCTCCCAACACCTAGTTGTCATTTCTTAACTCACTTAGGCTATTGTGTTCTCATATGCCTGACCATTTTCACTCACTGATGTTGCCAACTTAATATCTACAGTTATCTGAGTTTGTGACTCCTGGCATAGATTTATCTACAAAACAGGAAAACACGGTTCATTTTTAGAAAACAGAAGCCAAATCATTAAGTAATTTTCCCCAGCTCTCACAACAAATGCCTAGTCTTTTAATTCAGTCTAGTATTTTTTTTTATACCAATGTTTCTCAAATGTGCATCTGAATCACCTGGAAATCTTGATAAAGAGACTGTGTAGCCCCATCCTAGAGTTTCCAATTTATGACTAGGGAGAACCTAGAGAATGTGCATTTCTACCAAGTTTCCAGTTGGTACTGGTTGTCGGGGGACATACTTTGAGAACTGTGTGCTATGCCATTGTGCGAATTCCTCTCAGTTTACTTTTAAGATGAGATTGAGTATTTACTCTGCCTTCCAAATGATTGTAAACTTCAAAAAATGTTACACAATAAATATAAAGAGTGTCTCCTTCACTTGAGCATAAGCCCCATAAAAGCTGGAACATAGCTGTCTTCTTCATTTTAGTATTTCCAGTTTCTGATACATAGGAATTACTTTATAACTTTTTTTCTTTCTTTGAGGTAGAGTCTTGCTCTGTTGCCCAGGCTGGAGTGCGATGGCAAGATCTCAGCTCACTGCAATCTCTGCCTCCCTGGTGCAAGCGATTCTCCTGTCTCAGCCTCCTGAGTAGCTGAGATTACAAGCATGTACCGCCACACCTGGCTAATTTTTGTATTTTTAGTAGGGACGGGGTTTCTCCATGTTGGTCAGGCTCATCTCGAACTCCTGACCTCATGATCTGCCCATTTCGGCCTCCCAAAGTGCTGAGATTACAGGCGTGAGCCACCACGCCCAGCCACTTTATAATTTTTTAAAACAAATTCGTGAATAAGAGGTAAAATGCAGGGCTTGGAAAAATTTAATAAAAATAAAGACTGAAGTAGAGATCTGGTCCCTAACAATCAATTTCAATTTAAGGAAAATAATTTCTAAGGAACGTCTATGCTTCTCTGATTTATTTGGTAGCTTAGTTATGCTTGCGTTAAGAATGCAAAAGGAAGCAGTGTATCACTCGCTGATGGTGCTCATTGTAATAGTTCCTCCTCTGGGTAGAAAGAGTTTCCACATACACATTCGAAGGAGTGTAATCACTATCCAGAGACCGAATCCTCTGCCCTGACAGTTGGAAAATGACTATGTGTGCTGACAGCCCCACAGGATGGGAAATGCAATAGCTCTGCTACTACTGTGTAATGTTGCCAAGCTTAATTGACTGCACCCATAAATAGTGGGAGAAAGTGAGAGTGGGTAATCCATACTACTCTTAAATTATTATGTGGGATCAACCTTCAGGCCTCCCAGAGAATCTCTGTAGTATAAGTCATTGATTGTTTAGATTTTAGGTTTCTTTGTTGTCTGTACCAACCCCAGCTCAATTTTATTCACTTGCTTTTTTCTTTTTTTTCTTCATGTTCTTGCTTTCACATGCTTCCTTTTCCTTTTATTTTCCTTTATAGCTTTACACAGAGCCACTCTTATTCCTCCATCCTCACCTCTTTTTCTTGCTATATATTCCAATCAGCATTCAAACATTAATAATCACTACTCTTGCCTTTTCATCCTTCTCCAGATATTCCACTATCTATTCTAATTCCCCCTGAGGCTTTTCAAAAAAGTTGTCGATACACATTGTCACTCCCTTGCTGTTCTGTTACTCTACCACTCACATCTTATTTCTATACCCATGACTCTACGAAAGCTTTGGTGAAGGACACCAATGACCTCCATGTTGGAAATCTAAGAACTTTACTCTTACTTGACTTTTTACTTGGCTTCTCACCACATTTCACACGGTTGACCATGCCTCCTTCTTGAAAACTCTCTTCTCTTGGTTTCTATAATACAACTACAATTGCCTGGCTTTGTCTTTTCCTCTCTAACCACAGTTTCTCAGTCTTCTTCACTAGTTACGCTTTCTGCCACACTCTTAAATATCAGGGTTCTTCTCTTCTCTTTGTACAGTCTTTTTCTAAGTGGTCTTCCACACCCATGACTTAGGGTAATATTTACTCTTTACTATCACTCATCCACACCTCTCTTTTGAGAGATAGGCTAAAGGATCCACCGCCTGTATTTGAATGTCTCTCAGCTATCTCAAACTTAAATTGTTCAAAATCTTATGCTTGAATTCCCACCTCCCCACTCTACCAACAGAAAACATTTTCTCTCTTTCACCTGTTACATCTAATCCACAGATTCATGTCAACATCTATGTCCAAAGTATCTATCCATCCATCCTCAGCTGTACCATTCACTCCCTAGCCTTATCCATAAGCATCTCTCTCATGGCCTGTTCTTGCAACATCCTCTTAACCTTTCTCCCCACATATCTCCTTCTTAGATACTTCTTGACTTCTGCCTCCAATCCTGCCAGTTTTCTTTTATTTTTTAATAAAAACCAAAATTTGTTTTTGCACCATTTAAATCCTTTCCATTTTTGCCCATCAAACCTGGAATATAATCTGAGAAAAATAAATAACCTCTTAAATTCTCGATATGATTAACAAACCCTGTTGGATTATCCCATCTTGCTCTTGTCATTTTTTCCACTTTTCTCCCAACTCACAGCAATATACCATACTGGCATTTCTTAAAGTCCATGTAGTATATCAAATCATTTCCCGTCTCTGAACCTTTGCTCCTGTTAATCATCTGCCTGAAATGCTATTCTCCCTACTCTTCATCCAGATAGTTCTTATTCATCTGCAATTCTCAATTTAAATATCCTTTCCTCGAAGAGTCCTTAAATCCCTAAGTCTAAATTACATTCTTTTTTGTTTTTCTTTTTTTTTTTTTTTTTTTTGAGTTGGAGTCTCACTCTGTTGCCCAGGTTGGAGTGCAATGGCGCGATCTCGGCTCGCTGCAACCTCTGCCTCCTGGGTCAAACAATTCTCGTGCCTCAGCTTCCCAAGTGGCTGAGGTTACAGGCTCCCCACCACCAGTCCCAGCTAATTTTTGTATTTTAATAGAGACAGGGTTTCACTATGTTGGCCAGGCTGGTCTTGCACTCCTGACCTCAGGTGATCCACCCACCTTGGCCTCCCAAATTGCTGGGATTACAGGCATGAGCCACCACGTGTGACAGGTCTTAATTAAATTTTACTGGTACACTCTCAGAGCATTTATCCGTTTTTTTTTGGTTATTGTTGCACTTATCATGATTTGTAATAATACTTTTATAAATGATGTTTATGTTGTTTTCTTAATATACTGTAAGCTTTATGAATAAAGCAGCCTTGATTATTTTTCTTTCTTTTTAAAATCAATGTGTTATCAGTGCATAGCTTAGTACCCAATAGATTTTAAACCCTTGGTAAATACCTGTTGATTAAAAGGTCTTCCTCACAATTCTCTTCTCACCAGATATCCCTTAGCTCCTATCTCTATTTTCAACTTCTCTCAGATTTTTATCCTTCCTTCCTTTTTCTTCCTTCTTTGCTTCCTGCATTCTTTCATGACAAATGCAGACTTGTCAGTTAAATTCAAAACTTCCCACCTACTTATGTAAAGTTCAGTTTTACTTAAGGTAAGACAATGTCTTAGTTTGTTTTCTGTTGTTAGAAGAGAACATTACAGACTGCATAGTTTATTAAAAATACAAGTTAATTTAGTTTACAGTTCTAGATGCATGCTGGGAAGTCCAAGAGCATGAAGCCAGCAACTGGCAAGGTCATCTCATGGTGAGAGGGCAGAAGGCGGAAGTGAAGTGAGTGCACAAGACAGAGACACCAGAGGCCAGACTTCTTCATAACAGCACACTCTATTTTTTTTTTTTTTTTCAGACGGAGTTTCGCTCCGTCGCCCAGGCTGGAGTGCAGTGGCGCAATCTCGGCTCACTGCAAGCTCCGCCTCCCAGGTTCATGCCATTCTCCTGCCTCAGCCTCCCAAGTAGCTGAGAGTAGCTCCCGCCACCATGCCCAGTTAATTTTTTGTATTTTTAGTTGAGACGGGGTTTCACTATGTTAACCAGGATGGTCTTGATCTCCTGACCTCATGATCCGCCCGCCCCGACCTCCCAAAGTGCTGGGATTAAAGGTGTGAACCACCGTGCCTGGCCAACAACACGCTCTTACAATGACTAATCCACTTGCATTATCAGTGTCAACCCATTCATGAGAGCTCTCTGCCTTTATGACCCAATCACTTCTTATTAGGCCTCACCTCCCAACATTGTTGCATTGGGGATTAAGTTTCCAACACATGAGTCTTTGGACGGCACATTGAAACCGTACCAGACATTAGTTTATTTAATTGAAATTCAGAAATATATGCTCAATAGCAGATTAACATTTTCCTTCATTTGATTTGCCTCTCTTTTTTTTTTTTTTTTTTTTTTTTAATTTGCCTCTGGCTATGTAAATCTAGACCATTTGGAAGAATGATATCTCCTAAATTACCAAGATATATATTTTTTACTCAAAATACCCAGGACTAATTCCCTATACTGATTCATTCAATCATTCATTTATTCATTTGTTTAATTAATCAATTATTGATTGAGATCTTACTGTGTATTATGGATTTTTATTATTTAAATCCCAGATTCCCGACTTACTTGCTGAATTATCTTGACCAATTAATTATTCATTCCTCAGTTCTGTTATCTCCTAAAATGGGTAAAAAATAGTAACTAACTTGCAGGGATATTATGAGAAGAAATGAGTTATTGCGTGCAAAAACAGCCAGCACATAACAAACTCAAAATTAGTATTAGTATTATTTTTAATATCATTAGTTCATCATTGCTTTTTTAGACATCGGATTATATAATATTGAACAAATAAAGTTTATGCCTTTACATAGCTTATACTCGAGTGCAGGGCAAACTGTGACCCTTTGACCTAGCCTGCTGCCCAAATTTTGAAAGGAAAGCTTTGTTTGAACACAGCTAGCCTATTCCTTTACATTTTATCTATAGCTGCTTTTTTGCTGCAAAGGCAAAATCGAGTAGTTGCTACATAGATGGTATATCCTGAAAAGTAGAAAATACTTGCGATTTTTCTCTTAACAGAAAGTTAGCTGACTTCTCTTTTTGTGAAAATAGATATACTTTCTTTAGGAGATAGCCTAGGTATTGGAAATTCTACTGGAGCCAGGGAGATCTGGGTTAGATCTAGCTTTCCTATTAAACTAACTTCTTGCATGGTTTTAGCATATGTCTCTTAATCTTTCCTAAACATCAGTTTCCTTGATACCAAAATGGGCTTAATGTCTATCTCAACTTTTTTATATGATTAAAGAATAAAATGTATATAAAGTGCCTGAAAATTTTGGTGCTATAAAAAATGTTTCTCTTTCCTTTTGGACAATAATGGGTTTCTTTTATATTGATAGTATAAGTATTAATATTTATTACAACTGTACAGCTACATAAAACCAATTTAGACTAGAAGTCAAAGTAATCATAGTCTATAATAAAATAAGATTCAGTAGAAAAATAATAGACTTTGATTGAAGTAAGTACAAAGAAGAGATATAAGTTAAACTTCTCCACTTTCCATGCTAGAGCGATTTGCATTTTACCGTCACAGTCTTGGTTTAAATTTGTCATAGTTAAGCTATAGGTTTAAACCCTTTATATGCTAATGATTTTCTATTTCTAATTAGGTTTCCAAGGTTCTTTTAGTATGAAAATCAACTGAAAATACTGTGTAAACTAAATTACTTAGAAAGGAGAATAATCTTGCTCTATAGGAAGGAAATAATTTGTTATGTTTTTTTAAGGTGCCTCTTTAATAATAGCTTAAAACAATAGATCTATGAAAGTTTGTTTTTTTCACAGTAGTTAACTAGTCAGTAATGTTGCCGACAAAATTCCAATTTAAAAAATGACCTTTTAAAGATGCCATATAAAATTAAATTTTAATGAGTGATAATAAATGGTGATACTTTTCACAGGAGGAAACACAAAGCTTGCCTGGAGCCCTTGCTACATGCCATCCACTTTAACACTCTATTATTGTGTCTTCCCTTTCATTATTTTCAAGGGAAGATGATGGAAATGCAGCACCTTTGAAGAACCCAAAACAGTTTTAATATTGTGCTTACTAAAGGCGATCTTCATCGCTGGATAATTAGGCAGATGGATCTCCATTGCTTTAGTGATGATTCTTTTGTAGAATGCTGCTCCATCCCTCCACAATGACAGTAAAAGATATTTAAGCATTCCTTTGATTATGTGACTGATTGAAAAATAAATCACCATGATTACGCTCCAAAAAAAAAAAAAAAAAAAAGTGTTCGCACCAGATGGAAACTCTGCTACAGTTCTGGGGCGAGAGCAGAAGGTCTTCGCACTGGTCAGCTTTCAGGTGGAAAACATTTGGGAAACAGTCAAATTAATTCTAGGGGGGAGAAAAAGCATAAGAAGAAAGGGTAAAAAAATTGTGATGTGCCATTACACCTGCACGTGGCTTGTTGGCTTCCTTAACAAAATAGGAATGGTCACCAGTGCTTCTTAGGCCAATATTACTTGTCTTTTATTAATCTTCCAGGTCACTCAAGTTTGTTATCCCATTCACTAAATAAGAACAATTTATTATAAAGTGCAGTAATCATGACAAACCTAATTATTAATTTTTTTCAAGCTTAAATTTCAAAAAATTGTGAAGCTTCTGCTTTTTATGATGACTCTTACTCTACCCTTTTTGCCCTGAGGATCCTATTAGTGGAGAGCTGAGCAATTCAGTTTCATCAGAAATGAATTATGCCTCCGTTTTTAAAATATAAATACTAAAGGACTGTAAAGATTAGAACTTTGTTTGAACCTCCATCACTTGATGTTTTCTTCCTCAGCGTATAGAGCTTTTGGTGTTAACGTAAAACATCACATTCTTCTGAAAGTTCAGAGCCAGGTCTCCTTAAAGGAATGCCAGCCAGAATTGGGAGGGACGCACAAAATGAAATGTGTTACCTTCTGGGGTGAGATGTGGAGGGGATGTTTGGTGCCTCAGAAGCTGTTCCCAAGATGAGCTATTTGTATAATACAAAGTGGGGAGGTGACTATGTTAGTCACCTTCTGTTTCAAAATGATTAGAAAACAGCAATTCTCAAGAAACAGGGGGTGAATTTTTACTTCTCTCGCCAAGAGTCTGGGCGTAAATGACACCTTTAATTACTAAGGCCTGTTGGTACCACTCTGGTAACAAGCTGGTATAAATGAAAATTCTGATTGCCTCCAAATCAAGTATTTCATATAAATGCATTTTTGTCTTAAGTACAGTTGTTAGTGCAGCTTTCATTATTTTTCTTTGTCAACATATGATAGAAGGAAGTGATGCTGCCAACTTGTTATTTCACTGCTGTTTTATCGTCTGTTTTGCCCAGTGGCTGAAGAGCCAGTGTGTTTTGGCCAGCCATAACTTGTTATTCTAATAGCAGTGAGGCCCCACGAGGGTGCTCAACTTTGACTTCAATAAAATTGCAATTAGAAAAAGAGGTAACTCTCCAGTGCTTAACAAACCTCAATGTTTACTTATTTTTCAGAATTCTATCAAAATGCACTGGATATCAAACCATTCTCTTTTGATTTCTGACTTTTTAAAAGTATTCCAAATAAATAGAATCCATTTCTCAGACGCACATGCTTCGATGCGTAAATTAACTCTTTGGGATCTGAGAATTTAATTTCACTATTTCTCTGTTATACCCACCCTCTCCTTTCCCTCATTTCACTAGATGAGCATATATGCCTAACTTGCAAAGTTCCCAGTATCCATTTTGCTCGGTACATATTGAATTTGGCTGCCTGATTGTTTCTCCTAAATTAACGTAGATGTATTTAGGGATGAGACAATTAAAGAAATAAGAGTAAATGGGAGAGGGGGTTGACATAAGTAAATAACAGGAAAGGGAAAATTGGTTCATGTGTTCTTTTTTCCAGTGTATTTAAAGAAATTTTTTTAAATTCCAAAATGAAATATAGATCCAAATACTGTATTTAACTCAAAATCTAAAGACAGATGGATTCTGAAGAAAAAGGGAGCAGTCTAGGTTTCCTGAACAGATGTGTCCCGATCTACTTTGGTCTACAACTGGTAAAGTGGATGGTTAATGATAGCAAACATTAAAACAATTTTCAACAACTCGTCAAAGATTTTTTTTTTTTAAGCAAAGCTGCCATTCAGCAGCTAATTTGAATTATATTCTGCATTAAGTTACAACTGGTAGGTACATGAACAATGAACACTTCTTGCTTTTTCTTCCTTTAGAAATGATGAGTGAATGAAGGCGGGAGTTACTGGAAGAAAGGTAAGGGTAAGTCGTATCATATTTATTTCTTCCTTTTGAAGCATGTGGAATAATATATTGTATAAAACTTGTTCAGAAACTCTCAGGGGGCTTGTGTCACAGGTAAATTAGACAAATTTAG
Organism: Homo sapiens; assembly: GCF_000001405.40. Classification (NCBI taxonomy): domain Eukaryota; kingdom Metazoa; phylum Chordata; class Mammalia; order Primates; family Hominidae; genus Homo; species Homo sapiens. Next base: position 166,218,351 of record NC_000005.10, read on the forward strand.
TTTTTCAGGGCAAAATGAAGTGTTTGTTTTAGCTGTGCTGCACAGAAATAAACTACCTGACATGTTGAGACCCGTCTTTTCTGCATGACAACTACCATACTGTTCAATATTGTTTAAGTAGCTCATGGCCCAAGTGGCAAGAGAAACTCTGGGTGAATTTCTGTTTTAGAATTGTGAGTTTCACCTCTCTATGTAATTAGTATTCTTATTATTAAAATCCAGTACTGCCAAAGCAGTGCTTAAAATTACAGCGGTATCAAGCTAGGCGTCTGAATGTGACCCATATTTAAGTTCAGGCATAAAAGATCATAGACTAGAGTTAATTCTACTGTAGTTGTGTTTTTTCATTCTAGCATCATTTTGTTATTGCTTTTTGGTGAAGTTTAAATGTATTTGACTTTATGGAAAAAAATGAAACACTTGTTAGATTATAACCAATCATGTAATATTTTAAAGATACATAGTATTCTGACTGATGATTTTGAAGTTATATAGCACAGTTTACTTCTGAAAGTGTAATAGATAGGCATTCAGATTCATTTTCTAATTGAGCCAAAGAGTTTTCAGAAATTTCCTGAAGCCACTCGAGCATAAATAAATAACAAAGTCAGAACACATAATGTTTTCATGTGTAATAAATAAGACCAGTAACTCCTTTAAAAGGAAACAGAAGGAAAAAAGGAAGGAATGGAGGAAGAGAGGGGAAAAGGAAGGAAGGAGGCAGGGAGAGAGAAAGGTGGAAGGAAGAAGTGAAGGCAGGCAGGCAGGAAGGAAGAAGTGTGCTTGTATTGTAGACTTATTGTTCCTACATGTGTAGAAAATTTACATTTGAGAAATGCCTTAGTCTGTTCAGGGTGCTATAACAAAAATACCATAGAATAGGTGGCTTTAACAACACACATTTATTTTTCTTTTTAAAAATTTTGTTATTATTATACTTTAAATTCTGGGATACATGCGCAGAACTTGCAGGTTTGTTACATAGGTATACATGTGCCATGGTGGTTTGATGCACCCACCAATCCATCATCTACAGTAGGTATTTCTCCTAATGTTTTCTCTCCCCTAGTCTTCCACCCCTCAGTAGGTCCCGGTATGTTATGTTCCCCTCCCTGTGTCCATGTATTCTCATTGTTCAACTCCCACTTATGAGTGAGAAACTGCAGTGTTTGGTTTTCTCTTCCTGTGTTAGTTTGCTGAGAAAGATGGTTTCCAGCTTCATCCATGTCCCTGCAAAGGACATGAACTCATTCTTTTTATGGCTGCATAGTATTCCATGGTGTATATGTGCCACATTTTCTTTATCCAGTCTATCATTGATGGGTTGGTCCCAAGTCTTTCCTATTGTGGATAGTGCTGTAATAAACATAGGTGTTAATGCGTCTTTATAGTAGAATGATTTATAATCCTTTGAGTATATAACTAGTAATGGGATTGCTGGGTCAAATGGTGTTTCTGGTTCTAGATCCTTGAGGAATCGCCACACTGTCTTCCATAATGGTTGAACTAATTTACACTCCCACCAACAGTGTAAAAGCGTTCCTATTTCTCCACAGCCTTGCCAGCATCTGTTGTTTTCTGATTTTTTAATGATCGCCAGTCTAACTGGTGTGAGATGGTATCTCATTGTGGTTTTGATTTGCTTTTCTCTAATGACCAGCGATGATGAGCTTTTTTTAATATGTTTTTTGGCCACATAGATGCCTTCTTTTGAGAAGTGTCTGTTCATATCCTTTGCTTACTTTTTGATGGGGTTGTTTTTTTCTTGTAAATTTGTTTAAGTTCCTTGTAGACTCTGGATATTAGCCCTTTGTCAGATGGATAGATTGCAAAAACTTTTTCCCATTCTGTAGGTTGCCTGTTCACTCTGATGATAGTTTCCTTTGCTGTGCAGAAGCTTTTTAGTTTAATTAGACCACATTTGTCAATTCTGGTTTTTGTTGCCATTGCTTTTGGTGTATTAGTCATGAAGTCTTTGCCCGTGCCTATGTCCTGAAAGGTATTGCCTTGGTTTTCTTCTAGAGTTTTTATGGTTTTAGGTCTTATGTTTAAGTCTTTAACCCATCTTGACTTAATTTTTGTATAAGGTGTAAGGAAGGGGTATAGTTTCAGTTTTCTGCATATGGCTTGCCAGTTTTCCCAACACCATTTGTTAAATAGGGAATCCTTTCCCTGTTGCTTGTTTTTGTCAGGTTTGTCAAAGATCAGATGGTTACAGTTCTAGAGTCTAGGAAGTTCAAGATCAAGGTACCAACAGATTTGGTGTGTGACGAGGGCCTGCTTCCTTGTTCATAGACAATGATCTTGCTGTATCCTCATATGGCCAAAGGAACAAAGGAGCTATCTGCCCTCGTTTATAAGGGTACTATTTCCCTTCAGGAGGGCTCTGTCATCATGACCAAATCACCTTCCAAGGGCCCATCTTCAAATGCCATCACATTTGGCATTAGGTTTTAACAAACAAATTTTTGGAGGATATAAATTCAGCTAGCATAATGTTTAAATTCGAATAAACTTAAAAGTAGTATTTCTTTATCTTTGATTATCGACACCTGATTGACTCTTGCTTGTTCACCACTCAGCAGAACATTGAAGGTTTGGGGGCAATAGGGGTTGCCCAATGAGTGAGATTCTGAGCCTTCCTTTATCTGCAAACAATTCAGCTCCACATGAGCTTTGCATACTCGGCTTTTATCTAAAAATTTGTTTCAAGAAATAGAGAACTAATACAGCAATATTTTAACACTTGTTAACTCTAGCTGGTGGGATACATGAGTATCTGTAATACCTATTATTCTGCTTTTCTCTAGTTTTGAAATATTTCTTAATTAAAAATTAATGTTTCAAAAACTATTTTTGAAATGGCTCCATATGTTTAAAAAATTCATTTAACTTTATTGCTGTTTCAGGTCACCCACAAATTAATTGAGAATGAGTGAAATTAATAATGCTTCATCTAGTGGATTATTTTAATGATGTTCAGGGTTTTGAATGGATGTGGGAATGGTGGGAAATTGTCATTGTTATAGCCACACTCTAATACCAAACATACAGAGGGATCTATTGTGCTGTTCCTTCCAAGATTTCTGGTCTATTCTTCCTCCAAGATAATAGAATTTTTAGACAGGCAAATGAGCAGTCAGAAAAGGTCTATATTTTCAACGTCCTTTATTTTATTTTTTACAGCAAGTTGTGACCATGTAACTGAGTTTAGCTCAGTGGTACATATTTGTAGTATCAGGAGGTGCCTTCTAGGACCCTACCCTAGGAGATAGCTGCTTCACACCTTTGCCCTTTTCAGAGAAGAAAGTCCCATCTAGCAATGCAGAGGACATTCCACTGTTTCTGATACTGTCAAGTTCCTGAATATCCTTTCTGAAATACAGATGTACTGTCTGAGACTCAGTCTTAGAATATTAAATGAGACCCATTCCTTAAGGAAGGGAAAACTGAACATTTTGGGTTTGTGTTATTTGTAAGATGAAAAAGAACTGATTTATGTGCTGTTTTAATTGGTTGTATATGAAAGAGTGAAATTTCAGCTAAGATGTACAGGAAAGTTTGCAAACTGGTAAATCTCATATCTATCTGGCCCACAGATTTTTTTTAAATGAAGAGATTTTTATCTAAATATTTAGATTTGGAGCTTCTCTTGGAAAAAAAAATAGTAACTGTAGCAACACTGAGTGCACACACTCACGTGGCTCACACACTGTGAAAGTAAGAAGCAGCAGAGCCATCTAGAAATGGCAGGATACTTCAGGTTCCCACAGTCTCCATCATCCCCAACGTCTCTTGCTTGCCTCATTTTACTCATTTACTTTACCCAAACTTCTGGATGCAGATAGATGTCAGCTAGACCTCTTTTAGACGCAAGCTGCCCCTTGAATTCCAGAAAAGAAAAAAACTGTTATGATCTCAACTGCAGTTCCACATTCTATGAAGGATCAATGTTTCCAATGAGATTTCTGCAAATCCCTAATGGGATCTAGGTTGGTATGAGATACCTTCCTGCAGTCTCTGCTCTTTACCATGTCAACACAGACAGGAAACTCATTCCCTTTTTTCATATCCAGTCACTCACTCATGCAAGAGTAGTCATCTGTACAGCAGTGCTGATAATAGCACAGTTAATCACATATTAGGCCTTGCCTCTCAAAAGGCTCATTTTTTTTTAATTAGGCTTTAAAGTTCTCCAAAAGCTTTCTTGCTCTCCTAAGGTGTATCTCTCTTGGCGCTCCTGCCATAGAAGTTTTACATTCTTTCCTGTCGTCTCTTTCTGCAACTCCTTCCTCTCCTTTGTATTTCTTCATCTGCCTTCTCCGTTTTTAATACACACACATGCGTGCGCACACACAGACATGCACACGTACACACATGCACACACACACACACAGACACACACACACACGCTTTTTTTTTCTTTGGGCCCTTTTCCCACCTAGACCAAGCCTTTTCGCTTCTTACTATCAGCTTCAGAGCTCTCAAAGTCTCCCCTTTTATTTCTACCTATTGTTATTATTCTGTGTGCATGTTTATTTTCTGCAAACAAGTTGTGCCAATTCTATAATGAATGCTAGAAGCAGTTTTCTAGATGGCATATGTATTTTTTCTGCTTACCTCATAAAATACAAAGCCTGTGGCCTCCCTTTCCTACACCACTAGTTACATGTAGGGATTATGTATGTGAGTAGCCACCAGCACATGTGATGAAATTTAAAGAAAGCTTTGAATTTCTGCTAAAGGGACTCACAGAGGAAAGCCTAAGTTTATGCAATAAGTCAGACAGGCCATGGAACAGAGTATGCGGGAAGCCACAAGTGGTTCTCTTCTGCCTGTGGTGTTTGTTGAGAGGAAAACCATAGGACATCCGAGAAAGATGTAGAAACTGTACAAATGTTTTGTAAGAGAGTTTGAAACCTGAGGAAATGCTGCAGTGAATGCTAGATATAAATAGCTTCGCTTATGATATTGTGAAGATGGAATTTCTTATTCTGTTTTTGCAGCAATGATTGAATTTTCTTAATCTCCTCTTAATCTCTTATCTCTCAAAATGTCCCTTCTTTCCAGCTAAGGAGGCGGCCTCTATATAGGACTATATTCAAGTGTAGCCAAGGAATGGTATATTGGAGAATTTTGGCAAGTTCGTTTGTCTGATTTAGCTAAAAGCACCTGGGCTCTGTCTTTTTGAAACCTAGCATAATGTGAGGCATGCCAATTTAAACCCATTTCAATCTCCACAGTGTTCTTCTCGGAGCTAAGATAATGAAATATGTTCCATGTGAGTCTCCCTACACAACAAAACAATCTAATCAGATAGTAAATTAAGTAGTATATTGTAAATTGTGTAACATGGGATGCCAATATGAGACATGGCCACCACGCATAATTAGCCTGGAGTAAACACTAAGAGAGTCTACAACTTCAATTCAGATACTTTAGGGGGCAGAAAGAAGCAGAAGGGTTTTTAAAAGGGTATATTTTGGCTGACATTAATATGTCAAAGCTGAAAATTCACATCCTATTGTCTAAAGACATTTAAGTAATATTTTGCTGGAATATCAGTTTCTGGATGATTTCACCCAAGGTCTGAATTTAATAAGAATTTTATAAAATACCTAAATAGTATATATAATAGCTGATTATTTATGTGCCCCCACGAATTACCAATATAGAGATCATCCTATTAACCTGCAAATATTCCAGAAAATTTGAGAGGGTAACATTAACAAAACCTTAGGGTTTTGTGATGTTCATTATAGCTTTAGTGGATATTCTCTTTCCTTTCTTCTGTCCTACCTTTCTTCCCACTTTCTTCTTCATTCCTTTCAAAATTCCATGATTAATGCTTACTCTATCTTAAAAAAAAACACAAGAAAGAACTTGCTGATATGTATTGATACTTTTCTGCTCTTCTAAGATAATTTTTCATGTCCTATAGTCATGTTTTCTTTGCCAGAACAGCTTTTTGCTAGAATGTGGACACAAAGTAGTGTGTTTGGGGTTTTTTTGCATGTAGCTGGAATGAATACTTGCTGACATCTATAATCCCGAAATTAGAAATTGTTTCCAAATATTATAAAGTCTGATGTTGCTTCTAGCATGAAACACCTTCAATAATTTATGCCCTGTTTTTATTATTTTGTAACAGAATATATATAAATTCAGAGTCTGAGAGGTTTTCTGATAATTGATGTTATGACTTGATTAGTTCACCTGGATTCATTACCCTACCTTTTAAGTTCCTATTACCATAGGGATAATTCCCAGGTGCTTTATTAAAAAATAAAATAAAATCATTATGTTGGCCACAAATTCTAACATCTCTGTGCCCAGTGGTATCTATCTGGTTTGATTCCCTTACATTTTCTTTGTGTTATTCCAGAAGTAATTCAGTAGACCCTCCCGCTTCCATTGTTGACTTTCAGATTACTCATGAACTTGTTCTGTATACATTGAATAAATATTAGAGTGACAGATTCTAAATTCTAGCCAAAACTTTTTTTAAGCTCTACCTCTGGCATCTAATAATTTAAAAAATATACATAAATAAGTATCTAATTCTAAACTAATATTTAACTTTGTTAAATGTATTTCTTTGCGTTGATTTTTCTTTTCTCCCTAACTTTTTGAATACATAAGAAATAATGGCCAAAACTTTACCATAACCAAAACCTGCTTTTGAGGAATTTGGGGAAGAGTAAGAGGAGGAATTTATTGAAATTCTGTCTTAACAATTATTGTGCTGATACACTATCAAGAGGCATATATAATTCATATGCTGGAGCCTTACTAATCCACTATTCTCAAGATGCATACTACAAGACTGAAATGTATTCATAGCAAGCTCCTTCCAGTACCTTGGATAATAGACCTTACAGACATAGTCCAATAGAGACTCCTTCTGCTGAATTTCCTATTTAAAAGATTTTGTAATGCTGGAGCTCCAATGTAGTTTGAACATATTTTTCCTATTAATAAAATATTTCTGCCTTCTCCCAGATAGCTACTAGTCTTTGTTAACTCAAGCTGATACAATAGATATAGAAAACACATTTTGATATGCTCCACCCAGTTAGAATTCATTAATTAGCAGACAATTTTAATCCAAATATGATGATATAAGAAAGAACTTCAACAATTTACCAATGTCTTTAAACCATATCATAGGCAGTAACTTGTGAATCCTCTGATGTAGGAAACAGTTCAGAATTACGATATATAAAACAATAGATATTTTGTATTTTTTCCAAATCTGCATAATAAAATAAATCCCCTCAAATTCAACATGCCCCCAACGTCGGGCTCTTTAAGTTTAGGAAGCTCTTTAAAGTTGGCAGGTATAAATCTGATCTGTTAAAATAAGTTATAAGATTGCACCATTTTTCAGGAAAGTGTTATATTATTAAATAGGGTTGTAAAACATCTCTTCCAAAGACTTAAGGATTTCACTAATAACAACAAACATATCCTGAAAAAGGTTATGAAGAACCTCTGATGCAATTATAAATCACAATAATAGTTGCATTAAAAAATTAAGAGAACATTGTCTGGAAATGGCACACTCTACAGGAATGCCTTCCCCACTCAATTTCCGAGAAGAGAGTCTCCATTAGTTATAACAGTTAAAGGACACTAAACACCAACAAATATGATGCTGCCTTATGCTATTACAGAACGTGAAGAACAGAGTTACTTATGCCTTGATTTGGTATATGTGCAACATTGATGGATTCAGGCCAAAATAGGGTAAGATACCCATTTTGCAGCAGTTCTGTCATCTAACAGTTATTGGAAACTCAGTATGAGAAGGTAAAACAGAACAACAATAAAAAGATAAACTAATCAATCAATGACGATTTAAAAAACTAAAGGAATATCAATAATAAAAGTATTAACTTGTGTTGGATTGCTGGACATTTTTAAACATAAATTCGACACTTGTTCCCAGGTTTTTAAAATAAAGGAGGTAATGGAGAGTGCATGAGTGTGTGGTTCTGAAGACAAGTATGCATACCTATCTATCTATAATAAATGAACAAACTATTGAGATACCAATGTGATTACTGAATTTGGAATGTTTGCACTTCTTTCTTGCCACACATGGAAAATAAAACGTGCAAGATAGTGTTAAGCCTAGAAATAACTAAGAATCATGTCAGAAGCATGTAATGCTGTCATACTTGATTTATTTGGCCATAGAATGGTCATCAACACAATTGTCCATTGTAATTTTTTTGCCTTTTCATGTGATGGGTCAGATCTGTGCATTTTTTTTTTTAAATGTAGTTTGCAAGGCTCACTGAAAAATTAACTTTGTTTTATCCAACCTGGCTTAAACAGGTGTATAAAACAAAGGCTACTTAAGTTTGTTTTGCTTTCATTTTTGTTATAATACTGAACTGGGATATATTTTAAAACATTAGTGAAGTGATGTCATGAATCAAAGTTTTCAATTTTTCAGTTTATAAAATATTGATCTATGAATGACATACACCAAAGTTTATAATCACCAGGGGTGACACTTCAGCAAGGAAGGAACCAATTTCAGAAGCAAATGTAGACGCTAGGAAGAATGGTCTTAGCAAAATAGAAAGCAAGTTGAGCCCTTCAAGAACATTTTTTTAAATTATGGTGATAGAACATAAGAAATTAAAGTATAAATCGGCACCTTTATGGGATTTCATTAATTTTGTTGGTCAACAAATACAAGCTTAGTACCAATTATGTGTCTAAAACTGTGCAGAGGCTTAGGTGAGTGAGGTCCCTGCCCTCAAAGATGATGAGAAAGAGATAGATCCATTGTTTCAAATAGAAGGCAATTCTGAATATATCCTTGTCTCCCTACGCATTATGGTCCCATTTAAGCAGGAAAGGAAACTAAGCATTGATGAGTTAGAATATGAATGCCTGCAGGGAGCCAAGTGGCAGAAAGAACAATGCTTATAAATTAATCAGAAGTCAAGATGAATGGAGAATTGTAATGTGGCCTTGAGGAACAGAGTGTGGAACGTCTTTAGGATGAAAGAAATAAAGAGTTTGGAGAAAAGAGATAGTACAGATAGCATGTTATCCAACCACCTAGTAAAGTGTCACTCTTTCTTTCCCACTGTGATTAGACCGATTTTCCATTGGTCTGACCTGGCTTAAATTGACCTTAAGACACCATTGGTATGGCAATATTGTGTTCAGTTATTATGTATAGACAGATATGCCAAACTTGTCTTTAAAACCACACTTTATTGATTCTGATAAATGTTAAATTCTAAAGGATATTTTTGATGATGAGGAAATGATTTCAATTAACTGTGCAAAGTCAAGCTATAAATTTCAAATTAGACATGGCAAGCCTAATATAGGGGACATCTACTTCCCTTTTGAACTTAAATGCATATTCAAAGCCATCTCTGTGCAGACAATAGGAGCAGTATTTATTTTAAAAAAGAAAAATAGGGAGCTCAAGTATGTTGAATAATCAATGGCTGTACAATAATATAAAGAAATTGAATAGATTTGTCAGCGTGTCAGTCAGAAATGAATTAGAATCGTAGTAAAGAAATAAAGGTAAAAGGAATTTCTCTGAGGAAAAGAAGCATGCAAAATAAAAGCATTAGTGTGACATACAGTTTACAGAAACTCTCCTTGTGGAGAGTAAAGTTTATGTTTGTTGACAGTACAACAGGAACGTGTCACACAATGTAAAAATGATCATGCCATAACCACTTCTTCGCTGATGGCTTGATTTTACAGGCAGTGATCTCCATGAGATGGAATTCAACATGCATTTCTACCTACTGACATTGGCCAGAGTAGGTACTTGGATGAATGGACATAATTATGTGAGACCAAAATAGTTTCTGCCATGAGATATTTTATGCCATGATACCACAAGAAAAAGTCATGTTGCTTATACATTGGAATGTCTTTAGGAAAAATGAACAAAAATTGTATTATTTATATTTCATATTATAGATGTCATTTCTACCTATCTATAGCAACTGACATAGGATACTTGGATTCTCAGAAAACTGAGACCTCCTAGAAAAATTAATATTTATGTTAGTAATAGCAGAATTCATGGGAGCAATTGTTATAGCATGTATTTACTGGGCACTTATGTAATAAGCATTGTCTTTGTTTTCCTTGCTTTAATTCTCTAATATTTATAGTGCAAATTCTCTAATATTTATAGTGCTCCCTTGACAATCTTTATTTTACATATAAAGAAATGAAGCTTGGGCTAAGTATACAAATAAGTCAATGCCCTTTGAAAAGCAAAAAAGAAACAATCCAGCCTGGCTTGCCCTAATGAAGGCAGCAAGACAAGGTCCAAACCATCTGTACCAAAAACGTCACGAATTCAGATGTAACTTAGGTGGTCATTGCACCTTTAAGTCTCTTCTTTTGGGTAGGTATTGTGTTTTACATGAATTTGCAGAAAGAGATCACAATCTAATAAAAGTCTCAAGTTTAATCCTGAAAAGGAAGCAGATTTATGTGTGAAGCTTTCTCTGGGCTCTAATTTCCTAATCACATATATATTAATGCTGATAGAACTTGTCTTTGAGAGGTACAGCTCTTACCAATCTTAGGAAGTGGTAAAAGATTCTGCTACTTCACTCTCTTTTTACATTTTTGGTTCATATCAGTATCCTATCAGAGTTTACATTGCCAATATGAATACTGGCATTTGCAGGAATTATGACAAATGTTAGTGGTTTGGGCAGCAATGTGCTAAGAAATGTTTAACAAATGACTCTCCAGAAAAAAAAGTATGCACATATATGGATACATAAGTTTAGCATAAATGTTATAATACATAGGACACAAGTTACAAATAGTAACAAAATATGTGATATTCTTTATTGTAAATTTTACACAGCCAATTGATTTTTGAAGACTGTTCCCTTGATTTTTGTCAAACTCTGGTATTTATTGCCAATGTGCTGGTAATAATTGATCAACTACTACAGCACATTCTGACATGAATATTGGTATTTTAATTTACATTCATAAGACAAAACAATAAATATATTGGAACGTCACTAATTCACCAATGGCCAACTTCTTTGCTGATTCAAATAATTGTTTTCAAGCACTAAGATAATATTTCTTAATTTTGTTTGTACTATTAATAATGTTACAGCTACTGACATGAGTTTGAAATTTATCTATATTTTTAATATTTTCTCCATTACTTTCTTAACCCTAGACTAAGGGTCACCAACTACAGCCCACAGGGTAAATCTGGCCTACCACCTGTCTTTCTAAATAAAGTTTGATGGAGTACTACTAGCTTATTTGTTTGTGTATTGTCCGTGTCTACTTTTATGTTAGAACCACAGAGTTGAGTAGTTGCTGCAGAAAACATATGGTGCACAAAGTATAAATATTTATTCTCTGGCCCTATAGAGGAGATTTGTATTTTCAGTCAAAATAATAAATTGAGCCTTGATTTGTGGTGTTTGCTGGTTTCCATAGTATAAACATTTCCACTCTGTTTTCAAGTTATCAATGCAATATGACTAACGATAACAGCTAAGTATAGAGTTGGGGAGAAATGCTCAGTAGCACATCATTGGATGGAATTTACGCCATACCCATGCAAGGGGGCGGTAAGCAAGTCCAAGAACATAAGAGTAAAATGTGGTAAATTTTACTTAAGTTATGAAGTTGTAGATTGAATTGTCTCTCTCAAAAAAGATATGTTGAAATTCTAAAACCTTTGGTACCTGTGAATGTGGACTTTATTTGGAAATAGGGTCTTTGCAAACGTAATGAAGTTAAGATGAGGTCATACTGGATAATGGTGAGTCCCAATTTCAGTGGAGAGAAAGATTTGATGACAGAGAAGAGACACACGGAAGGCCCTGTGAAGACAGAGGCAGAAATTGAAGCTATACTGGCACAAACCAAGGGATGCCAAGGATTACCGGCAATCACCAGAAATTGGAAAAAGCAAGGAGGAATTTCCTCCCCCTTTCCCCCTTCCTGAGCATTCAGAGAGAGCCTGGGAACAATTTGACTTCAGACTTCCAACCTACAAAACTTGTGGTAACTTTGTGGTAATGTATAGCTGTGGCTTTTGGAAAAGAATACTGAAGCTGTTGACCTTTGAGTATTTACTACTTCTGTTTTTCACATAATTAATTCCATTGTATATTTATATAATTTAATTTTTAATAATGGCTATGTTGAATAAGTTTGCAGAATTCCTGAAGATTTGACAAAATAATGCGCTAGTTTGGGCCTGCTCCAGCACACCATTCTTAAAACAATCAGGAGTGATAAGGCCACATGTTCCCCTGGGGGAGGGAAGAGAGTTAGAGCCCAGCTTTACTTCCAGCCTTCCATGGTTCTAGAAAGCCAGTTCTGTTAAGTGGGAAATAACAATGAGAGATATTAGGGAGCAAATAAAACTCAGTCCTTGCTGTTTAAGCTTTAAGTTTTGGATCTGATTTGTCTGAAAGGAACTGAAATGAGAGCCCAAGTCATAGGCATAAGAAATGAAACTTGATTTTGAAACCCACCTGATTGTGTTGCCTCATCTTTTGATGTGATTCCTGTTTCAGTCAAGACTGGCTCAAGTAGTGCATGGGACTGAATATCAGTTGCCCAATCTTGGACTACAAAATAAAGCAGCAAAATAAATGAGGTGGGATCTGTTTTGAACCTTAATTTAGAAATAAAAAGGTTTTGAATTTTCAAAAGTACGTTACTCGTTGCCTAATTTTATTGGTATTTTCTTTCCTTTTTTATTTTTAATTTTTTTTTTTTTTTGGGACGGAGTCTTGCTCTGTCACCAGGCTGGAGTGCAGTGGCGCAATCTTGGCTCACTACAGCCTCCGCCTCCCAGGTTCAAGCGATTCTCCTGCCTCAGCCTCCCAAGTAGCTGGGACTGCAGGTGCTCGCCACCATGCTCAGCTAATTTTTGCATTTTTAGTAGAGTCGGGGGTTTCACCATGTTGGCCAGGATGGTCTCGATCTCTTGACCTCATGATCTGCCTGCCTTGGCCTCCCAAAGTGCTGGGATTACAGGCGTGAGCCACTATGCCCGGCCTTCTTGTGTATTTTCAAAGAGTATTTTCCCCAAACTTCAGATATGTAGTAAATCCTGGTAGCATATAGCTCTTAAATGCATATGTAAACATTTTAATTTTAGTAGCACTTTGTGTTGAAACTGCTCATCCTCTGCCAAAGGAATACGCATTCTATGTCTCATTATTTTAACCTTGAAGAGCAAACTGCTGAACATTTAGTAATGGGAAGACATGTTTAGGAATAGAATCATGTTAACCAGAAATAAGCATTAGATATGAAGTTCAGCTGAGTAAAAACCAAGTTCTTTATTACTAATGAAGTGACAGATGCAAGTCCTTTCTCTCACCCTTTTTATCCCTTTCTATTCAGTGGTGAGAGAAGTTGATATTTGCTGACACTTTACAATCACTTGAAAGTTAGATTTCTGGTTTCCTGTTGACAGGCCAGCTTGTAACTCCTCAAGGTCAAAAGTACTATTTTATATTCTGCCAGTAACTACAGGGAATTCTGATCCATAGGTTATCTCTTTAAAGAAAAGTCCTTTGGTATACTAAGTAATTGGACTGTTGTCCTTTTCCTCTATGCCTGTGTTTAACCAATAATATGAAGATTTCATTATCATCATCTCCCAGATTGTTCTCCTGGCTTAGTTTGGACATTTATTGAAACACTCCTTTTGTTGCATAAACGTTGCCTGTAACAGAGGGGCTGCACTGATTTCACAATGAGGGAACCCTGTTTTGCACTACGTATTGTATGTTGCTCTTTAGCTTGTTCACTAATAATAATACTATAGCCCTGGATACCAAACCCCAGTTAGTCAGAAATTCTACAGGTGAAATCACATCACTTGGAAATATTTTGATGCATGGAATGATAATGCTTCATCTCGTGGAGTGGAAAAAAAGTATATAACTAAATTTGATATTTGACATTTTAAAGGTAACTTGCAACTTAACAAGAAAAGTGATGATTGGGTAAACTAAAATAATATATTCAGCCTCTGAGTTACACAGTCAAACCCCTGACATAGAGGACAAGGCTGAGAAAGGCATTCTTTTAAAAATTTTTAACTCATCAGGCCATAGGCTATTTCACAGGTTTCTAAATAAAATGATTAAGGGGAAAGTTGTTTTTTTTTTTTCCTATTTTTTAACCTATATAGAAATAAGAGTGCTAGTACTGTTTTTATCGTTGATAATTTGTGGTATTGTGTTTTTATAGAAGGAAATTTAATGTGATATTTTTGTAATGCATCAAATTGATTTTCATACTTTAATTTCCATTAATCCATTAAATTTCAGAACCATTAGGAATAAGTAAAAGGAAATTGTCCACAAATACACACACACACACACACACACACACACACACACAATCATTTCTACTCTTGCCCCAAAGATACATTTTAATCAACTCTACCTTCTGCTGTTGTTTGGAGTCTATTACCATTTAATGTTCTAGGCCTGACTTCTAGGCATTTTCTTATTGTTTTCAGTCACATAGAGAGAGCTCAGAGGAAGGAAAGCGGCAACTTGATGAAGATTATACTGATGTTCTTTGGCAACATAGGTCCTCCTTTGGCAGAAGAGGCCATCTTCACTATGGGGTGCAGATTCTTAGAAAATAATATTGGAATTCCTCTAGGTTGAATATTAAAATAGCCATGACACTTGAGGAAATCACTCTTAGGGTCCATGCTTAAATTAGATTCTTGTAAAGTTGCATGATGTTTCTAGGTATGCATCTCAGAGAAACAAAAATATATGTCCACAAAAGCCTTGTACAAGGATATTCACGGCAGCCTTACTAGTAAGAGCTACAACCTAGAAACAATCCTCTCTCTTGTCTAACTAGAAAAGGATAGATTATTGAATAAAGGGTACGTTTATTTATAATGGAATACTACATGGGAGTAAAAAGGGGGACAAAGATCTACATTGGTTAATCTCAGAGATCTACATTGGTTATGTTGAAGGACAGAATTCAGGCTCAATAGGCCATGTATTCTATACTTCCACTTCTTCAAAGTTCTAGAACCTGCAAAGCAAATCAATGGTGATGAAAATCAGAAGAGTTCTTGCTTTGAGTGAGGGGAGTGAACTGGGTGTGAAGAAGCATGAGAAATATTTCTAGAATAAAGGAAATGCCCTATATCTTAACAGGCATGTAGGTTACTGGTGTATATATTTGTTAAAATTGATTGTGTTCTTAAGATCTATGCATTCACTCTGTGTAAATTATACCTCACTATAAAGTCACCAGGTACTTTGGAGAAAATAATGATTTTTAAGTTACTTTTTTATACATAATAATTTGCCTTCCTCCAATTCTCTTAATTTTTTCACAATACAATCCCATCTACTATATTATTTTATCCTGTGGTTAATAAAGCATGGATGGAAGGCTTCTGACAAGAAGGCTTCTGACGAGAGTAGGGAGCACTAGAAGTCTGTCTCCCTACCTACACAAAAATTGCACTGGCAGAATCAGTCTGATGTAAATATTTTGAAACTCTGGAGTCTGTTGAAGGCTTGCAACTTCCAAGGGAAGGCTTAGATGGTACATTTCAGTTAATTTATGACCATTTCACCTCATAGCACAGTAAGAGCTACCCATCCCTTGTCCCCAGCAGCTCACACACAGATTGCAGGGCCAGGGTTGATGAAAAATAACCCTGCTTTCCAAATGTCAGAGATCTTTGCTGTGATTACTGACTTCTGTTTCTGATCACAGAGGTGCAGACAAAGAGGCAGTGCCCACTTTTGTTGTGACTCCCCCTCCTTATTGTTGCAAGCCAGTTCTCCTCTAATTGAAATGATTTCCAGGGAACTTAAAGGACCAATAAATTTTTCTCCTTCATTTCTCTCTTTTTCCTCCTTTTGGGAGCCAGACATTGAAAACAAGGATATTGAAAAGTAATTGCAGGCCAGGTGTGGTGGCTCTCGCCTGTAATCCTAGCACTTTGGGAGGCTGAGGCAGGTGGATCACCTGAGGTCAGGAGCTCAAGACCAGCCTTGCCAACTTGGTGAGACCCCATCTCTACTTAAAATACAAAAATTAGCCAGGCGTGGTGGTGAACACCTGTAATCCCAGCTACACAGGAGGCTGAGGCAGGAGAATCACTTGAACCCAGGAGATGGAAGTTGGAATGAGCTGAGATCATGCCAGTCACCACTGCCTTCCAGCCTAGGCAACAGAATGAGATCCTGTCTCAAAAAAAAAAAAAAAGTAATTTCATATATGGAGAAATTAGAAAGTCATTGTCCATGCACAGGGGAAGACACAGGCTGAGAAAACACCAGAGAAGACTTTGAGTTTATACCTCTAACTAATCCTCTATACAGATACAGCCTACAACAATAAAAAACCAAAAGCAAAACCAAACAAAAACACCAGCAAACCTGAGAGAAGGGAGGAAATATAATTTCCAGAGTTATCACATTATTAAAATAAAATGTCCAGGGTACTACACACACAAATCACAAGGCATACAAAAAAATAGAAAAGGATGTCCCATTCAAAGGAGAGAAATGAATGAACAGAAACTCTTCCTGAAAAAGAGCTGATGGTGGATCTACTAGACAAGTACTTTAAAACTACTGTCTTACAAAACAAATTGGGCAAGTTTAAGGCATAGAAAAAGTCAAGAAAACAATGTATAACAAGACGGGAATATCAATTAAAAAATAGAAAACCTAAAAAAATTCTGGAACTGGAAAGTACAATAACTAAAATAAAAATTTACTAGAGTGATTTAAAGACAGATTTAATCAGGCAAAAGAAAGAATCTGAACTTGAACATAGGACAGTGGAGATTATCAAGTTTGAGAAACAAAAATAAAAACTTCTTTTAAGTGAATAGGCCTAAGGGGCTTGTGGGACACCATCAAGTGAACAACATCACATTGTAGGGTCTCAGAAGGAGAAGAGAGACAAAGAAAAAGGCAGAGAAAATACTAAAAGGAAGAGTCTGAAGTCTTCCCAAATTTGATGAAGGACATAAATATTAACATCCAAATATCTTAACTAACTTCAAATAGAATGCATTCAAAAAGGCAGACCCACACCAAGACATATTATAATTAAACTGTGGAAAGACAAAGAATTTTGAAAGCAACAAGGGAAAAGCAACTTGTCATATATAAGGGCCTCTTAGTAAAATTATTAGCGGAATTCTTGTAAGCTATATTCAAAGAAAATAACCAAGAATTCTATATCCCACATAATTCTTCTTAAAAGCTGAAAGAGAAATTAGGACTTCCCATATACACAAAACTTTACGACTTTTTTTTTTTTTCCCAAGACCTACTATGAAAGAAATT
Source organism: Homo sapiens (assembly GCF_000001405.40). Taxonomy (NCBI): domain Eukaryota; kingdom Metazoa; phylum Chordata; class Mammalia; order Primates; family Hominidae; genus Homo; species Homo sapiens. Next base: position 166,235,717 of record NC_000005.10, read on the forward strand.
ATAAAGGTAGTCAATCAAGTTGAAATAAAAGGACATTAGACAGTAAAACTTGAATTCCTATGAAGGAATAAAAATCTCTGTAAAAGTAAATACATGGGAAATTATAAAATTATTGTAACAATGGTGTGTGAGTCCACTTTTTGTTTCCTTTGTGATTTAAGAGACTAATATATATTTTAAAAATTATTAGATTAAAAGGTAGTATTATTATAACTGTGGCTTGTAACTCTAAATTTATTCTCTGGACAGTTTAAAAGACCAATGTTTTTTAAAATTAATTAGCTTATGTTTTTGGACACACAATGTATAAAGATGTAACTTTGTGACATCAACGACTAAAAGAAGTGGGGACTGAGCTGTTAAAAAAGCAAATTTTTTGTAGGTTGTTTAAGTTAAGCTGTTATAAATTCTAATTAGAGTGTTATAACTTAGGATGTTACAGAAAATCCTCATTGTAACTACAAGGACAATAGCTAAAGAACATAACACAAAAAAAAAAAAAAAAAAAAAAAAGAAGAGAATGTAAACATTTCACTACAAAGAAAATCAACTAAATACAAAATAATTCAGTAATACAGAATGAGGAACAAAACAGCTATAAGGCATATGGAAAACAAATAGTAAAATGATTTTGGTAAGTCCTTCCTTTGCATTCATTGCTTTACATGTAAATTGGCTAAACTCTTAAATAAAAAGACACAGGTAGCAGAATGGATGTTTAAAAATAATTCAACTATAATTGAATAGTCCCTAAGAGTCTGACTTTAGATCCAGACACACATAGGTTGAAACTGAAAGGATGACAAATGATGTTCCATCTAAATAGAAACCAAAACAGAGCACGACTGGCTTATACTACATATGATAATACAGACTAAATCAAAAAAGTTTTTAGGAGACAAAGATGTTACATATTAATAAAAGTTTCAATACAGCAAGATCTAACAATTACAAACATTAATTTACCTGATTACAGACCATCAAAATATATAAAGAAAAATGGACAGAAATGATGAAAGATATAAACAGTTCTACAGTAATTATAGGAGACTTCAATACCCTACTCTCTATATTGAATATAACAGGTAGACAGAAGATAAATGAAGAAGTAGAGGACTTAGACAACACAATAAACCAGGTAGATCTAACAGGCATATACAGCACACTACCTAATAACAATAGAGTACACATTCTTTTCAAATGCACATGGACATCTTCTAAGATAGACAATATGTTAGGCCTCGAATTAGTCTCAGTAGATTTAAAATGATAGATATCATGCAAAGTATCTTCTCCTACCACAATGGGATGAAGTTAAAAATTCATAACAAAAGGAACCAAAAAAGTACTAATTTGTAGAAATTAAATAACACAATTCTAAACAACCAATAGATCAAAAAAGAAATCACAAAGCAACTTTAGAGAAAATGTTTAGAGATAGATGAAGACAAAAACACAGTATGCCAAAACTATAAGATATAGCAAAGCAGGGAACAACAGGGAAAATTTATAGCTCTACAAGCTTACATTAAAAAAAAAAGAAAGACCTCAAATTAACAACCCAAGTTTACAACTTAAGAAACTAGAAAAAGAAAAACAAAACAAAACCCAAAACTAGCAGCAGGAAGGAAAAAATAAAGATTAGAAATGAGAAAAACAAAACAAAGAAATGAAAAAAAAAAAAACAAAGAAAATCTATAAAACTAAAAGTGGAGTTTTTGAAAAGAACAATGCAATTGTCAATTCTATAGCTAGATGTACTAAAGAGATGAGTCCAGTTACTCAAATTAGAAATAAAAGTGGGGATATTCCTACCAATTCTACAGAAATAAAAAGGATTATAAGAGAAAATTGTGATCAATTGTATGTCAACAAGTTGGATAACTTAGAAGAAATGGACAAATTCGTGTAAATACAAAAGCTACTAAGACTCATCCATGAAGAAATAGAAAATCTGAATAGATCTGTAATACTGAGGACATTGAATCAGTAATCAAAAATCTCCTGACAAAGAAATGCCCTGGATCTCATGGTTTCACAAGTGAACTCTACCAAACATTTAAAGAGAACATCAACATTTCTCAAACTCTTCTGAAACAATTGAAGAGGAGAGCACATTCTAAACTGATTCTGTAAGGCCATCCTTACCCTGATCCCAAAGCCAGACAAAGACACTACGAGAAAACTACAGACCAATATTTCTTATAAACTTTGATCCAAAAATCTTTGACAAAACACTAGTTAACCAAATTCAACAGCACACTTAAAAGATCATACAACATGACCAAGTGGAATTTATTCCTGTAAAACAAGAATGACTTAACGTGCAAAAACTGATGTATGTTGTTTATTATACAACAGAATGAAGGAAAAAACCACATATTGATCTGAATAGCCCAAACAATACAGAAAAAGCATTTGACAGAATTCAGCATCCTTTTATGTCTGGAGCTGGTTCCTTCTGGTGGGTTCTTGGTCTCGCTGACTTCAAGAATGGAGCCACAGACCTTCGCGGTGTTACAGCTCTTAAAGGTGGCACAGACCCAAAGAGTGAGCAGCAACAAGATTTATTGTGAAGAGCGAAAGAACAAAGCTTCCACAGCGTGGAAGGGGACCCAAGTGGGTTGTCACTGCTGGCTGGGGTGGCCAGCTTTTAGTCCCTTATTTGTCCCCACCCATGTCCTGCTGATTGGTCCATTTTATAGAGTGCTGATTGGTCCATTTTACAGTGTGTTGATTGGTCATTTTGCAGAGCACTGATTGGTCCATTTTACAAACCTCTAGCTAGCCACAGAGAGCTAATTGGTGCATTTTTACAGAGTGCTGATTGGTGCATTTCACAAACCTCTAGCTAGCCACAGAGTGCTGATTGGTGCATTTTACAGAGCACTGATTGTGCGTTTTACAAACCTCTAGCTAGCTACAGAGTGCTGATTGGTACCTTTTTCAATCCTAGCCACAGAGTGCTGATTGGTGCATTTTACAATCCTCCTGTAAGAAGGAAAAGTTCTCCAAGTCCCCACCCAATCCAGAATCCAGCTGGCTTCACCTCTCACTTTCATAATAAAAATACTTAAACTAGAAATAGAAAGAAAGTATTGTAACATAATAAAAGCCATACATAGTAATCCCACAGCAGGCCAGGCATGGTGGCTTACGCCTGTAATCCCAGCACTCTGGGAGGCTGAGGCGGGTGGATCACAAGGTCAGGAGATCGAGGAATCCCACAGCAAACATTATATTCAATGGTAAAAGACTGAAAGCTTTTCCACAAAGATCAGGAATAAGGCAAGAATGCCCACTTTCACCACTTCTACTCAACATAGTACTAGAACCTATAGCCAGAGAAATTTTGCAAAAAAAAGGAACAAGGCATCTAAACTAGATAATCTCTTTTCACAGATGATATGATGTTATATTTAGAAAACTTTAAAGATTTCAGAGAAACATTTTTAGAACTAATTAGAAAATTCAGGAAAGTTGCAGGATACAAAATCAACATGCAAAACTCAGTTACATTTCTATACACTAACAATAAACAATTTAAAAGAAAATAAACTATTTCATTTACCATAACACCAAAAAGAACAAAATATTTAAAAAGTATCCAAGAAAGTGAAAGATTGGTATGATAAAAATTACAAAACATTGCTAAAAGAAAATAAAGAAGACATAAATTAATGGAAACACATCCCATGTTCATGGATTGGAAGAGTTAATATTGTTACCATGTCAGTACTACCCAAAGCAATCTATAGATTTAATGCAATTCCTACTAAAATCCCAATGGTGGTTTGCAGAAATAGAAAAAAATTCTAAAATTCATATGGCATCTTAATTGACCCTGAATAGCCAAAACAATGCTGTACAAAAAAAAAACAACAAAAAAAAAAAAGAGAGCGAACACAACCAAAGGACTCATACTTCCTTCTTAATTAGAATACTTACTACAAAGCTACGATAATCAAGAGTGGTATATTGACATAAGAATATATATATATATAGGCCAATCAAACAGAATAGAAAAACAGAAATAAAGCCTCTCATATAAGTCAAATGGTTTTTGACAAGGGTACTAAGACCATTCAAGGGGAAAAAGAATGTCTTTTCTACAAATGGTGCAGAGAAAAGTGGATATTCACATGCAAAAGAATGAAGCTGTGTTCTTACCTAATACCATATACAAAAGTTAACTCAAAGTGGATTCATGACCTAAATATAAGACCTAAAACTCTAAAGCTCTTAGAAGAAAACATAGGGCATATTCTTCACAACATTAGATTTTCAGTGATTTCTTAGAGATGACACTGAAGGCACAGGCAGCAAAAGAAAAAATAGACAAATTGAACTTAATAATTAAAAAATAATCTGTGCATCAGAAGACACTATCAACAGGGTAAAAAGGCAACATACAAAATGGGAGAAAATATTTGCAATTCATATATCTGATAAAGAATTGAAATCCAAAATATATAGAGAACACCTAAAACTCAACAGCAAAGAAAAACAGAGTTCAAAAATGGGCAAAGGACTTGAGTAGATATTTCTCCAAAGAAGATACACGAATGGCCAATAAACAGATTAAAAACTACATAACATCATTAATCATTAAGGGAATGCAAACTAAAACTACAATGAAATACCAGCTCATTCCCATTAACATTGCTACTATTTTTTAAATGCAGAAATTTAGTGCTGAGGGGGATGTAGAGAATTGAAACCCTTGTGCACTGTTGGTGGGAATGTAAAATGGTATACTGTGGAAAATAGTATGGCAGTTCCTCAAAAAAAAAAAAATTAAAAACGGAATTACCATATAATCCAGCAAAGCCACTTCTGAGTATATACCCCAAAGTATTGAAAGCAGAGTCTTGAGGAGATAGTTGTACATCTGTGTTCATAACAGCATTATTCACAATAGCTAAAATTTGAAAGCATCCCAAGGGTCCACCGACAGACGAATGGATAAACTAAGTGTATTGTATACATACAATGGGATATTATTCCGCTTTCAAAAAGAAGAAAATTCTGACATTTGCTACAACATGGATGAACCTTAAGGACATTATGCTAAGGAAAATAAGTCAGTCACAAAAAGACACTGTATGATTCCACTTATACGAGATACTTAGAATAGTCAAAATCATACAGATAGAAAGTAGAATGGTGGTTTGCAGGGTCTGTGGGAGAATGGATTGAGAAGCTCTTGTTTAATGGGTATAGAGTTTCAGTTTTGCAAGATGAAAAGTGTTCTGTACACAGATGATGCTGATGCTTGCACATTCATGTGAATGTACTTAATGCTATTGAACAGCACACTTAAAAATGGTTGATGGTAAACTTTATATATATTTTACTACAATTTTAAAAATTTAAAAAAAAGGAAAGCACAAATGTTGTATCTATTTTTATAAAAGAAACTAAGTCTTTAAGGAGGCAGAGGAATTACTTATATCATACGGTTCTAGCAGGACTGAAGCTCAAATTATAATTCCTAGATCTCTGACTTTCACTTTAATCCAGACTGAATCTGCTAATGTAAACATACCCTAGTTACAAGCAAAAGGTGGGGATACAGTGGTACTCATTCTTTCTAACTCAATCCACACCTCTTCTTAGTTAAAACCTTGAGAACAAATGTAACAGTTCAAAAAAGGTTAATTTAATTTATATTCTGCCCAAGGTGCATACATTAATTTAATGACTGAAAAGTTTTTGTTGAGTAAAAGCATGCAAAAATTCTTGAGCTAAGCTATTGAATGATGCCAGCAACAAAGTTCAGTGGATTCGTGGCAACTACCAGTTTATTTCCTGCCTTTTGAGTAGAATACCACTCTTTTTAATTATGTGAGTCAAAATTCCAAATATATGCAATTTTTATCTGTTTCTTTTTTAATTGTGGTTTTCTATTTAAAGTCTAAACGGAGAATTCTTCCCAAGTTGGAATGTACTTCTTGGGAAACATTTACAGGAGGTGTCCAAGGTATCCGTCCTCAAATAAAATTCTTAAATAAATATTCTGATGCATTGCAGAGGAAGCTCATAAATGTCTCTTTTTGCAACATAAACAATATAATACCCCTATACAAGGTTGAGGATATATAAATGCAGTGTTTTAATGTTAGAAGTTAATTTTTTGGGTGTTAATCAAAGATGTTAGGTCAAAAAATGATAAAGCTCAATAAAGAAAAATATATGCCTACATTTGACTATTTGTTCTTTATACCATCATTTAAACTGCATTTTAAAGAGCCATTTCCTAGTTGAGATATATTGACTCAAAATCATTAAAATAATTGTCTTGGTTTTAATACGTCTTTTTTTTTTTTGGAACTAGATGTTGAGTATTTCATGTGGATTAGGGAGTCTACTAAATACTTTACATATATTATGTGTCATTTTCTTCTTACAACTGCCCAATAAGTTTGGTTTTAGATAAGAATATTGAAGATTTTAAAATGTGTCACTTAGAGCAAGTTAAGCAGATGGCAAGCTAAAGGACCAGAATTTATACCTAAGCAGTTTGATCTTACAACCCTCACCTTGAAGTACTATTTTGTACCAACCCCTGGACAGAAACCTTATCCACAAATAGAAAAGTAGGAGACATATCCTGGGAGGGTTTGTTCTGTCAATCCTTTTTTAAAAAGAGGGGAAGTCACCAGTTACCATATTTCACTCTTGACTCCTGAAGCACCGCAAAACCTGATATTTTCCTGGCCAGAATTTATTTCAGCATATATCTGTAATAAAATATACAAACTCAAATGCTAAAAGGAATGAAGAAGGGCAGGGAACGTGCATGAAGAGATGTTGCTGTGGAGATGAGTGGGGTGCACTTGTGTACTCTCCTGTTCTTTCAGGCATAGGCAATAACCACCTAATTAAAAATGGATGAAAAGAACTACTGGCTAGTATAATAGTAAGTTCAGTGGTAATGTGGGATTTTGAACTGACTGATTCTAATGTTTATTCCTCTGTCTCCCTGAAATTCCCCTGGCTCTGTCTTCCTTTGTGTAGGGTTTTATCTTCAAGACAGTAGTAGCAAGATGACTGCAGCAGTTCCAAGCCTCATGATCGTGACCAATAGTATCTAGGAGAAAGGGGAGGGACAGCTTGGGAAGCTTCTCAGAAGATATAGGAGGAAGGAACTTTTCTAGAAGCCCAAGAAAGTATCTCCTAACATCTCATCAGCCCATATTTGGTCATATGTTCTAGGAGGAACACATTTCTCCTAAAAGAGAAAATTCAGAAACTGAAGGGGTCACCTTTCATGGAGTCATAAAGGCTACTTGAAGTTGTATATCTGAACTGACATATTTCTGCCAGGAAAAGGAGAGGAAATAAAGGATGCTAGTCACTGGTGTCTTCTACACCCCTGCTTATCTCCAGCCAATTACCGTTTTTAGGGACTCTGGGGTGAGGTATTTGGGTTTCTTTATGAGGAAAGCTGAAAATTTTATGAGAATCACTTTTATGTTTAAAAATAACTGCACATGATTAACGGTTACAAATAGTTTGATAGAATAAGTAAGACCTAGTGTTAGATAGATCAGGAGGGTAACTATAGTAAACAATAATCTATTGTACATTCCAAAATAGCTAGAAGAGAAGAATTTAAATGTTTCTAGCATAAGGAAAAGACAAATATTTAAGGTAAGAAATATCTCAAATACACTGATTTAGTCTCTACAAATTATATAACTGTATTAAATTATCACATGTATCCTCAAACTCGGCATATCTATTACGTACCAATAAAAAATGTGGGCTGGGCGCCGTGGCTCATGACTGTAATCTCAGCACTTTGAGAGGCCGAGGCTGGCAGATCACTTGAGATCAAGAGGTCAAGACTAGCCTGGCCAACATGCTGGAACCCCCGTCTCCACTAAAAGTACAAAAATTAGCCAGCCATGGTGGCATCCAACTGTAATCCCAGCTACTTGGGTGGCTGAGGAGGGAGAATTGCTTGAACCTGGGAGGTGGAGGTTGCAGTTAGCTGAGATCACACCACTGAACTCCAGCCTGGGTGACGGAGCAAGACTCTATCTAAAAAAATAAGAAAACTTGCTTAAAAAATAAAATAAATGCACAGCCAAAGAAAATGCATTTTCACTTATATACTTGATATACTATCAAGTATAGCCCATAGGGTACAGTAGCATCTGCTCTAGGTTGTGGTCTAAAATTGGGTAAGACAAGGGATTATTGAGAACTAGAAAACTAGGAAGAGGCATAGCGTTCTGTGTTTCAGCCATCATATTGCCAAGGAAGAGATTCTAGGCAATGCCAGAAATGGAGCTGAGATCAATACTTGAGAAAAACAAGCAGAAAGACTAGAAGAAATTATGTCAACTGGAACAAACTGACAATATCACCAACAATGCTTTTTTCCCCAGGATAATTTTAAGTAGGCTGCTTTGGCCCCTTCTAAATGTATCACTCTGAACTTAACATACAACACATAAAAGTTTTGTAGAAACTGGAATCAATTCTTATGCCATTAATTGTTATGCCAAATCAGTTTAACAATCCACTGTCCCAGTGACCTATAAGGTTGCCACTATTCTTACTATCTTCCTTCCATCTTTGATTGAGCTCTCACTGTCTACCAGGCACTGTCCTATGTTTAACCTATATTAACTTGTAAATCTTGTGAAAAGATTGTTTTGCTCATTTTACGGATGACAACAGACAAATTCGTAAAAGGGCAATGAGTTGCCTAAGGTCAGAGGCCCTAGGAAGTGACAGAGGCAGAATTTAGTTCCAAATCTGCTGGACTTCAACACATGGCTATTTTATTACAAAGTTATTTTGCCTTCACTATCCTTATCCCCACTATCACCACCATGCAGGAAATAAGTATGATTCTATCACACTACTTGAGACAAACTAATGTTATCAGCATAAGCATGGGGTACACCTTCTGGAGAAAAAAAAAAAGTGTATCTGCTTTTAAATTTCTACAGCTAGATAACCTACATTGTTTTATTTCAACATAGACACATATACCATTCATGTATATCTGCCTTGTATCTTACCTGTCTTTTTCTTCCACACTTATCTTTGCCTTGATTATCTACTCTAGGGTTGATCTGTTCACTGAGTAGTTGAACAGACATTTATTGGGAATCCAGCACTCCCTAGGACTCAGTTATACTTTTCCAGTCATTATTTATGTGTTTCCAATATCCCTGCTTCTTGCTTTCCAAATATCGTGGATGTCTTTCTGATTCTTTCCTTCCTACCTTCAAGTGAGTTATAAATAAGATTTTTTTTTTAAGTGTCAAGAGTTTTCAACATTCTTTTAGTTCCAGGAAATTTGGGACTAATGGTGAATGTAGATAAAATGTCTGGACTTTTTTTTTGTTTGGTTTTGTATTGATTCTCATTTAGTATTTTGTTAATATTTTAGTTACAGAGTGTGAAACAGTTTGCCTTCTTTTTTACTTGCTGTGTGTTGTATGTTCTTTCAGGGAAGAATCCCATTCTACTTAGTCCTCCTTGAAATTAGAGCCTGGCTCCCTCAACCTTAACACTTGCCAGCACTCAGCACAGTGTCTTGCTCTTTGTAGATTCTGAGCATACATTTGTAGGATGGTTGGGTTTGTTGTATTTCAAAATGTGTCTGTTGATTATTAAAAATTAAAACTATGAGCTGTGTGATACCATTCTTAACCACACGTTGTTTTTTGAAATCTGTTCCAAAACATACAAATTCTCTTTTTCTTCTTATTTTTTTTTGGGGGGTGGGGGGTGAGTGGGTGAAATAGTACAACAGAAACTATGAGTTATTTTTGATGTGGAAAGGAAAGCCTCACCCTGTAAGGAAGCCATGTAGAGAATCTGTAATGAGAATAAAAGCAACAACCTCATCCTGGGCTCTAAGCTTCATGGCCCTTGAAGACTTAGGATTCCTTCACAATCAAGTGCAAACAAGTCTGTGTCTTTTAAAAATAAAGCTCATTTTTTTTTTATGGGAGACAGTTTATAGTTTATCAAAAAGCTGGATTAAGGTGCTTAATAAATCATGCTGCATAGAATGCAGGGACAAGAAAGCACGGTTGTCTAAAATAAAATATGTTAGGGATACAAGAAAAACACAGATGCTTAGTGTGATTCACAGAGTCTTTATGAAATAATCAGATAATATTTATTAATCATCTACCTAGCTAAAGTAGTGAAGAAATAAAAAGACACAGTGAATGTACACAGTCTGGCTGCTAGAGAATTTCGTGCAAATCTTAGCATTTGAGCAAATTTTTTTTATGATTTAGAAGAAATGAATTAACACTCCCCATTACAAAAGCTAATTTATTTGTCTTAAGGCAAAGGATATTTTTATAGCAGAAATATTATAAAATCAGCAGAGATGAATCCCAGCTTGTGGCCTCTTCGGCAGATGGTCAGTGTCTCACCTCACATCACTTTGGTTGCACCATTTCCTGCACCATCTTGATTGGACTTCCAGTTCTCAAAAGTATTTCAGAGGCTGAAGTTCTGTTAGTGAGGTGACAAGGGAATTCTTACTCCTGACCTGATGACTCTACATGATTTATTGATTAGGTCAGACACAGAATTTCTACAGAACTGGAAAGTTGTCATTCAAATGACCCCTTGCTCTTACTTGGTCTAAGTGAATCCAAGCATGTTTTACAATTTCTCTTCCAATCATAAGCAGGGATATGATGATGAAAAAATCAGCAGCTAGGTGGACTTCAGTTAGCAAGGAAAGAAAAGCATGGTAGTGACTGCTTCATTTAGAACCCTATTGGTGTCACGAAAGGTCAGGAGGGGCAAGGAGTTAAGGTTACCAGGGAATAGGGGAAGTTAGGGTAATATATTTCTGCTTTGTGTTTTGCTGAAAGAATATCTCATCAATTTATTTTTGGACTGAGAAACAGAGTCACTTCTTTGATTTGGGAGGTATTTGCAGTGTTATCTATTGGGCAGTGTGTGTGTGTGTGTCTGTGTGTGTGTGGGTGTATATATATACATGCATGTGCTGAGCATTTTAAAGTAGGTCTTGTGGATTACTCCTGGGGGCAAGCATGGGATGGCAGAATTTGTTTTGGCTTTGGAATTAAACAGAGCAGACCCAGCTTATCCTATTAGCTCTGCAATTTTTGACAATTTACCACTAATTAGTTTTCCAAGTGTGTAAAATGGGAATAATAAAATCTATGTCTCGGTATTGTTACCAGTGGCCACAATACCCAGCACAGAAAGAGAAGTGCAGTAAACAGTTGTTCCCTTTCCTCCCTTCCAAAAGCTTCTACTCATGCAGTGCCTCACTTAGAGTTCTGCACTTCTCTGACTCTGTGGAGGTGTGAGTTGTGTCTATGGGTTTAGCTCTCTGCAGACTTTAGGATACAGCCTGTTTCTAGACAGATAGAAGGAGCCAGGGACAAGAATTTATTAGCTTACCACCAATTCAGCAGTACTACTGAGTCAACTCAGACTTTCTAACCAAAAAGTAGGTTTTGTCTTCTTTCTTGTGACCAAGACACTGCCTTGTACCTTTCTAGTTATCTGTCTTGATTCCTATCTTTTTGTCTTGAATCCATACTCCAGGGTTAAATAGTTGAACAGATATTTGTGAGGATCTAATACCCCTCAAGACTGAAATAAAATCCCTGAATCTTCCCATATGTATTTCCCTCATCCCTGATTCTCGTTGCCTAGAAATTTTGGATATCTTTTTATCTGCTTCTTGGATATCTTCTTATCTGCTTCACTGTTCTGTCGCCATCTCCTTTTTTCCAACTATTGCTAGGCCTTGTCCATCTCTAATTTGATCCACTTTTAATTTAAACAAGATACTTTTTTAATATAAGGTATTTGAGAAGATAGATCACCTACACATTATAAATGTTATAGTACAAAACAATTCATGACTAGAATACATAGGCAAACATTAGAATAGTCTTTAATTCTGCCCTGTTTCCCACCATGTCCATCCTTTTCTATGCTAAGTCATAATGTTTCCACATAGAATCCTTTGAAATTTACTATCCTGTTTCCATTTTACTTGCTACTTCATTTTTTATTCTTTTTCGCTCATCACACTTGGACTATCACAAAACCTACTCGCTGGGCTGTCTGGCGACAATCATTGCTCTTGATTTCCACTAGATTTATCTGTCTAAAAGCTAGATATGGTCACATTATTATTCTGGACATCTCTTCTAGAACAAAACAGTTCCTATGCATGGAATTGAATGTCCTTTAAAATCTACCCTAGTCAACCTATTCAGTCTCACTCAGTCCCTCTCTCTGCCATTTGCATTACTCATTTTTCCTTGAAGATATCATGTGGTGTCATTCTGTTGTGCCTTCTCCCTGTCCCTTCTGAAGTACTTTTCTTCACTGTGGAGCCTAGACAAATCCTACTAATTCTCTGCTCTCTTGCCCTATTTTAAAACCACACATGTGGTTATTTTACCATACCCGCATCACCCCAGATTACTTTCTTAATGGCTCCACATACCATATAGGATAAAATTTTATAGTCTTTAATAAGAAGGACTATAAAGAATACCATGTTATACTTCCTACCCAAAGACTACTTTGATCTTGTCCTACTTACCCAACTAGACCCAAGAAGCTCCTCACATCCACTAAAGTCCCAGCTTCAATATTCCCATATATATAATGATATTTCAAACCTCCATACCTTTCCACATGCTGAGCCACAGATGAACTACACTCTGGCCATCTGTCAATTCTATCTTATTTTTCAAGTCTCAGTAGGACTTGTCTTTTCCTTGTGAAGCCATTCCTCACCCACTCAAGCAGGTGCCTGGCTCCCTGTTGCCCTCATTCCATATGTCTCTATTATTGCCCTTATCTCCCTGTCAGTCATTTTTTTAAATGAGGCCATCTTCCCTACTAGTGAGTGAACACTTTAAGGGGAGACATTGTGTCTTATTTTTATGTGTCCTTTTAGCATCTTGCACAGTACCCAGCTCATAATAGGTACTTAATATATATTATAAAATAAATAGAAAAAAATCCTTTCTATGAAATCTTCCTAATCCTCTCATGTGTAACTAATTGGTTCTCTGCCTGAGTCCCATAGCAGCCAAGTCCCAAGGATTTAGAGTCAGCCCTCCTGGATTCCAATAATTGACCTCCCAACTTACTAAAGAATAAATTTCTAAATTGCCAATCCTCAGTTTCCTCATCTCTAAATAACCTATATCTATGAAATGAGCAGATAATGCCAAATAATAATCAGTTTATAGGGAAACGAACAGAGTAATGACACACAGTATTCAGTTAGCAAGTCTTAGATCATGTAAATTTGCCATTGGCAGCAGTGGAAGTAGTGGTTATTATGTTATTAATGTATAATCCCATGTACTTTGTTCTGCCAGGTCATGATTATGTGAAGGCTGCTACTATTTATATTCATCTTTATATTCATAGAACATTGCCTGTTAATGGCTTATATATACATACATTAATGAACATATATATATGAAAGGATGTATATATATCAATTTATTCTTATATTTTATGCCATAATACAATATATTATTTATATATTAATTTTATTCTCATGTTCTATCCCTATAGAATATGAGAATAAGAATATAGGTATACAACATAGAATAGAATTAATTCTAAGTATATTTGAAAATACAAAGAGTGCTAACAGCATACTGAAGACCATTTGAAGACCTAACCAGATCTAGTAGAAAAGAAAATTTAACTCGTGGAAATGTTGAGGCTTTCGATGAAGAGATATAGGACAGAGTGTAATGAGGGGTTATGAGAGGTGTATAAAGATAAATCAAAGTCTTCAAACTTCAGATACTTCAACCTGTGCTAACTGAGGGAAAGATTTCATCATGTGCCAATTATGATCAAGTAGACAGTCATAAAAATATGCCCACTAGTTTTTGAATTCTGGGAAATATCACCTACTTGAAACTGAACTCTTGGATCAAAATATAAAATTTATTGGTGTGTAACTTTGACTGTGAAAGTGAATCAAAACAGTCTCCCTAGCTCTGCCCCTTGGCTCCAGAAGCACTCTTCTAAGCCCTCAGGAAAGAATTTGTACATCTTTAGTCAGGAGACCTATATCATCTGCCAAAACAAGATTTCCTAGGTTTACTTCTAAATATAGCTTTAGTTTGGGTAATTTGCTATAATCAATTTTGAGGAACATTTAAACCCAATTTAATGTTTATTTTCTTTGCCAATTCTTGGTGCCTGCATAAATGATGACTCTCATTCAAACTAGAAGATTACACACCTATTAAATATGTACATGCAAGTAAAATCACTGTACATCATATAAGCACAAATTTAACTCTGGAAGATGTATTGCTTTCACTGATGCATTTATTCATTTGCTGAGAGTTTATTTTAGAGTATGCATGTATTAAATCTAACACTCAGAGAGATTCACTTTGAAAATTTCTTAATTTCCTAACAAAATAGTGCAATTATGAAAATTTCACTAATCTTATATTTACCATTGCTGGTATATTTTATGCTCAATTTTGAGCTTTGTGGTGACTTTACAGCAACCATATTTATTTATAAAATTGTGTGTGCCAGTTCTAGGTTTATTGATATAGGACTATACTTATTTTATGTTTCCCAATTGCCTTATATTTAGTAAATTTGACAAAGGTAGCTGTCTGCCAAAGAATAGAAGTAAAAGTTTTGAAGGACATCTTTTCAAAGCACCTGATATTGACAATGAGACCTAAAGACCAGGATTACAAAGGTGAGGCTGAAAGTACCTCATTTCCAATGGGCATAGTTAAAAGTCACCGTAAGCAGGAGCCTAGAAGTAGATGGCTAAAGTGGATCTGAGACATGGTAGAAGCAAGTTTATTCTTCAGAGATCAGGTTTAAGGATTGAGATGGGTAGAAGTCATGTTTACATGCACTGCAGTCAAATTAAAAGACTGTCCCAAACAAGGGACAAAAACAAACACACATGGGGAGAAAAAAAGATGATATAACCTATAATGTCAGGTATTAAGGTTGTAAACTAGAGGACAGAAGGTGGGATCCGGCTGACAGGTATAGCTGGGCAGTGGGTTTGGTTGTGTATTTTTAAATTTTAAATATAAATTAATTAAAACCTCATGAAATGTTTTAAAATTAGAGGGTATGCCACGAAATGCACATGCCTGGCTTCTCTTTATGAATCAGGAGTTCTTGAAGATACCATGTGAAAAGTTTCTAAGCCTGAGAGGTCATTACGTCCTGGGATGATTGTGCACTCAAGTTTGCCCAGGACAGTCCATTTTTACACCTCTTAATATGGCATAATTATTAATAACACTCTCTATTTTCAAAGTGTTCTGCCTTGGAGAATAAATGTGTCACTCTCCTCTAAGGGGAGGTATACACCACTGCACACCTCACAGTCTCTATCTCTCCTTTTATAAGTCTTTTATATCCAGAGAGCTCGAAATATTAGCTTTAAATGCCTTGCTTCTGGAAGTATTTGAGTTTGTCACTCCTACTCTTGGCCAACAATTAGAAGTCATAAATTGGAAAGTTTTTGAGATAGTCAGTCATTTTGATGACCAAAAACTTGCAGGTCAAAATGCACAGGTTGAGGTTTAGATTTAGAAGAGAATAACAAGGCTAGACACGGTAGCTGATGCCTATAATCCCAGCACTTTTGGAGGCTGAGACGGGTGGATCACTTGAGGTCAGGAGTTTGAGACCAGCCTGGCCAACATGGCGAAACCCTCTCTCTACTAAAAATACAAAAAGCGGCCAGGCGTGGTGGCGCATGCCTGTAATCCCAGCTACTCGGGAGACGGAGGCAGGGGAATCACTTGAACCTGGGAGGTGGAGGTTTCAGTGAGCGGAGATCCTGCCACTGGACTCCAGCCTGGGCAACAGAGTGAAGCTCTGGTCTCAAAAAAAAAAAAAAAAAAAGGAAAAAAAAAGCATAACAAGTGGCAGCATGAACTTCAAGGTAAATGTTACAAGGAAGAACCCTGATAAAACCGATCTAAATCTCACTATTATACAGTTCCCAAAGAATGGATAGAGGAAACTGGGATCCCACAAGCCACATCCGGCTTGCATGTTGTTGTTATTTGACATCGTCTGTTTTCTTTTTATTTAAATGAGGACATTTTACATTTTAAAAAAAATAATAATTTCTAGCTTGTCTTGAAAAACTGGAAGATCTGGCAATTCCGGGTTCATATTCTCACAATAGTAACTGAGGATAAGGTTTGCTAGAGCCTGCCCCACTTTAGATGGACACACAGTCTCCCAATCACCACAGTGTAAATAGAATGATTCATTCATTTACTGTACATGCCTGGCTGCTGGAGGCCCGAGTTTTCATCTTCAGAGGGGGAGGCAGGCATCAATCCCTAAGCATCACACTCAGACCCACAAGATTGTTTAAAACCTGATTGAGATGGGGGGCCAGTTTGGAGAGAAACGAGGAGCTTTTGAGGTCCACCCTTTCACACCACAATGGACTCTATACTACTTTTAATAGTATAAATGACTCAATAGCCATAAAGAGGGAGTAACAATAAGAAAAGTACTTTAACAATACTTACTGGCAGTCCAGGTGTGGTGGCTCAATCCTGTAATTCCAGCACTTTGGGAGGCCAGGAGGGTAGATCATTTGAGGTCAGGAGTTAGAGACCAGCCTGGCCAACATGGTAAAACCCTGTCTCTACTAAAAATACAAAAATCAGCTGGGTACGGTGGCAAGTGACTGTAATCCCAGCTACTCGAGAGGCTGAAGCAGGAGAATCACTCAAACCCGGGAGGCGGAGATAGCAGTGAGCCGAGATCACGCCACTGCACTCCAGCCTGGGCAACAGACCAAGACTCCATCTTAAAAAAATTAAAAATTAAAAAAAAAAAAAACTATTGCCTCTCTGTATTTCATCTGGTGACATGCTCCAACATGAGTGTTATCTCATTTGTCTCTCACAGCAATGCTCAGGGGTAAATTATATTTTCATCCCTATTCTATAGATAAGGAATTCAGCTGTTCATGCCAGAACCAACTCCAAAACCCAATCCCTTAACCATCATGCTTAAGAAGTTCCTATCTTATATAAAGCACTGCAGTGATCCACACAGCCTAGAATTTCTTCCTTAGGGATTTTTTATTTCTTTTTCTTAAGTAGAACTTAGGTGCAATATCTTCTCCAATCCTCTGAGTAGTTCCTCTGTCCTGTAGTACTGTGTGGTAGTGAATGCCACAAGGAAGTTAAACCTCCCACCTAAAACACTCAGAGACTTCTCATTGTTCCTTTATTGTCAGAAAGCGAAGGTACTGATTTGAAATTCACTGATTGTTTCTGGAACATTGCTATTCAAATGACTCACCTCTATACGGTTTGTCATCCAATCACACCAGCCTGAATTTTGCCATCATTTCCCTTAACTCAGCATCACATTCTGTGTACATATGTGGTCCACATTTAGCTCAACTCTTTTCTATGCCCTTCATGCTGACTTTTGCAAAATTCATAACATTGTCACCTGCACTCTGGGTTGTAAGACAAGTAGACTTTGATCATGTATGTGCCCTATAAGTAAATGTAATTGCATTTAATATTCACCAGTTCTGCCACTTTCTGATAGCTGTAATGAAATTAAATGACTCACAGCTTCTATGTTGCAGGAGAATGGGAACATCATAATTTTTCTTCCTTAGCTAGTGATAATATTCTTTTCGATTCACCCAATTTGAGGAAAAAATATGCCAGAGAAAGAATAGCAACATCTTGGCAAAGGTTAGAGTTAATACTATATTCTAGCTCAAGGAAATGATTTAAATTTCTATCTCGGTATTTTCTTCCATATTGAACACCAGGGTTGCCTCCTCAGAATCTATTTTACCACTGCTCTATCATGTAGCAGCATCAGTATGGAGGGCGTGCCAGAGCCCAGCTTTGGCTCCAGGTAGCCCTGGTTACTATAATTTCAGCAATATAGTTCCATGTCCCTTGCTCAAACATGGGTTCTGCAATGGGCATATCACCTAAACTGCTCTTATTAGAATGAAGTACAGAAATTTTCATCAATTTGGGGAATAAAAGAAGCCTCATTTTTTTTTCTTCACAGAGTGGTTTAAGAACAAACATGGGAAATTGGTGTACCCATTGCTTGATGGTATTAAGAAAGCCATTCTGAGCCTGAAGTTGACACATGGAGAAAGGCAGAGTTAAAAAGCAATGTGAGCTTCTAGACTAAACCATAGCTGAAGTCCACTTTATCATCTTATGATGGTAATATAAGCTAATAATTTTTAAATTTTTTTGGAAACCTCACTGATACACCTTCTAAAAGCAAAAATAGTGATCATTAGTGTTAATAAAAATATCGAGCTCCAAAAACTTGATGACCAAAACACCAAAAGCAATTGCAACAAAAGCCAAAATTGACAAATGGGATCTAATCAAACTGAAGAGCCTCTGCACAGCAAAAGAAACTACCATCGGAGTGAACAGGCAACCTACAGAATAGGAGAAAATTTTTGTAATCTACCCATCTGACAAAGGGCTGATATCCAGAATCTACCAAGAACTTAAACAAATTTACAAGAAAAAAACAAACAACCCCATCAAAAAGTGGGTGTTGGATATGAACAGGAAATGTCTTCTTTTGAGAAGAACATAGGTCAACAAACATAGGAAAAAAGCTCATCATCACTGGTCATTGGAGAAATGCAAATCAAAATCACAAAGAGATACCATCTCATGCCAATTAGAAATGGCGATTATTAAAAAGTCAGGAAACAACAGATGCTGGCGAGGCTGTGGAGAAATGGGAACGCTTTTACACTGTTGGTGGGAGTGTAAATTAGGTCAACCATTGTGGAAGACAGTGTAGCGATTCCTCAAAGATCTAAAACAAGAAACACCATTTGACCCAGCAATCCCATTACTGAGTATATGACAAAAGGATTATAAATCATTCTACTATAAAGACACACGCATACGTATGTTTACTGCAGCACTACTCATAATAGCAAAGACTTGGAACCAACCCAAATGCCCATCAGTGATAGACGGGGTAAAGAAAATGTGGCACATATACACCATGGAATACTATGCAGCCATAAAAAGAATGAGTTCATGTCCTTTGCAGGGACATGGATGAAGCTGGAAACCATCATTCTCAGCAAAGTAACACAGGAAGAGAAAACCAAACACTGCATGCTCTCACTCATAAGTGAGAGTTGAACAATGAGAACACATGGACACAGGGAGTGGAACATCACACACTGGGGCCTGTTGGGCTGGGCGCAGTGGCTCACACCTGTAATCCCAGCACTTAGGGAGGACAAGGTGGGTGTATCACCTGAGGTCAGGAGTTCGAAACCAGCCTGGTCAACATGGCGAAACCCAGGCTCTATTAAAAATAGAAAAACTAGCCAAGCACAGTGGTGCACACTACTTGGGATAATACCATCATCCCAGCTACTTGGGAGGCTGAGGCATTGCTTGAACCAAGGAGGCAAAGGTTGCAGTGAGCCGAGATCATGGCACTGCACTCCAGCCTGGGTGGCAGAACAAGACTCCGTCTCAAAAAAAAAAAAAAAAAAAAAAAAGAAAAAGCAGTTTGGAAAACTGGTTGCTGTTTGTGGCACATTGCTACAACTTCATGAGATAGGATTCATACCTATTTTTCTCTATTGTATTTATATAAAGAGCTAGCAAAGTAGGCATTCTGCAAATATATGTTAATTAACATGTACATCAAGTGAAGATGTTCCAGCTTTTACAGTTGACCTGAGAAAAAGTGTTTACCAAAAATATATCTTATTTATAGAACGCAGTTGTCATGAGTTTGATGACATTGCAATTCATCCACTCTCAGTGATTTTATTTTCTTTTTTGAGAACAAATTTTAATTAGTCAAAACCCGTTAGCAAGGGAATATACAGGCAGAGCTTAGAGATAAAACCTTAAGTATGCAGATGGTCAGTATTCAGCTCTTCTCAAGGTGACTTTTGAATCGTTCCTCATAATCTTTGCTACATTTACAGGAAGACTAAACCAGTTAATCAAAACATGAGTGATTTCTTTAACTAAAGGAGTTTAGGTGTGATGATTAAAAGGACAGGTAAGAAAACTAATTAATGATCCTGACCACAGAAATGTATTGCTACTGCCCAGTTGTGAACTAAGTACAATGTTGCCCACATTTGGCTTATATTTAAACCATTTGATTATATAAAATACCTGGAAGGGTTTCCCAGTGCACATGTATCCATTAGGGGGAAATTAGATAATTTAGGTGTCATGCAAAGATTTGTGCTATTCCATGGGTAAATCCATATATGCAAGGAAGGAATGAGGACTGTGAACTTACAGATGTCCCTCTCTTGAATACATTGTTACGTGACAGTTGCATTTTGAATAATGTATAACTTTCCAAAAATGATTATATTAGAACCTATGAAAATAATATTTCTTCACACATTCAACATGTAACTCGATATCAGCAAGTTTGAATTATGTACATATAAATATAACCACAAGATAAAGATTTATGATATATTTGTATGTGTTCATGTTTTATATATATATGCACTTATGTAGATTTACATGTACTCATACAAACACACATATTTATAATTTTGTATAAAACAAGAGAGTCGTACCTATTCTTGTATTTAAGGAAAAGACTATAAACTGACACCATCACAGGTACGATCTCAAAGTTAGAAACCTTTCATCTTTCTGTAGGGACTTGCGCACTGCATCTGAAGGACCCCTTTGTAAACATCCTCCAGGATGAGTTAGGAATAGCAGATGAGGCTTGTGTGCTTCTAGCAAGACCGCATGAGAGAAGGTGGTAATTTATCTCTCCTTCTTTATGCTGCAGAGATAAAGAAGAACTGGAATTAATCCACTCAAGCATATGAGGAAGAGAAAACTTAGTTTCACAAGTAATCAAATTATTATACTGTCTTGTACCAGTACATCACAGGAAACAAATTTCTGTTTACATTTTCAAACTGAAATATTGCAAAAGTAAAATTACTACCCCCGCCCCGAGGCCGGGCACGGTGGCTCACGCCTGTAGTCCCAGCACTTTGGGAGGCCGAGGAGGGCGGATCACCAGGTCAGGAGATTGAGACCATCCTGGCTAACACGGTGAAACCCCGTCTCTACTAAAAATACAAAAAATTAGCCGGGCGTGGTGGCGGGCGCCTGTAGTCCCAGCTACTCGGGAGGCTGAGGCAGGAGAATGGCCTGAACCCGGGAGGCGGAGCTTCCAGTGAGCCGAGATCGCCGCTGCGCTCCAGCCTGGGCGACAGAGTGAGACTCCATCTCAAAAAAAAAAAAAAAAAAAAATTCCCCCCCAACCACACACACATAATGTTTTCCCATGATGTTTCTATTGCAGTTACTATACAGATTTACTTTCCACCAGAATTTTGAAAGCAAATGGACCCAGAAAATTGTCAGAAGCTTGAATCTGACTTGTAGCCATGTTTCACGTTTAAGAGGCCCAAGACTCCAAGACTTCTGCCTCGCATTTATGGTGATCTTGAATTACAACTGAGTTGAAATAGTATTTTTCTAGGCATCTTGTAATATATATTCTGAGTGGGAAAGATGGAATAGGTCATTATTCAGAACAATTTACTCCTAGATGATGGATCATAAGAATCACCGCTGGGCAATCACTCATTCTTAGCCAAGATAGGCAGCATTTGGAATACAGGTTGACAAGAAAGTCTGAAGTGACATTTGTGCCCTGCCAATACCACCATCATCATGCAGTGCTCCTTTCTCATTTTCTTATAGCGGTCATGGAGGCTGAGCACAAAGAATAAACGACTTGAGAGAAATGAAAAAATATGTTGTCACAGTACCAAAGCTGGAGCAGGATGCATAAGACCAATATTAATGTATTCATCTTGTTGGTACAATGAAAAAGAGGCCAATTCCAAAGATTTTAGATATCATCCGAATATTAGGAGATGAAAACAAGATCAAAACCAACATTGCTGAGAAACACGCCATGAAAAAGCAAATAATTTTGTAAAAGAAAAGACCTTATCCAACCCAACCTTCAGGCCCCATTCTACACAAAGAACAACTTTTGTGTAAGCAATCAGCTAGAACCCAGGGTTCAGATTCCAACTGGGTTGACGCAGCACTCCCTTACTGCCAAGTTAGATAAGTTGAATTTGGCATGGTATATGGGCCTTTTTGGAAAGACCTTAAAACCCCATCTGTTCTATTTATTTTAAAGATCCCGCTGCAGTTTTTAAAAGAGTAGGCATTTATTCTGAGGCAAATGTGGGACACCATATGAGAACTCAAGGCTGATAGCTGTGGGGCTAGTGACACTGATGTTATAACAATGACGGATGCTTACCACCACTACTGTCATCACTACCACCACTAACACCACCACCACCTTAGCATGCTTAAAATTAAAAAGGAAAAGAAGAGAAAAAAATCAATAAGGAAAAACAAATGGGAGAAAGAGAAAAAAACCCTCTTAGATGTGATAAGACATGACCCAAAATAAAATCAAACCTAAAACTCTTCATACTGCTTTTGTGTCTCATTTTATTATATTTATAAAATCCAACCTGTTAACCAGGCTGCAGTTAAAGGAGGAGGAAGGAAACTTTAAAAGACTAAGTGTTACTGCTTCTTTTGTGGTTTACAGCATCCCTCAGTTCCTCTGCTGAGGTGGATAGTGGTGAATACATGTTTTAACCCAAATGGAGCTTCGAGGTGCAATGGCACTTATAGGACACAGCTAATAACGGCTATGGCTTTTCATGACATCTCTTTGGTACGCTTCAGCATGACCTTGTCAAAGTTAAAAGCTCATAAAATTCCTATTTACTTTATATGGCATTACAATTCTGCATAACAGTGCTTAAAACAAAAACACAGTATAATTATACTGTCAATCAAGCAGCTAAGAAAGGCATTTTCCACCAGCCTCATACCTAGCAAACTGTAAATAATTTATAAAACCAGAAGTCATGACTAAATGGCAGTGTTTGGGGGCTAGATAAGCACTTGTCATAGTGCTGTGGTTTAAGAGAGCTGGGCAAAAACACTGCTTGTTTACTTTTATCCTGTGAGGGTGAAAAATTGTCCTTTGTGCTTGCCGTCTTTCCATTCGGGCTCTAATAAAAATATCAAATTGTCAATAGAAATTTGAACAGGTGTACAGTGAGAGGAATAATGATGTTTTATTCATAAGCATTTCCAGCCCATTTAACTTCATCCAACAAACAACAAAAAATATTTTCTTCATTACCTCCAATTAATGTAAATGTCAAATGTGTTGAATATATTATCACACTGATAATTTGTTGTGTTGATTGATTTGTAGAATGTTTTGGATTAAAGTAACAATTTTTCTTACTTGACTCACAATTGCATGTTGTTATCTGTCACCTCTGGATTATGTAAATAACAAATTTGTTTCCATTAGATCTAGCAGTAATTCTGGTAAACAAGATTTTCAAAGTGTCACTGATTTCTGAGATTTCCAGCTCCTTCATTATTTTCAGTTATTTTATTAATTGTTAACTAGAATTTATTAGCTGTGGAAAGAAATTTACATCTCCTTCATGCTAATGACCTGATAACCCATTGTAAGAGCCTACAGTTTAAAAAGCAGCAGCAGAGTAAAATCCAAATAATTAAATTCTAAGTTTCACATATTTCTTTTGTGTTTTAAATTCTATCTGCAATCCAGAGTCCAGTATTTGCCTCTCAAAATATATTACAAAATAATCAATATGTAGATTAGGAGCCATTTCTGTAATTATTTTCATATTCACTTTAAAAAAAAAAATTTCTCTGCCCGTTAATCCTCTTATTAAATACATTTAGAATCAAAAAGTTGTGGTCAGTTTTTAAAGGCAAGATTTAATGATCCTTTAAGACATTTCTTAGTATGATAATGGAGAAATTTTTTTTATTTAGATATCAATATATTTTATGTGCACATTTAAAGATAAGTGGGAAACCTCAGCAATTTTCTTCGTGATATTGGAGAAAAAGCTAGTGGGTTTTTTTTTTAATCTCCAACCATTATCTGACTATTTCAATTAACCTGTCTTTGTTAAGTGGTAAATAAAAAGGAGCTGAGAGTCTCCAAATATATATGAGCATAACACTAAATCCTAGCTTTCTCGCCCTTTAATCACTCTTTATGCCTTGGTTCTCTATCCTGTGAAATGTGTATGTGTGGTTCATAAGAATACTAAATATTTGTGAGACACCTAGTATGCTATTTTACCCATGGCAGATAGCCAACTTATTTCTATAGATTATTCCTCTCTGTCTCATTGCCCATGTGTAAATATCATCTAAATAATGATACGGTGCATTCTACAGAAATGTGATTATTTAAAAATTAATTCTTATATATGTATCTGGTATGGATTGCAACCTAACTCCTCAGATGGGTAGCAAATATAGCATTATTTATTTTTCAAGAGGCTAGCTTAAGTTTTAATCTATGGTCTTACCTAGGTTTAAACTCAGTTGACTCCTCATTTTTCTCCACCTTCCTCCATGGACTAGGTATAAATTCTCAGAAGCTTTTCTAGACCTTTAGGGAAGACTGTGTGATGGTTGTAGGATTTCCAGGGCTGTGAGCAAGGACTTCTTACTCTCAGCATTGTCACATGTCTCTCATTCATAGAGTTTGCATATCCGTTGTCCATGCTGAGTCAGTTTTCAATTCCATCTTTGAGGGTTCTTCTGGATCTGGTCCTTGATAGCCATGTAAACGTTACTCTTTTACCACATTGGTCAAAGGAAGGCCGTGAGGTTCTTTTGGGTTCCCCTTATCTCAGTACTCTGTACTGCCATATTATTTCTGGCATCTCACCAACTCTCCTGGGACTCGATCCAGGAAGCAAAGCAGAGTTTCCCTCCAGTATCAGATTCCACCATCTTCCAAGGGACACTCCTCTCATCTCTCCTTAACTTGGAGCTCAGTTCACAGATCAAGCCACAGGGCTCCCTTTCTCAGGCACATATATCCATTCACTCTTAGCATCCTTTACTTCCCCCTGTTTCCCACAAACTCCGGAAAAGGCAAGTCACTGTTTCACATCAAGTACTGTCCAGAATGGGTGGCCCTACCTTGCATTTCATCTGAGTCCTCTAAGGCCTGGACTTTTGAACCTCAAAGGCAGGAATTTCCACCTAGCTTTCTTCTACTTCCTGAGGTGGTGTTATGTCTCTTGAAGCTATGGCGTAAAAGACCTAGCTGATGAAACGGGGAAATGGTCATACAATATAAGAAAATAGAGGGTAAAATATACATGTCAAGCATTATCTTGCTACATAAAGTCTTAAAAATATTCCAACAACCACAAACGTATGAAAGAGAATTGCAAGAGTAAAATATGAAGCAACAACATTTGTTTTTAGGAGTTACTCAGTCTACCATTCATTCCTCATACCACCTTACTTCAACCTGAGAAGCATGGGGTGATAAGAAGGCTGAAAGTTATAGAAGTGTGCAGGCAAAGACCAAGAATCATGACATTGTATATCATGATACGACAGGGACAGGTATAGCCACAGTCACCAATTATTGTCCATAAATACCACTCAATTTGAAGAATGGATTCTAAAATTGTAAGAAATCTTTTAGGTTTCATTAAATTTAAAAAAGTAAATTTATTTAGAAACATTCAAGTGCCCACTAGCCTTCACATTTAATGTTGACATGAATATCCCAAGGCATATGTAGTGCAGTCTCTCCTCGAAGACACGTCGTGCCCATTAGCTTTCAATTTAAGAGATGGGCTACATAAATGGCAAATCGCCACAGCTGATCTAGCAGGACACTTTCACAGTGTAGGCAGTTGTAGGGATACTGAAATGAACAGTAGCTTTCATGACGGGGCAGCAGCATCAGGATTTCAGTCTAAATGCCCTTTGTCATAAGTGTGACTATAGAAGCCTGGTCTCATTTTGTGTGTCACTGACTTAGTCAACCAGGAAAGCATTCTGAAAACTTAGAACCCTTATGAACAACATTCTCAAGGCAATATTCTTCCAAGGTATTCCAGAAATAGAGATAAGAGCCATACCCCTAGAAAGCAGTATAACACAAGAACATCAGACAATGAGGTTTGTCTCTGGTCCGTAACCTGAGATAAGGGATGAACCAAGAAACTCAACTGCATGTTAAGAAAAAAAAAAAACAAAAAACCCACATACGTGCATATATACACACACAAATACACACACTTAATTGTGGGCAGACAATTAAGCCTTGGTTCATATTTTGTACATCTTGAAATAGCACCTTAATAACATTGAATGATATTAAATACTTTATATTTTTGCTATATTGCACACCATCATCTTGTTGCTCTTTAAAGCAGCCTAGCATATAGATTCATCTAAGTAAATGGATGGGCTGCCATACATCATATCTGTCCTCTCCATTCATAAATTTTTTTGTGTATAAAAACATGTTCGCCTTAGGAAATCTCAAAACAGTCAAAGATTCTGGAAAAATAAGTGATTCTTTGTGACCCTGAAATGGAAGTGGCATGAGTGTTTGATATAGATTAAAAACAATGACCAAAAGCAATTCATCCTTGAAAATAAATACCATAAATGGGGTCCAGGTAAACAAATGAGCAATAAATGCCCCCTAGTTACAGTCCAGGTATGAGAAGCAACCAAAGGCTTATATGGAAATTGACTATTACTGTACATTTTCTATTATTGTTAATCAAATAGAAATATGCGAATGCTGACGCTATGATAGCAGCAAGCTAGCCAACAGTTGAAACTTGGCATTATATAGTATTAGAGTTGAAGTGCAGTTAGAAGACACTCTGTGGTAATAAATATTATGTTCAAAGCTTTAAGCCAGCACTTCAATAGGCTCTCGAGACCCACTTTAAGATTGGCAGGCCCTGGTGGCTCCTCACTGGAGGGCCATTCTGCCAACTCTAGAAGTATTTTACAGCAAATCAGGAACTTCTCTTTGTTTTACCTTCTACCTTCAAATGATAAATAGCCTTAGAGATTTGTGATAAAACAAAGTGGTCTTTAGAAGCTGGCACTAGGTCACAACTTATTCATTAGGCCTGGGGTTAAATATTCTCTGAGTGTTTATTATGAACTTTATAGTAGTCAAAATTTCCACTAAAGAAAATCAGTCTAATTAGGAAATTTTCCAACAGGACAACTAAAATAAAACGTATTTTAAAGTGATCAGAAAGTGGATCTAATAAGAAATATGATGATAATCTGCAAAGCCAGCTCCATGCAAATTATATTTACACATGGAGGGATTTGGGAATTATTTTTCCTGACTTGCATACCAGGCTAAATATTTTAATAAAAGAAATTGCATCTAAGTCTGAGAAGTCAACCATGCACTGAAGAGGTTCTGCAGCCTTTTAATAGCACAGTACTACGCTTAATAAAGATGATAATGCTTAATTGCATATTGATCTTTGGATTTTTTATATTCCTCGATCTATTCATCAATAAAAAAACATTAACCACAGACTCTGCTTAGCACTCTGCTAGAGCTTGTGGTGGGACTCACGTAAAATAAATAAAAGTTTCACTTCTTTTGAGTTTGTTGCAATAAATTTTGAAACACAAGAAGTCAATTCATGGGAGAAGAAACATTGATATGTAACATATGACAAGATGGTATGCTAGCTGGTATTTCAGATGAGAAGAGAATTAAAGATTATATTGGGCTAAAAGCAATCAAGAAAATCTTTAGAAAGGTTTGGGTTGAAGGAAATTAAATAATTACAATTTCAAAGAGGTAGTGGAAACAGTTTAATAAAAGAAAAATGCAGGCCAAAACACTTGTTTAAAATCGTATCTTTCAGTAAATGTGATAAGGAGACCCTAAGTGCTAGTGAGACTATCACTGTGTTTTCCTACAATCTGTTGCCATTAGAAGAGGGGAGGCCAGTAGTGAAAATCTACAATTCCAAACGGTTCAACATGTAAGAGAAGAAGAAACGAAAATGAAGACAAAAGGTCAAGAAATGCTTCCTGCTGTAGGTGTCAGTAAGATTTGGTGTGGATTTGTTATAAAGCAGAACAAATACAGAAATCATTATAGGGTTCCAAGTTTGGGGAACCAGGTGAAGCACAGTCCCATGGACAGGAAGACAGTGATGATAAGTCAGTGTGAGGCATCACTCAGTGTGAGAAACATTTCCAAGAATCTGGTATAGCAGGAGTTGAGTACTAGTAGAAGCCTTTCTAGGCAACAAGAGTGTGATTAATATTCTTATTTTAAAAATATTTTGTAGCTAACATATGCTATAGTTATAAGTTAACAATTATTCAATGCCTATTCTGTGTTTAACCCTGAGCGAAGCTTTGTATCCGCAATGCCCCCACTTAATCTAATTATACTGTTCTGAAGATTTATAGAGGAGAGGTAGTAGAAATAATTTTCTGGTTTAGCCTGGTTTTAGTTTTAGAATAGTCAGCAGTCCCCTAGACCTCAACATTTATGATTTGGTTTTCATTTAGTGGGGATTGGGAGGGTGTACAGGGAGCATGTGGGTCGAAGTTTTTACTTGTGGGTTTCTAGAGACTTAAAAAAAAAAAAGAAAAGGCAATGAAGAGAATGGTATGAAGTTTGTTCCTCAGCTTAGGCCCTGAGAACTAAGTTTGAACCCCATTTAAAGAGAAGCTTTAGGTAGGAACAGAAAGAACTGTTTACACAATGGTGTTGAAGTAACACAGAACAAAGGCAATTCCACTTAGGTCCAGTTATGATAACATGTGACCCAGAATGGGAGGGATGAATATTTCACTCAATTCAACTGGGCACCTAGAGCACTCAGGCACTATGATAGTTCTAGAGCACCTCTGTCATTACATGACTATGGAGGAATCAGCAGAACATGGTAGAAATGAGATGCCAGGATGAGATGATAAATGCTTGGGGACCCGGTGTCCACGTGGACGAAGTCTACCTTATGGGGGTAGATTTTTTTGTGTGTACGTAAGAAATATCCCTTTAGGACTCCCAGAAGTACTTGAGTAAGCACAAAGAGAAGAGGACTTTGCCGGAGACTGGAAGTTACGTTATTCAGGTGAGGGCAAGAGCAGGTAAGATTTTATCTATTCATTTATTAAGCAACTAGTTATTGAATGCTGCGGTGTTTCAGACAATATTCTGGGAAACAAAGCAAACCAAGAAAGACACTGCTAATGGTTAGAATAGTAGAGATACAAACTAATTAATAAATGGTGAAAAATCAGCATAATTATTGCTAAAGTGAGGAGCTCAGAAGACAGCCAAAAATCCCAGATAAGGAGTGCCACAGATGGATTCCCAAGAAAAATACCATTTAAACTGAGACCTAGAATGTGAGTAGGACTAAGCTAGGTAAAGCTGGGAAGATGGGAGTTCCATTCCACAGGAACAACTGTGTAGATTCTCAAGGCCAGAGCTGATCCCTTGAAGGAATCAAAAGCTGGATTAAATGGCCAGAGTGTATGAGGTCAATAAAGAAAGACATGAGGCTAGAGAATAGCCCTTGAGTTTAGACTTGATTTTGAAGACAATGGAAAGTGATTGAAGTGCTTCTTCTTTGTTAGATTTACCTTTCAGAAAGATCACTCTGATCATCCTGTGGAGGACAGAATTAAGGGAAAAAAAGACTAGCAGGATGTGGGTGCTGGTAAGGCTGGGAGACTCTTTCGTTATCGTAGTCCTAGATGATGGTATTCTGAACTAGGACGCTGACAGGGAAATGAAGAAAAGGGAACAAAGTTGAGAAACACTTAAGCAGTTGAATAGAAAGGACAAGGTGATTGAACGTGAATGATTAGGAAGTTAAAGAACAAAGTCATACTATTGGCTTGGGCAGCTAAGGAATAAGTGGCCCCATTTCCTGAGCTCAGCACCATAAGGGTGGTGACGACTGAGTCAGAAATGCAAACAAAGCTTACAAGTCTGTCTTCTTATGGGTTCCAAGGCCCCACACTTGCCTGGCTTTTCTTTTAATATTTATCATAACTCCTTGTCAGTTTCTTTGTAAGTGTTTTCTCATTTCTCTGACCTCTACCTTTTGAATTGCTCCAAGGCTCAGCCCTGGGAGCTCAATTCTTTTCCATCTACAGTGATTCCCAAGATAATCCACCTACTCTCATGGCTTCAAATTCTGTCTATAAACAGATTATTCCCGGCATAATTTTTCCATTCAAATATCTGCACTAAACTCTGTATGCTTTTAATCAATTGTCAATGTGCATCTCCACCTGGATGTCTGATGGGTATTGAAGACACTTAGCTGAGCTACATCCAAAGCTGAGCTCCTTATTCCATCTCCTCCTGTTTCTTTATATATTCATTACTTTTCATGACAAAAACTGCAATTACTTTTGCACCAAACTAACAATTTCATCAAGCAGCTTCCCCTATGTTCTGGGTCCTGGCTGGTCTCTGTACTTCTTCCCTTTAGCCAAGTAGCTAATGTGATCTCAGCATTGAATAAATAGAGACCAGGTGGGAAGTTTTGCAGTAATTGAGGAGAATGATGTTGCTGGACAATTCAAGGTGGTAATACAGTAGGTGGTGAGATGTGGTTGGATTATGGATATAGTTTGAATTTATTAATCATATTTCTGCTTCAGAGCCTTCACGATCTCTTTCATGTAATGTTTTCCCTCCAGATACTGCCAAAGCCCAACTTCCTCACATTCTTAGTAACCCCTCTCTAGGCCTCCTTATAAAACATTTCATTTTACCCCAACGTTTTCCATTCCCTTTCCCTGATTTATGTATTTCTCTCATCCCTAGTGCCTCTTTAACATTCTGTTTATTTTACCTGCCTATACCATGTTGGTTGTACTCCCACTAGAGTGCAATCTCCATGAGACAGAAATACCACTTTCCCCTTAGTTCTCTACCCCATCCCCATGCATATAATAGTGCCTGGCATGTAACATAGCCAGTGTTCAATACATATTTGTGAAATGACTGGATGAATTGATTAATTTCAAAGTAGTTGAATGAAGGAATAGCATCTAGAAATAATATACATACTAACATTGCTGAAAGCTACTTGGTCTTACTGGACCATTTTGAGAAATGTAGTAAGAGGTTTCCATACCAAGAATCTCTAGAGTGAGTCAATGAAAACCAGCAACTAGTAGTAACATTTACCACATTAGAAGGAATCTGGAATAAAAATAGAATCAAAATTAAGAAGGAGCCTTGTAGATAATATAATTAATTTTTCTTCTAACACAAGAAAATTGATTATATAGCTTTAGAAATAAAGTATCAGAACTCTTAATCCCAAGGCAAAGTAACTGCTAAGAGAAATAAAATATTTCCAAACATCCATGAAATGATGCTGTTATTTTACTTCCTCGAAATTCCATTTTTCTCTCTAGCAATTTATTAGAGAGTATCATGACAAAAGTACTGCCCTCAACCTATGGCATAGAGACATTTTGTATTACAAAGACTTTGTTTAATGAAGCAGAGCTTTTACTACTTACAAATGTTAAGAACTTAGATTTGGCCCAGAGAAAATAAAACCATTGGTGTAAAACTTCAGTGAAAACAAGTCAAGGAAGAATCAAGATTTTGGTGTTGACTTCTTTTTAACCATGGTTTCCTTTGCTTTAAAACAAAATTATATGGAAAGAGCAGAATATATAGAAAAACTTTTTTTCTAATATTAAATTTATAAAATATATGATTACTAGGAAAAAAATAAGTTGCGTATTAGGTATATTCGGCTTATAATGAAGATATATTTGAGTGCTAGTCTGGAACTTTCTGTATTCTATGTAATGCACAGATAATGAGTCTCAGTTGTTTTCTGTTATACTCTATCATTTTCCAGGGGCTCATAAATTATACAATACTCTGCTTAATCTTCCACACCTCCTCTTGCTTCTCTCTTTTCTGTTTACACATTCTGAGTATATGTCAGCCAATATCAGCATTTTGATTACAAGCAGAATGAAACTTCTTCCAAAACCTGTTAGCATATAGAGCAACATATCTCGTAATATTTTTTCTTATTTTTCTCCCCACAAATCCATAAGTGGTATAACATTTCTTTTTGCCATTGCATGAACTCGGCATTTCTAACTAGCCAGAGATTAGCTTTCCGTGTGTTCATGAAGCATTAAAGCTTTGCTGAACAAAACAGCTCCTTCTGACCTCTGCTAGAAAAGTGGAATATCTTTAAACATACTCTTTTTATTAGTGGATTTTTCCATTTGCAATTTGTTCCCCAAATCTCTTCCCTGTGGCTTATGCTGTTGGCCCTGCTTGTGTGACCGTGTATAAAAAAAATCGTTATTTGTGTCCTGCAAAACTTTAATGAAATTTGGGGTCACAATTAAATTATACTATATTTGGTTAATTAGCAAATAGTTTAGTTTACGGAATGCAAAGTCAGCAGAACCCAGCCAACTTAGAGGTAAAATAAGATCCAGAAGTGCGTTTCACATTCCTCTCTAAGAGCAGGGAAATATTAAGGCTGTCATTCTTGATATCTGAAAAACTTTAGGTGGAGCCAACAAAATAGCTGTTTAAATATGTGAATTAAATGAAAAAATAGAATAGATGCTTACTCTGGTAAATAAATTTTAAAAATATGGTATATCCATACCATAAAAAAGAATAAAATACTCATACATCATACAAAATGAATGAAACTCAGAAACATTATGCTAAGTGAAAGAAGTCAGAAAAAAGACCACATACTGCATGTGTCCATCTATATGAAATGTCCAGAGGAGGCAAATCTGAAGACACAGAGAATAGATTAGTGGTTGCCTAGTCTGAGAGTGGAAATGAGGATTAACTATAAATGGGCTCGAGGATTTTATCAGGGTGATGAAAATATTCTAAAATTGGATCACAATGATGGTTGCAAAACTCAGTAACTTTACTAAAAATCTTTTAATTGCACTAAAACGCATAGTTTTGTGCTTTGTCAGTTATACCTCAACAATGTTGTAAAGAAATAATGTAGATGCTTAGGTTTATGTACTAATAAATACCACATATGCTGCTTCTGAAGGTCATCATTCTTTTCCATGGCAATAGCATTCTAAAATGTCAATCAAAAACTACCACCAAAAAGTAAAGGTTTTTTAAAGATATGTGTAACTAATAGAAAGTAACAGACAGGCCGGGCGCGGTGGCTCACGCCTGTAATCCCAGCACTTTGGGAGGCCGAGGCGGGCGGATCACGAGGTCAGGAGATCGAGACCATCCCGGCTAAAACGCTGAAACCCCGTCTCTACTAAAAATACAAAAAATTAGCCGGGCGTAGTGGCGGGCGCCTGTAGTCCCAGCTACTTGGGAGGCTGAGGCAGGAGAATGGCGTGAACCCGGGAGGCGGAGCTTGCAGTGAGCCGAGATCCCGCCACTGCACTCCAGCCTGGGCGACAGAGCGAGACTCCGTCTCAAAAAAATAAATAAATAAATAAATAAATAAATAAATAAATAAATAAATAAATAATAAAAAAAAGAAAGTAACAGACAATTTATTCACCCTCTAAAAAGCAAAAAACAAACAAAAATAATATTGACAGTTCTCCATGACTATCATACTTAGTTCATACTTAGTTTCAGCAATCTGTTACTCTATTGCCCCAAAGCGTAAATATCATCCTCATTTATTCTATGCCAAGAAGTACTAGAAATAATCCCATTAATATCTTTTTAGATTTTTCCAAAACCAGAGTTAAATACATATATATTATGCCTTCAAAAAACACACAAGTAGTTGCCTTTCTTCTAAAATACTAAATGAATACATAAATGCATTTTGAACATTCAAATAAATAACATCAGTAAAATGCCCCCTTCTGCTTTCCAATATCTTAGTGGAACTTGATGATTTCATAAAATTGAAGTAGTTGGGAGAATTGTCTTCAAGATTACGGACAGTCACATAAGTATTTGGATATTTGGAAGGCTTTTTTTTTTTTTAGACAGAGTCTCACTTTATTGCCCAGGCTGGAGTGCAGTGGGTCAGTCTTGGCTCACCACAACCTCAGACTCCCAGGCTCAAGCAATCCTCCCACCTCAGCCTCCAAAGTAGCTGGGATTACAGGCATGAGCCACCATGCCCAGCTAATTTCTGTATTTAGATGTAGAGATGAGGTTTTGCCATGTTGCTCTGTCTGGTCTCCAACTCTTGGGCTCAAGAAATCCACCTGCCTCAGCCTCCCAAAGTGCTGGAATTACAGGCGTGAGCCACCGTGCCTGGCCAAAAGATGTATTTTTTTTTTCATTCTGCAAATGTTTCAGCATTTAGTATATGGAATTATCTTTTTAAAAAGCTATGTTTGTCATATCGATGTACATTTGGGGCTCCTTTTTCTATGCCTTTTTTTTTTTTTTTTTTTTTTTTTTTTTGAGAATGAGTGCTGTTCTGTCACCAAGGCTGGAGTGCACTGGTGCAATCTCAGCTCACTGCAACCTTTGCCTTCTGGATTCAAGCAATTCTCCTGCCTCAGCCTCCCAAGTAGTTGGGATTACAGATGTGCACCACCATACCCAGCTAATTGTTGTATTTTTTTTTAGTAGAGACAGGGTTTCACCATGTTGGCCAGGCTGGTCTCAAACTCCTGACCTCAACTGATCTGTCCACCTCATCTTCCCAACATGCTGGGATTACAAGTGTGAACCACCACACCCAGCCATCTAAGTCCATTTTAAAGTATATGTTTTATTCAGGGGTTATCTTTATGTATTCTGTTTACTTTTTTATTTATGTAGAGATTTGAATATTAACATGAATAATAAACAACTGACTTGCTTTGAATATTTTATTTTGAAATTTATTTTTATTATGGATGATGGCTTAATGGTAATTCCTGATTTGTGCTTATAGGCATGGATCAAGGATGCTGACTTGTGCCCAGAGCGATTCAGCTTATGACTTTGGCCTCTGAGAGATTAGTCAATAATCAGCAGAAGTCTTCACATCCAAAATGCACCTTCTTGGTATCAACTACTAACTTACTCAATAGAGGAAGTATTCAGAAAATCTATCACTTCGGTATATCATCCACTGGCCAAGAAGCTTGAATTCTGAACAGTTCAATGCTGTTCAATGATATGAGCTGCCTGGTCATAAATCTCAAAGGCCTGAAGAAGTCAGGTGTACATCAATAGGGAGATAAGTCTGGAAAACAGATAAGCCATTTAAAAGGGGCAACCATCACCCAGTTCTAATTAAGCTCTGCTACATGAAACAGCATGCCCAGTGTGATATGATCTTCTGAATTTTCAAGGGAAGCTGAAAAGCTGGATACTCATGTGAAATGTCTCAATTGTTAAATGTTGACAACTAATTCAAAAAGTTTTAAACATTGTACATGGGAAACAAAACTTACCAGAGGATCGGGTCTCATAGTGGCCAACTCAGTACTTCTGCCTTATGAGGAAATCTCATCTACATTTTTGTTGTGCAGAACCCTTAGTGATAGAGTGGCTGCCTGCATATCTGCTCCTACCAGTGTTACAGCTTGGCCTTTGTCCTGGCACAACCTCATCCTTTTGCCTAAAACCTCTTCCTCATCCATGCTTACCAAGCAAACTCCTAATTTTCTATTATTCTCTATCATCTTCCATTCGTATTCCTGGTGCTCCTCCAATGTAGCATTTTTTTCTGTATTAGAGCAATTTTATGCATAATTATTTAAATGACTCTCTAGGTGAAAACAGTTCTTGGATACTCCTTGAAGACAGGTTATCTTCTGTTCTCGTTTTGTGTTCGCATAGTAACTGACAGGCAGTTGACACTCAAATGGTTGACGAACAAGTGAGTGAATTAATTACTTATGTTAAAAAGGATTAGATTCACATTTTACTTCTGCTACTGATTGTTAAATAACCTGAGAAAAGTCTTGGATGAGAGAGTATTTGAGGGCAAAAATAAGGAAAATAGCAAAGAAAAGTCACTTTCACTTCTGGGGCTTCAGTTGTCTTGTGTGTAAAGAATGCACTGGATTGGAATCCCAATGTGGTCTTTAATACTCTATTTTGATGATAGTGTGATAGTTACATTAACAAAATTGCTAATAACATCAGTAGTAAATGAATATTCAACCTTTATGTGCAAGTAACTATGATAAGTGCCTTCAAGGCAGTATCTCACTTAATCATCTCATGATATTGTAATGTAGATATTATTTTTGTCCCTATTATATGGATAACAAAAGTATACTGGGAGAAATACATTTGTTTTAAAACTTTCACATACAAGAAATGCGAAGTATTTGTCCACTTTGCTGTGACTTCTTTTTTCTCCTGGGTCTGTGAATCATAATAACTGAAGTTCCCTTTGTTTCATATTGTAATTACAGTAAGATACAAAGCTAGTAATTTTCTCTATGGAATACTGCATTTCTCCTACACCAAGTCACGCAGGATCATGCTACTCAAAGAATGGTCCATGGACAAGCAGCAACAGTCTCACCTGGGAGTTAATTAGAAATGCAGAATCATTATCTCCAGCCTAGACCTGAGAATCAGAATCTGCATTTTAACAAGGTTCCCAGGTAACTCCAATGCATTCTAAAGTTTCAGAAGCATTAGCATAGAGGAAACTTATTCCTGGTTTATCAACATAATTATCTCCATAGGAAGACAGAAGGAGTGCCTTCAAAAAGAGAAGCAGAGGATAAGAACATATGGAAAGAATTACCTTGATGTGAACCTAAAGTTATGAGACTAGGTGTAGACATTACTCAAATCGACATTTGAGAGAAGACTGCAGTATCTATTTGTATCTTAGTCCATTCAAATTGCTATAACAAAATACTTGAATCTGAGTAGCTCATAAACACCAAAAATTTATTCCACAGTTCCAGAGGCTAGGAAGTTCAAGATCAAGGTGGCCGCAGATCTGGTGTCTGGTAAAGTACCCTCTTTCTCATAGATGGTGACTTCTTGCTTTGGAAGGGGCAAGACAGCTCTCTGGGGCCGTTTTTTACAAAGGTATTAATCTATTCATGAGAATTCTGCCCTCATGATCTAATCACCTCCCAAAGACTCCACCCCTTAATACAATTAGTTTGGGAGTAGGATTTTAACACATGAACTCTGGGATGACACAAACATTCACACCATAGCAGTACTAATTTCTACTTTACATGGTAATGTCTCTTGATAAAATAGATCATTTGCCAACTTCAGGGTCCAATTGCTGGTTATTATTTTCTTTTAGAATTGGCATTCTATTTTATTGGGTGCTTCACTTGTTATGCTTTCATCCTGTGGAGAGTTGTGGATCATAACTGAAGTTGTATTCCTTTCAGAGACTTTAATTGCTGATATTACCAAAAAATCAGGCTGTTTTGAAACCAAATCTTATGTATGTTTTTGGAGTATATTTTTGTTTTTTCTGTAGACACGTGTATATTGTACATCAGTTCTAAGATAAAATAATTAAAGGTCTTCACTTGAAATCATTACTAATAATGGCCATTGTCAACCATAAACGGATACTTTCTTGAGTAGATCAGGACAAGAAAAGGTTAAGTGCCTCGCTGTGTTCAGTAAGTCAGAGCATCTGCTATAATGTAAATGACAACAAATGCTTTCTTTTCAGTAAGCAGAATTTTTCTGTTTCTTATTTTAGAAAAAAAGGGTGTCTAGCTAGCTGAACTGGATAAAACAATGGGATGTGCATCACCTGAGTTTTGTGCATTTTCAAAAGGAAATAATTCTTCCTTTATTCTTTTACTCTTCTTGGCTAATTTGGTTTAGAGAGAAGAATCCTCTCTTTGTGACTGCACAGGCTTTTAAAATGTTCTTAGTGTTATATAAGAATCTGTTTCTCCTGGGGATCATATCTCATGTTTCTCATTGAATTCCTGTTGGAAACAATGGAAGGGAAGAGGTTCATTCAAGAAAAGTCACAGTTGTGGAAAGAGTAAGGTTGATCTGTTTATGAGTATACTTTATTTTTTCATTTTGCTTTATCAATGAGCAATATGAAAGAATTAATCAAAACCATGTTACAGTAAACTTGGTAAAAGACATCAAGATCAGCTGAATAAAATTAGGGAAAAGAGTAGCTGTAATTTTTGTGGATCCTAGTCAATAAAAATGACCAACACAAATTTGTCTAGAGCCGACCACTGGAAGAACACTAGTTATTTCTTGAGTATAGACAAAAATGTGTGGTTAGAGGGTGGGGGGAGGTTATTAATAAGACATGTGACAGACAGACAGGCAGCATCTGGGACAGGACACCCAGCTAAGACACCAGCAAAGAAGAGTGAAAGCTGAGCTCATCCATCCCAAGCATTGTCACTGTCATTAAATTTGCCTGTTTCTGAGATTCTTTGCATGATACATGCTAGGATAGAAAATTTCCATCCTGACTCTCTTTTTTGCAATAATCCCCTGCTCTTCTAACCCGATGGTAGTCTTTATTGATAGTCCTAGGTGAGACTCTAATAATTTGTTTGCTTTATAACTAGGATCTGAATTTTTTTCCTTAGTAATGTAGCTGTTCAACAGCCATGCATTTTCAAAAATGGTATTTTAAAATAAGTGCTTGTTACATGCAAAAGCCTTCTTACTCAGCATGTTCCGCTGACTTTTCTGGAAAATTCTTCATCAATTCTTCTTGATAGTTTTACATTTACTGTGAGTCCTTTCTTATGGCGATTATACCAAGCTGATTCTTCCTGAATACATTGGTCTGTTTTCTGTTGCTTATAACAGAATACCTGAAATCGGGTAATTTATATTTCTTAAAAAAGGAATGTATTTCTTGTACTTATATAGGCCGAGAAGTTCCAGGTTGAGGAGCCATATCTGGTGAGAGCCTTCTTGCTGGTGCAGATTCTGTGGCATCCCAAGGCAGCACAGGGCATCATATGGTGAGGGGATTGAGCATGCTGACATGCCAGCTCAGTGTTCTCTCTTCTTATAAAGTCAACATGTCGCCTCCCATAATAACTCATTAATCTTCCATTAACCCATTAATCCATTAATTTATGAATGAATGAATCCTCTTATGAGAGCAGAGCGCTCATGATCCAATCACCTTTTAAATGCGCCACCTCTTGATACTGTCACATTGGGGATTAAGTTTCAACATGAGTTTTGAAGGGGACATTCACACCCATAACACTGAAAAATAATATTATCTTTGTTTATGCCCCCAAACAGGCTGGAGTGCAGTGGCGCAATATCGGCTCACTGCAAGCTCCGCCTCCCAGGTTCACGCCATTCTCCTGCCTCAGCCTCCCGAGTAGCTGGGACTACAGGCGCCCGCCACCATGCCCGGCTAATTTTTTTGTACTTGTAGTAGAGACGGGGTTTCACCGTGTTAGCCAGGAGGGTCTCGATCTCCTGACCTCGTGATCTACCCGCCTCGTCCTCCCAAAGTGCTGGGATTACAGGTGTGAGCCACCGTGCCGGGCTGTTTCTTTTATCCTTGATACAATTCTTAACTTTTTGGAAAACTAATGCCTTTACTAACATCATCTCTTGGCTCAGAAAAATATGGGTGTGTGGAATTTAAGTGTACATCGTGCAATCAAAAGTTTTTTTCTCCTTGCCATGCATCTAATTGTATGTATACATACATATATACAGATATATATATATACGTACATTCTGCAGTGGAATAAAAATTTGTGTCCTCCACAACTAATATGTTGAAATCTTAACCCCCAAGATGATGTTATTAGCAGGTGGGTCCTTTGGGAGGTGATTAAGTAGTAAGAGTGGAGCCTTCATGAACAGGATTAGTGTCTTATAAAGAGGCCCAGGAAAGATCTCTTTTCCCATCCACCTCCTCACAGGGAGAAGCCAGCCATCAGTCTGCAATTCATAAAAGGACCCTCATGAGAACCTAACCATGATGCTACCCTGATCTTGGACTTTCCAGGCTCCAGAACTGTGAAAAATAAATTTATGTTATTTATAAGCCATCCAGTTTATAGTATTGTGTTATAGCCGCCCGAAATTACTGAGTCACATGCGTCTCTACATAGCATCAGTGCTGATTGTGTCCATCTGGCACTCTCTACTTTCTCCATATACTTTACCTTGCCCTTTAAAATTATGCTTATCATGGAAACAAACCATTTAAACTTGGAGGCTCTCATTTCCAAACCTTTTTGCCTTAAAATAGGATGTTTGTTTCTGAAATTTTCTACTTTCCTGACATTTCTGTTGTTTGACATTCTGTGCATTGAATCTTTTTTTCATGCTTAGTGTAGAGTAAAAAATAATTCAAAATCTTAAGAAAATTTACAAAACTCTGGTCGCTGTTTTAAGAGTAGCTGCACCCAGTCAACTGAGTCAACTTGGCTCATCACAGTTTTGCCAATAAAAGCCTATCATTCATGAAGTTACAGTCATAACTGTGTTTGAGTTGTTGATGCTGATAGGTCTTATTTAAAATAAAAAACATTGTTAAATCAGGAGGGAATATAATTGCAACTCTATTCATCATGAGTCAGAAGTTTCCTATGACAATCACATTACTGTTACTTCTAAGTAAGATATACATATCCATGGATACATCTCTGTGGAAGAGGTCAAGTCAGGGTGCCTCTCTTTGTCTCTCTGTTTTACTTCCCACAGGAAATGGAGTTATTCATTCTTCCATTCATTAATATTTTTGATTCCTCCCATGTGTAAGCCACTGTGCTAGCTTTGTGAGGAAATATTTGAAGACTAAGCTTGAGCATAGTAATGAAATTTGTTTCAACTCAATACATCAAGTAGTAGGTACACTTTCTTGTTACCGAACTATGTGCTAGCCCTGAAATAAGATACGTGCATGACATATCGGATTTTGTCACAAAGATCACAGTCTCTTAGAGAAAATAATACAGGAGTCAAATATCAACAGCTGACTATAGTGCTCTGCTAGTGATATAAATTAAATGCACTAAAAAGGGAGCTATTAATTCTTTCTAGAAGTGGAAGATAGGTAAAGAATAAAGTGAGTAGGCATTTTATTGAGAGGAGAATTTAGCCGAAAATTAAAGGTAGAAGATCAAGGTAATTTTGAGTGATGACATTCCAGATATGAGGGTTTGTACAAAAGCATAAGGCTATGAGAACATAACACATGCTCAGATTATTTACAATACTTCATTGAGGCCACATAAAAGGTTATCTAATGGCAATAGCAGTAGGGGGTGAGATTGGAAAAGAAGACCAGACTGTTAGTGAATGATCTCCAATACCTTATTAAAGAATTTGTCAGATGTCATGTAGAAACCAAGGGATTTTTGAAGTCAAGTTGCCTTTTGATCTAACATTGATATACAACTACAAGCAGCAGTGTGCAGTTCTATTTGGATAGCCCTAGGAAGTAACTAGAAGAAACTCTGTGTCTTTCAGGTAGGAGAGACCAAAGGTAAGTTTTTGGCACTTATAGTAACTTTGGTGGAAATTAGTACTGAAATCATCAAATTTATGGTCATAGATCAGTAATGAA
This sequence comes from Homo sapiens, assembly GCF_000001405.40. Lineage (NCBI taxonomy): Eukaryota > Metazoa > Chordata > Mammalia > Primates > Hominidae > Homo > Homo sapiens. Next base: position 166,277,169 of record NC_000005.10, read on the forward strand.
ATCTACCACTAGTGTGATGTGAAGTTGAAAATTTACCTTCGCAATCATTCATTTTATCTTTAGAGGACAAAACAGAGCACTATGTTAACCCCAGACATGTTTATTTTTCCCTAAGATACAATAAATGTGATACCTAACACTACTGTTTTCCTAATATTTCTTTAAATATTCACTCTGTACCAAATAAGTCTGGATGTATGCATTTTCTTATAAGTAATAAATTGTAGGAAAGCATTTGTGACTTAGATATATAGTTTATGGTTCACAGAGGTTCTTTCAAATATTCTCCCCTTATTTTTCATGAGTAACAATCAATGGCCCTTCCTCAATGTGCTAATATAATTCTCATTTTTATTTATCATTGAGATGTTGAGATATATATGATATAAACAACCTTTCCCTTCCTGTCTATATTTTGGGAATGGTACTAGATAATAATAAAGTAATGATAACAATTTCTGTAAATTCTGTAGCTGATATTACTGAGCCTTTATTTTGTAATGGGCATTGTGCTAAGTGCTGGCCTTTATATGTAGAAACATATTTAATTTTTGCATCAATCCGGAGAAGGGTACTATCATTTTCTTCATTTTATGGATAGTGACTCAGGGATGTTTAATAACTTGCTGAAATCATATAATAGGTAGAGAGCCAAGCAAGAGGAAGAGTCCAAGTCTGTCTGACCCCACCAGGGGCTTAATTTTCTTTTTAAGAAGTGTCTCAACCCTATCCTACATAGTTCACTTTATCGTTGAAACCATTTCTCATCTCACATGAAATGAATCAAATAATTATGGACTACTTCAGCGTTTCCGGTATATTTTTCAAAACGATCTCATCATGGTCCTACATGATTTGTTTTTGCCATTTGAGTCTTCAACTCAATTTAAATGTTATAAAAACTACAGATTACTTTGGCATTAGCTGAAGATATTGTCAAAAATGGAATGAGTCTCTCTTTATAATGCTATATTTCAGAAAGTCATAGAAGATTAAAATTCTTTCATCTTAATACCACTACTTAATTATTAGATTCACAAATCTGTAACTTGAACTCTCTTCAAAGTTATTGATGTTTCTTTATATATCAAAATTTAATATTTGGTGATTTTGATAAACATTCAGATCTCTAAATGATGGTAGGAAAATTTATGCATGCACTATATGTCTTATATTCTAATCAGTAATACTATTCTATGAGAAACCTCAAGTTGGAAAAGACATGAGATATTTCAGAAACACTAAAAGGACTTCTTGTCTCTTTTATTTGTTTCTTGAATCTATCTAAGATGACTTTGCTGTCTATTAAATACAGTCAGCCACCATAAATCTTAAACAGGCGTAAAATCGTTTAAGGACAAGTCTGAAATAGATGTTCAAATTAAATTTGTTACATATCTACGACATACCTACTTTATTCTGTCTTTTTCCCATAGTGATTTTAAAACCCAAATATACTACATATACTAATAATTATTAAATAATTATTATTTTTTAAAACTAAACTATTCTAGAATAAAATACTTTTTATTTTGTAAGATATTGTGGAGTTTTAATTTGATCAATTGAATTTCAGATGAATTGTACCCATTCTTAATAGTCTATTTAGTATGTATTTACTGAGCGCTTAGAGTACTAGGTACTAGGATAAACACTGTGAACAAGAGAAGCATAGAACTTCTCTCCAGTTTAAATTTTACCATAAACAAATAAAAACTATCCCACTCAGTATTTCTTTTTCATCAAATTTTATTTTAAGTCTCGGGGTATATGTGCAGGATGTGCAGGTTTGTTACATAGGTAAATGTGTGCCATGGTGGCTTGCCGCACAGATCAACTCATCACCTAGGTATTAAGCCCGGCATGCATTAGCTATTTTTCCTGATGCTCTCCCTCCCCCAACCCCCAACCAATCAAAAGGCCCCAGTGTGTGTTATTCTCCCACATGTGTCCAAGTGTTTTCATTGTTCAGCTCCCACTTAGAAGTGAGAACATGTTGTGTTTGGTTTTCCATTCTTGCGTTAGCTTGCTGAGGATAACAGCTTCCAGCTCCGTCCATGTCCTGGCAAAGGACATGATCTCATTCCTTTTTATGGCTGCATAGTATTCCGTGATGTATATGTATCACATTTTCTTTATTCAGTCTGCCGTTGATGGGCGTTTGGGTTGATTCCAAGTCTTTGCTGTTGTGAATAGTGCTGCAATGAACATACACATGCGTGTATCTTTATAATAAAATAATTTATATTCCTTTGGGTATATACCCACTAATGGGATTGCTGGGTCAAATGGTATTTCTGCTTCTAGATTTTTGAGGAATCACCACACTGTCTTCCATAATGGTTGAGCTAATTTACGCTCCCACCAACAGTGTAAAAGTGTTCCTTTTACTCCACAACCTTGCCAGCATCTGTCGTTTCTGGATTTTTCCATAATCGCCATTCTGACTAGCATGAGATGGTTTCTCACTGTGGTTTTGATTTGCATTTCTCTAAAGATCCCCACTTGGTAGTTTTTTTAAAATTTTATTTTTCCATAAGTTATTGGGGTACAGGTGGTATTTGGTTACATGAGTAAGTTCTTCAGTGGAGATTTGTGAGAACATGGAAGATATCAAACAAGGTTTTATTTTATTTATTTTTTTTCTAAGCGATTCTAACATTTTAAAAAGTTTATTAAGAGTAAAAACCCAGGCTTTAGATTCTGGAGTCTATATTTTTAACCAGTGTGCTATACTCTATCTCTAGACCCCTGGTCCAAGGGAGGCTCCGAGGAGTTGGCAAACACTGGTTTCCTAGGTCCCCAGAATGTTCTTTATTCCTGCCCATGACAAAAACTGATTGTTCAGACTTTGCTTTGTTTATCTGACATTCTGCAGTGTTTGTTCAGTGCATTTCCCTTGTTATTTTAATTAGACAGAAATCTCTTTCTATTACTTACGGCCTAAAAACAGCAGCAGGGGCAGCAGCATCAATTACAGCCAACACCTATCACACTCACTGTCAAACGGGCCCTGTTCTAAACATTTTACATATATTCATTCATTTGATCCTCCTGAGAACCCTGTTAGTGATAGGGACAGGAGGCAGATAAATTCTAGGCAGAAAAGGGTAGGGTCCCTGGTGAAGAAGCCCCCCACTCAAGCCTGGAACCGTGGCCCAAAGTGAGAACGTGCATTCCTGTTTTCCTGCTCAAATGTTGCCTTTTCCAAAACCACACATAGCCTGCCCAACCCCCACTTCTGCACCCATAAAAACCCCTGACCCGACTGGCAGAGAGCAGAGGAGGGGAGAAGAGGAAAAGCAGCTGGACGTTGGAGACTGCCCTTTGACGTTGGAGAGAAGCAGCTTGACTTCAGAGGGATGGTTTGACGGCAAACAAGGTTTTTAATAGAGAACAAAAGGTGATGACAAAGGAGTCTACTTCACAGGGGGTGATCAAAGAAAGCATCTAGGAGGTGACTTTGAAGCTGAGAAAAGAAGAAAAGGAAAAAGTCCGAAATGCAAAGACCAAGAGACAAATAGTTTTAGGTGTGTATTAGTTATCCATTGCTGCATAACAAGTTGCTTTAAAATTCACTGGCTTAAAACAACACATTTATTACAGTTTCTGCAGGTCACAAATCCAGATATAGCTTTGCTGGGTGCCTTTGGCTCACAGGCCCTTAGGAGGCTGCATTTATGCTGTTGGCCTGGACTGTAGTATCTGAAGGCTCTACTGAGGCCCTTGATGATCCCCACTTGCTGATATTCATGCCCCTTTTTGAGTCCCCTCTCTTAGAGTGATTTGCTTCTTCTAATGAAGAGAATAGAGCAAAGTGACGGAATGTCATTTCTGTGATTAGGCTACAAAAAGACTGATTGTTCTTTCTTATTTGCTTGGAGACAAGCCAGCTGCCATGTTGTGAGCTGTCCTGTGGAGAGGACCAACCACATGGCAAGTCCCTTAAGGAGGTCACCTGCAAAAAGACACCAAAGAACTGAAGCCATCAGGCATCTTAGTCTGCCTACCACAGTTGGAAAGAAGAGTATGGTCCAAAAAGTCTTGAGTCAGAAAATAGCTTGGAGTGTTCTAGAAATTGTCAGGAGGCCAGTATAGCTGAAAGGTGGAGGAGAGAGGCAGGAATACATAATGAGGTTGGAGCAGTACATAGGAACCAAATAATTTAGGTCTGTGTAGGTCATGGTAGGAAGTTGGGAGTGTTAAAATGAGGAAGCTTTCTGGAGTATCTTCCTTTTGATGAAAGGTATGGATTTTTTTTAAAACATGAGTGAAAGAATGTTGACTATATCCAAATCCATACTTTCAGTGAACTAGGATAGCAGTGTAACCCTGAATCCTCACACACACATATATCCAGTGATGAGGGAACTATGAATTATGCATGTAACATTTCTCAGCTTCTCACAGTTTTCACTAGAGCCTGCATTTCAACACTGATTGCAAACGGTCCATGAATCCATCCAAAGCCAGAAATGCTGAACAAAAGCTGCTGTTGCCTGGGACAACCCTAGACTTTAAGCATGTTAGGACATAAATTGTGTTTCTAGGAAATTTTACAAGGGATTTTTTTAAAAACTTGTCTTTGCAAACCAAATGCTTCACATAATTTGAAGTGTCTTGCGGTTTTTCCAAGAATGTTGTTTGTAGCACCACTATAGAGATGAATTTTAATATACGATTGGAGCATGTGTTCGCTGAGATATTTGATCCCGTAATTTATGGTATTGTTCTTTGTATAGTCAACTCTTTCTGCCATGGAGGCAGTTTTTTAGGAAATTGTCCTACTTTTATAAAGTTGATGGTGGAATTTAAATATTTGCCATATAGATAGGAGCCTACATCTAGAGATTTGTTATATAGAGATACACTAAGAATAAAAAAAATCTGAAAAGAATATTCATCTGTGGGGAAACAAAAAGAGAAAAGAGCGATAGCCTCTGTAACAAACATTTTAGGAATCTTTCAACTTAGTTTTGCTTTTTGGGGGGAAGCTATTCTTTTAAGTCTTTCGTCTAAGTTATAATAATATTTTGTTAAGCAAATCAATTGATGATAGGATTTTTCTTATCTATCCGTCCATCCATGAAGAAAATGAAGGTGGGATTATAACATCATGTGCATACAAATAAAGTTATAACATAGTCATAATTGAGAATATTATTTCATTTTAGATTATGGATCTTTGTTTTGTTCAACATTAGTATCTCAGAGCTTAATTAGTTATTTTTACGTGTCTTAGCAACCCATTAACAAAGAGCTAATTGAAGAATAAGAAATATGTATCAAGTTATTCCCCTAAACCCCCTTTTGCAGTCATTGTTTCTCCTTTAAATAGAACATTATCGTTCTCACAGATGGTTGAAGTGATGTATTGTGGGAAATTAAACATACTTGGCTTTTTTCCTGAATTTTCTACTTAGCAACTAAGGCCGCTCACCCCGGATGTATTATTTAACTCTTCCCCAGACACCCTCTGACTCAACAGCGGTAGGATTCACAGTTGGAAAGCTCTTCTTTTTATGATCCCCAAACACTGTTTCACCTTATTTTTATTACTGTTTTAAATATTTGTAACATTATAGGAAAACAAGCCATAAAGAATATTCATTTTGAAACCAAAGGTAGAATTTAGACCAGACTCCGCTGTAATGATCTAAATATTTAATCTTGTTAAGGGTGTGGAGAAATGTCTCTAGACATGGACATATGAACTAATATGACCTTTCAGGAGTGCCATCTAGGAATGCATTTCAACATTTTAAATGTGCAGCTGTTTTGATCTATTAATTCAACATAGAGAAATTAATCCTAAAGGAAGAGGGAAAATATTCAAGCACGAACATATTGTATAGTGTTGTTTATATTGATGAAAAATTAAACTATGTGTTCATATGGAATTGATAAAACTAATGCTACTACAAATAATAATACTAATCATATGTCACCTTTATTGAGTTTTTACGATGTGTCAGCAAAATAGTAAGCACTTTACATGTGTTATGTCACTTAATTTTCTCCACATCCTAATAATATAGGTACTATAATTGTCCCCATTTTTCAGACAATGAAGCTAGCTAAGCGGTAGAGATGTTAAATACCATCTCAAGGTCTTATAGCCAGTGAGTGGCAGAATTGAACACATATTATAAATTCATAATATGGAGTCATTAAGAAAGAGATAAGCTTGACATTTATGTACTAATATGAATGATAGTTAAAGATTAAGTACAGATAATAGAACTTTACGTTTAGTATCATCACATTTATGTAATAAACTTACCTACATCCAGGTTATAAACAAAGGGATATTCAATCAATCTCTTGTAAGTTGTAGGGTATTTGTCTATGTTTTCACTCTATCCCATATCTTTCACGATGGCACGCAATCACGATAGCCAGCTGGCTCTTATATTGTCCAAAGATGAGATAGAATTTGACATCCAGAAGGGAAGCAGAGGTGAAGCACAGAGGAAGAGGCAGTTCTGGCAGTATTAGATTCCTAGCTAACACCTCTGCCTTTCCCAATTATTTCAACCTGTAAAGTCCACTTTGCCTAAGCCACTTTGAACTCTTTTACTTCAAATTGTAGTGCTTTTTGCTGCTGCAAAAGTCATTGTGGACAATGAGACTTTCCAGGTTACTCCACTGTGGGTTTGCTTTTAGTGTATATGGGTATGCTTTTCGTTTTCATTTATTTGTTTATTTTTTAATCTGTGCTTTCATTTTACCTATGTGAATCTTGAACATTTTTTTAATTGCAGATGGACTAATAAAGATACTCAAAATGAAATTCTTACCTAAATTTTATTTCTGCCTCAGTTAACAGAATCAGCTGGAAAAGAAAAGTAAAACTGGTCCAGAAAAGGGCATAGTGATGCTTGGGGGTGGTTTATGTTCTTTATCTGGTCCATTGTTAGTTTGTTGAATTGGTGAATGCCAATCAAAGACAAGACCAGTAATTTCAACATTATTTCAGTCACAATCCCTACCGGCCAAAAATATTTTTGTTAGATTTTGTCAGTAATTTATAGTGAGAAAATAAGAGATCTTTTTATAGTGCTTAATACAAAGTGTCTCATAGTACCGAATACATTCTCAGACTACATATACACATGTGCACACACATACTGTATACGCTACACATGCATGAGCACACACACATTCTTTTAACTTCTAGCCCCCAACTCATTTTCTTCCTACACTAAAGATTGGTTGAGTGTCATGCCACACAGATTATGGGTTTGCCAGCGCTATCTGAAAATCAATAGATCTTGTTCAAATATGTCAGAGCTTCAATTCCTAGTAAGTAACTCAAGTAGTTTATACTAATCATATCCCTAGAATACTTTTGGGAGCTTGGAGCTCCATGATTTCTATTTTGTAAAATAACAATTTTGGAGGAGATATTTAAGTGGTAAAATATTGACTTGTTTACTGAAAAAAAAAAAAGAAAGCGGTAGCAATAGTTAGGAAAAAGAATACTGTTCCACACGTTCCAAAATCAATATCCAATACAGCCTCAGTGGAAAAACCGAAGATTTCCATCTTCTGGGGCACTTTTCTCTACCACTTTGGGTGTAAATTGCCTTGTTATCAAGAAGGGAAAAGTCAGCAATGTGTAGAGAGAGAGAAAGATGCGTCACATCTGCACAATAAATTATTAAAAAGAAAGATAAATTAACATGTTTTTCAGGCGTTACTACAACATTTATAAATTGTTTTCATTCCCAAAGAACAGGACTATCACCCAGTCCTTACATTTTGAAAACTATATTTAGATATATTTCTCAAAATTTTAAGAGATTTTGGCCTTGCCTTTCAGGTTATGCACGGAAATCATTGCCAAAATCCCATTTGCTCTGGTTATTTCCTTGAACAAATTACCATATTACATACTTACCCTCTAAAACCTGTGATTTTAATTTGCTCAAAAAGCATTCTTAGTAAATGCTCTTTCTTGAAATTTTGTTAGAAAAAATAAAGAAGTTCCTTTTGATAGATACTAATTTGGCATTATAAAAGAAGGTAAGAGTATATTCACTGATTTTCCAGATATTCATTTAGAGCCTATCTTTGCTACCAGTTGTGCTATGCACCGCTGAGGGAGCACCCGAGAAGGGCAACTGGGAGAGAGCCTCTCACCTCAAGTTTTAAGGTCAGTTGGAGAAAAGTAATACCCGTAATAATAATTACACCAGAAGTTAATGCAGGCTATAGTACTATGACCCTAATGCTCGGAGAGAATACATAGAGCAAATATATTTCCTAGGCAGCTTGGGGAAACTGATAAAAGAGGTATCATTTGCTGTAGATTTTGAAGAAGGAACAGGAACTTTCTAAGCAGAGAAGTTGTGTCACTTTCACTCCCACCACGGGGCTTTTGCATATGATTTTTTCTCTGCCTGGAAGGCTGTTTCCTTCCATCCCATCCTCCTCAGTCCTTTATCTTATTAGTTATGACTCATCCTTCAGGTATCAGCACTACTGTTACTTTCTCAGGGAGGCCATCTCTGGCTCTATAACTTGGATTAGTTTTCCATTCAGAGAAAAAAAAATTGAAGAGGTACATGCTTTTTATTTTTACACTTCTCAGATGGTAATTATATAGACATCTGTCTGATTATTTTATAAATGTCTGTTTCACACTGCACTGTAAGCTCCTCGAAAGCAGAGGATCACTTATATATATATATCTCCAGCTTCTGGCAGAGACCCTGGCAAACAATAAATGTTCCATAAATATTAGTAAAATGAGTGACTGAGGAAATTTGCTAAGGCTCAGTCTCTACATTCATCACATGGTTTCATATCTACCCCTATCTTTGCTGAACTATGAAATGGGAGATGTTTAAAAATATGATTGTGTTTTTTAAACATAATGCACTGTTGTCATTACTATCTGACTAATATTAGCTCAATACCCAATTCAATTTTACCCATCTTTTAAAATTCACTACTGTGTAGAATCTATTTATTTTATGTTCATTTCTCTTTAGGATTGGTAAATTAGATCACTTGCCCTCTTAGTTGTGGTTTATATCCTTAGGATTTCTTTATGATATGTTAAATAATCCTACTTCTTTATAATCATCAGAGTTCACAGAGGTAAATTATAGCTCAGGGAAATTGTAGTAGGATTTCTTGTAAGTATAAAAATCCACAGTATTATCTGTACTATATCTCCATTTTTCTCTTGAACTTCAAACTATATCTTCTAATTTGTTCTCACACATTCACTGAAAATACATTATCTTTTATTATTCCTGACAATTTTCAAATTTGTTTTAATAATGCTGTATTCCTTTAGTAAATCATTATTGACTGGCTATCACATGCAATACAGTGCTTAGTGCATGTAGTAGACTGTATTGCACTTTATGTAATAACAGGTTAAAGCATCTTACAACTCCTTAAGTAGGAACTTCAATTCTTTTTGCATAACACAGAGAGAAAATCATTTTCCTTGTGAATGTATAATCAGCCTAGTTTGTGCCATTGCTGGCACTTTATCTCTCTTCCAATGTTACCATTAATTCAGAACCTAGTATATATACGCTTACCTTTTCTCTCCTTTAAATATTTTTTTCCGTTTTCCTACAATAAAACCAGTTTTCAGTTCAGACATTTCTAACTATCCTCATTTACATTTCAGAACTAGAATGTTCTCCTGCCTTCACACATTCGGGGATTTTTTAACCAGTCTGACAGTTTTTAATTTGATCTTGTTTTGCAGGTCATGAATTCAATTTCTAAATGCTTTACCGTTTTTCGTTTTCTCAAATAGAATAATGCTCCATCCATCAATTGTTATCTCCTTATCTTCAGGGTTTTTTTTTTTTCCATTTCCCCTGAACCAAGGTCAATGTTTATAAAATCTGCTTTTTACTAATTAAATCTGACATTGTTTGATAATATCAATTGTACTTAAGTAGCATATAAATTCATCACAAGTGAATCCACCCTGGTGAGTTGGAAGATATTGGAGATTGCATTTTCAATAATAAACAACTCATGTGCATTATTTTTTAATAAAATTCTTAAAAAGAAATTATATAAGCACTATAAATGATCTGTGAGCTGGTCAAATATGTTTTCTCTAGCACTCATCAGAAAGATTAGGTCTGATCACCTTTTAAAATGGTGTGCGCAAATTTTATTAATTATGTGTCTCTTTGGAGTAGAATGTGCTGAATACAGCTTCTTTGGAGCAATCTCTGCTTTGTGACTCAGAAATCTGAATTTTATAGGGAAATAAAGAGTAGCTTAAAAGCATGTAGATTAAACTAGCATAAATTTTATTGGAAGATCTCACCTCACTTTACAAAAAATAATCAATATTGACGAAAATAGGTATAATGAGTAAATATTATCATATAAGGAAAAACCTAGACATCCTCCCCAAGGAATACAGAGAAGCTCATCAGGAATTAAGTCCTATTTTCTGCTGGACTTTCATGTGCTAAGAAAATTAAAAATGCAAACAGCAAGATGTCCTTGACTGTGTAAGAGTTCTATCAAGCATAATGAATTTGAAGATACCAAAGAACAATTATGATATTGATAATAAAGGAATACGTCTCCATTTTTATATTTAATGGTAAAGTCTAGTACTAGTTATTAAAACTGATAACCAAATTTAGTATCTAGTAAGTAGTGCATAATGTGCATGGTCTAGTGCCCTCTTCTTTCTTTCAGACAAATCCCAATTTTACATTCAAAAGGGCATGTAATCAGATGACAGTGTTATTGTCTGTTGAAGCCTCATAATTTACTTAAAGTTAAAGTCACAATTGTGCTTTGTATCTCAGTGTACTTGATGATGAGTTCATTAGCCTTTCATTCTCAGAAACAAAGCTTGGCTGAATGGCTGGTCATTTGGCTTCAAAACAGAAATTTGGCTGTGACTCAAGATCTACTTTCTTCAGGTCTTCTTTCTCCAGGCCTGCTGTGTGCAGCTTACAGTTTTTGTTTTTCAATGTGAACTCAAGAGCTAGCTCATAGTCACTATGTGTAGACACATGTGAGAATGCATCTGTCCAAGTTTGATGCAAGGGAGCAAAAATACAATGACACATCCTACGTTTCAAATGGTATTCTTTCTCTCCTGTGTCTTGGTTAGGCAGAAGATTTAAACTAAAACGGAGATCAAAAGTTAAGGATGACTGACAATCCAGTAGGGTGTGGTTGGGAAAAGCATTGATTAGAAGTCAAAAAACCTAGTTTTCTGGTCGGGCTCTGGTATTTTACTGTCTTTGGCCTTAAGCAAGATACTGAATGTTTCAGAATTTCTATTTCCACATCTGAAGTGAAAGGTCATTCATTTTCTCATGCTGTCCACAAGAGGGTTGCTATGAGAATCAAATGAAAAACTGCATTTGAAGCATCTTATTTAGAACTGAAGATATTACTCTAAATGGAACCATTAGAACATAAAGATTTTTTTTTAAAAAAAAAGGGGGCAGGCCGTGAAAAACTGGACTACCATCCTGCCATGGCTCCTGAGATAACCAGGCATGGAATCCAATCCCACCTCTGATTACTTTCCTAACTGTAACTTTTAGAAAGCCTCAGACATCTCATCTATTAGAATGGTGCTAAAGTAATTGTGGTTTTTGCCATTGTGTTTTTAAACGGAAAAAAACACAACTACTTTAGCACCAACCTAATATAAATTAGGATTCCAATAATATCTATTTCTGAAGAATGTTGAGCAGGTTAAAGGACACAAGGGATGGAAGCCACTTAGAAAATGGTAGGACACATAGTGAGTGCACAGTAAATAGTTGTTGCTGCTGTTGCTGGTGTGATAAGTGTGTTAAAGGATTTCACCTTGCCCATTCCCAGGCACATTTTTCTCATTTGCTGTATGCCTGGCACAGAACATTGCAATTATACAACCAGCAATAACAAGTATGAGAGGGTAAATTATGTAATGCCTAAGAAAGGGTGAACCTTGACAGGATGTGGTTCCTCAAATCAATCAATGAGATTTGAGAGAGCAAGAAGGTATTATCATTAACAGGGGTTCACAAACTCCAGCCTGTGGGCCAAACTCAACCACTACCTGCTGCCTCTTCTGTAAATAAAGTTTTATTGGAGCACAGCCACATCCATTCGTTTCCATCTTGTCTATGGCTACCTTCATGCTACAACTGTGGAGTTAAGTTGTTGCTACCTGGCCCTTGACAGAAAAAGTTTGGCAACCTCTGCTTGACAGAATTCAGGGGACTATTGAGCATGAAACTGTACCAGAATTCAAGAACAAGGTATCAGATAAAGTAGCAAATGCTAAAAACCAAGTGCACATAAGCAACAATAAGATGTTGAAATTGATTTTTAAGCAGAGGGTCTCAAAACCTCTACTGGCACATGACTGACCCTCTTGCAAGTCTGGCTCAGGATATACAGATGAATAAGGGGTTGTAAGCAGCTGAAGAGAAGGGAGGCTCAGAAATAAGGAAGAACTTTGTGGACTAGAGGTTGTCTGTCAGCCACAAACACCCAAGAGGCCTCTCTAAAAATGAGTTCAAAACTCACTGTGTGACTGTCTGACAATAGATTCGTAAGTTATAAACTAAAGCTGTTTACCCAAGAACTAAAGGAAATTTGATCATGGTTAATTACACCTCACCCTTTAGACACACTCCATGATGATACATTTTTGGTATTCCACAAATGAGCCTTTATTTTTCTTTGTTCTTTCCCATCACAAATAGAACGGCTTGACCGGCTACAGATTCTGTACTCTTGGCATAAATTAATGATTGCTGTCCTTCCCTCAATTATACAAAATTTATAAGACCTATCATTCTTATCAATTTTAAAAATGAAATGCAATAAAGAACTCAAATGATCACTCAGATATTTTTGCACAAACACAAATAGTGAAACTGAACCACTGGCTTGCATGCACGGCCTCTATCAGATTGCTTGAAATGTTCATTGTCAACTGATGTGTGAAATAACAAATTCATTGTATATAGGTATCAAGGGGTACTAATGTGTAATAAATGAGTGTCTATTTTCAAAAATAAGACACATTTTTAAAATTCGAGAGGCAACTGTGTAAGAGTTTTGTTTTCAAGTATTTGGAGGAATATTGAACCTAAGCTAATAAGATGTAATGAATAATTAATCTTAATAATGCAATTATTATAGTCAGATATACATAACCTACTATATGTAGGTGTCTTAGTCCATTTTCTGTTGCTATAACTGAATATCTGTGACAGGGTAATTATTTTTTTAAATTATTTCTTACAGTTCTAGAGGCTGGGAAGTCCAAGAGCATGGCACTGGCATCTAGTGGGGTTCTGGTGAAAGGCTTGTGCTATGTCATAACATGACAGAGAAGTGGCTGCATGCAACATGAGAGGAGGTCTCACTTCATAACAACCTGTTCTCCCTATAACAAATCTACTCCTGCAAGAGTGGGAACTCACTCACTCCTGTGAAAATTAACCCATTTCCTTGAGAGCAGCATTAATCCCTTTCGATGATATAATCACTTCTTAAGGTTCCACTTCCCAACACTGCCACATCAGGATTAAATTTCCAACGCCTGATTTCTGAAGGACACACTCAAATCATAGCACTGGGGAAAGTCTTAGCTAGCCCTGGGCAGAAAGAGAAGAGTGGGCTTTGGGGGAACATATCTTTGAAGAAATCTAATCTAATTTTCATGGTCCTTCAGAAACTTTCTACCTTGAGGCTTTTTCATCCAGGAGAGTGAGCCACTGAAATCATTAGGTTTACATTTCTATCTTTGCTTTCCTGAAATTGATTTATTTAACTACACATTTCACTGGTCTGATTTTTGTTTTTAGAGTCATGCCAAACTGTTTTCATCTCTAATAACTTATTACTTTTGAAACACCTGTTGGTTTTGAAGCTTTCTATTTTGTGACATTGGGCAGAAAATATATTGACCAAATTGGTACAATTGGTTACTAGATTGATGCTGGTTTCTAGATTTTCCTTTGGGCTTGTTAAGGCTTGGGGAAAGTTTTAGAAATCAATGAGGGGAACATCGTTTCCCAAAAGTCTTGTCTGCACATTATCACTAAATAATATGCAATAGGAAGACAGAAGATGAATGCCAAGTGTCCTATCTGCAGGAACAATTGTGGAATGACTCTCTTCCCACCTCCAGAATTAAAGGGCACCATTGGATCATCTCTGAACAGCAGTCTGGGCTGGTATCCAATACTGTCAACTCCCAGTTAGATACAGCTGCAGAATCTCCAAAACCAAAACCAAAATAAAAAAATCTTGGTGCCAGTGTATTTTTGCTAAGAAAATAATACAAATATGATTATAGCCATTAAAGGCTATGCTTATTTTTTGAACCAATGTCACGAGCAATTCTAGGTGTGAAAGCTTCAGGCATGTTCACTCTAATAAGACATATGAGTGGACTAAGTCCCATGTGAAATGCAGAAACAAGTCTGGCTGATAAAATGCTCTTTATATCTATGGTCATCAGGAGTCATCAGCCAGCCTGAGACTGCATAAAGTAGGAGAAGAAAGGGCTAATAATGAATTGAGTTTAATTAAATCTCCAGAGCCAAACTGGGTAAGAAAGGGAAGAAAGATTATTTCACAGAGGTTAACTTAAATTTGACCTTCCTCCTAGACCTATTGTTCTAAGCGTGATTGCCCAATTTTATCAGATGTATAAAACCTTGAGTTCATAGAGGTCAAGGGGCTGGTCCCACATTAAACAGCCAGAAAGAGACAAAGTGAGATTCTGAGCCCTGATATGTCTGTCTCTGTCTTAGTTCATTTAAAGTTGCTCTAACAGAATATTTTATTTATTTATTTATTTATTTATTTATTTATTTATTTATTTATTTAATTTTGAGACAGAGTCTCACTCTGTCGCTCAGGCTGGAGTACAGTGGCACAATCTCAGCTCACTGCAGCCACCACCTCTCAGGTTCAAGTGATTCTCCTGCCTCAGCCTCCTGAGTAGCTGGGATTACAGGTGCCCACCACCACAGATATAACAGAATATTTGGGACTGGGAAGTTCATAAAGAAAAGAGGTTCCTCTGGCTCATGATTCTGCTGGCTGGACAATTCAAGATTCAGCACCTATGTCTGATGAGGGCCTCAGAAGGAGGAAGGGGACTTGTTGTGCAGAGATCACATGGCAAGAGATCTTTTCTTTTTTTTTTAATCAACCAGCTCTCACAGGAACTAACAGAGCAAGAATTCACTCACCTCTGAAGGAGGGCATTAATCTATTCATGAAGGATCCACCCTCATAATCCAAACTCCTCCCACTAGGTCCTACCTCCTAACATTGCCATATTGCGGATCAAATGTCAACATGATATTTGGAGGGGACAAACATCCAAACCATAGCAGTCTGTAAAGACAACTTCTCTCCTTTAGACTGTCCTAGTGCTGTGGTAAAAGAGAAGGTAATTTTGGACCCTGGCTGCCTTGATTTGAACACCACTTCTTTCCCTAAAATCTAGTGACCCTAGGCAAATAACTTAGTCTCACTGTACTTCAACTCTCTTATTGGTAAAATGGGAAAAATAATTAATAATGGCTTTGTTAGGATTAAATTAGTTAGTGTATACAAAAATAATGTGACACATATTATTCAAGTGTATGCTGTTACCACTATACTATATGGTATTTTCCACTATATGCTATTTTCTCCCCAATTCTAACCCTCATTTCCCAGAAAGAAAAAAATACTTAAAGGGAAAATTGTTTGCATAAATTTCTGAATAATCAAAATATTCAGAATTCACTTGGCTTATGGAGATAGTAAGATACATGCACTTATATTTATTTTTATTTCTTTCTTCAACTTTTAAGTTCCAGGGTACATGAACAGGATGTGCAGGTTTGTTACATAGGTAAACGTGTGCCATGGTGGTTTGCTGCACAGATCAACCTATTACCCAGGCATTAAGCTCAGCATCCATTAGCTATTCTTCCTGATGCTGTCCCTCCCCCTGCCTTCCCCACAGGCCCCACTGTGTGTTGTTTTCCTCCATGTGTCCATGACACAGACACATACTTATAAATACACGTGTGTTTATATCAATTTATAAAATCAAGAATTAATTTTAGAAATAGTAACTGGCTTAGACTATGCTCCATTTTCTTTCCCCAAATTAATGCAAAATCTACATTAGAATGGCTTTCAATGTTTGAAGAAATGAAACTATTCAGAAGTTTACATAAGGAAGCAATTTGCTTGGATTGAATAAGGTAATACATAAGTATGTAAAACCCTTTCTCTGTAAATGCTGCTTTTAATTAGGAATGGAGCTCTGAAAGAAATCCTAGTTATTATATCCACAAACTGAACTCAGGCAACTATTTTAATTGGAACAGAAAACACCAAAATGCAGAAGATTTATCAAGGAAATTTGAAAATTAGAAAAAAAAGAACACCTAGTTCACAGTAAACAACATTTTGTGTTCTTTTTCTTTACCCCAGTAAAGAGATTGGAATAATCCCCTTGTCAGAGGAGATGGATGGCATACATTCAGGATTCTGCAGGGCATTAAATAGTTGTCGCCATGTCAGGCAACTCTCTTCGGTTATTAATACCGAATAAAATCAACATTCTTCTCCTTCTTTCTTGAGTTAAACATTTCCCCTCCATTCCATTCCTGCTGTCTGTCCTTTCAGTTCTTAGCATTTGTCGTAGTTCTTCCTCTAGCAAGGCTTTTCTCTTCTCTTTGGCAACGTCCCTCACATTTTACACAGCAGCCAAAGAAACCTTGACTTCTTTTCATCTTTTTCCTTCCTTTGGCTATTCTTTTGAGGGAAAAGACATGTTTCTGTCCTTCTCTTTAGATTGCATTTATCCAGTAGAAGCAGTCTGTGTTTTTGCAATAGCCAACATCTGGGCAGAAGGGAAAAGGAGAAGTGGGTTTGGCGAATGACAGCCTGCGGAAGGCTGAACGTCACCTTCAACTCAATTGAGCACCACGACCCTCAACTTGATAAGACTGCCCAACTGATTATATCAGCTTCCCTCTTCATCTGGCACTTCCAGTGTATGAGGCCCAATTAGTATATGGCAAGAATTGAGTCTTCCTACAAGCTGAAGAGTATGGTCTAGTAAGTATTAAGTCAGTTGCGCATTCCTATGTCACTTGGTAACATCTGAGGCCAGTAGACCCACACTTAACAAGTGCCTAAGGAATTAAGTAAATAGTGCCTAAAATACTCTGAGCTTGTTTTGAGGTAAATTAGGCCTCGAATAGTAGCAGCAGCAGCAGCAGTGGAGGTGGTAGTAATAGTTTTTCATAGCAGTGGTTGCAGTAGTAGTAGCAGTAGTAAATGTTTATGGAGCACTTACTATATGCCAGGCACTGTTTTCAATACCTTATATTTATTCTCTCATTGCATCCTCATAACTAACTGCCTCATCGAAAGGGACTATTATTAATTAAACTCTACAGAGAAGAAACTGCAGCCAAGAAAATTTAATAATTTACCTAGGGTCACACAGCTAATATATATTAGAGCAGGGATTCAAATACTGCATGTCTTTCTTTCTCCACAAGTGAGGCTGATTTCTGTGAATCATACTGCCTTGCATGGTAGTATATAAATCTCTCCAGAGTGTTGTGTAAACTCTGAGGAATCAAGATTCTCATCACTAGGTCTGTCTGACTCCAGAGTCCACATTTTTAACTACTATATAATGCAATCCTCCTTAAAACTGAATACTTTGTATTATTGCATGGGGAGAAAATATATTGAAGAGGACATTGACAGCATCTGTGTCTACACAGCATTACACATTTGGAGGATATATCCTTCCAGTATTGCTTAGAAGGAAGACACCCAGTTCAGCTGACTCTACCATTGATAGCCTACCTAGATTTAACTTCACAGTTCCTGGCTTTTTCTCACTTTACATGTTTAGTAAGCAAATTTCTGATCTGTATTTAAGGAGGCTTTTCTCTTGGAAAAGAATCTGTTGAAAAGCTATTTTGAATATTGGTCCTCATGGCCATTATATATTTTTCATTATCCATTACTTAATTGACTTGCTGGTATGAATTAATTATGGATTTGGGGTAGTTGAGAATGTTGTTTTTTTTTTCCTCCATGAACTAATCATCTCCGAATATATCGACGATTAAAAAACGCAGATCTATAGAAGCAACATAGACATCGAAAATGTTTTTAATATCACATCTGTGGCATTATAGTTATCACATTATAGTTTACTAAGTGCTCTTACATATAATACATTTATTTAATATCTGTCTCACACTAAGCTGTTATCAGCAGAAGAGCATGAAACATGTCTATTCACCAGTGAGTTCCCAACAATGGGCATTGCACCTAGCACATGATAAGTGCTTGATAAATATTTGTTGGATGCTTGAAAGTTCTTGCCTGATCCTCAGCAGAAGTCTTTGATCTAGGTAGAGAAGGTGACATTGTCTTCATTTTTCAGTTGAGCAAACAAGAGCAGAGGAAAGTTAAGTAACTTGGCCATGATATGGGGTAACTGGTCAGTTACTAATTCCATGATACTTCAGTTCTTATTTATTTTTTGTACTATAATAAACAAGAATGAATCTTTTGTGGGTCCATATGCATCAACAATTTCAGAGGTATTCTTTACAAAAAAAATACAACATTACAAGCACAAAATCAAGTACAGAGGCCAGGCATGGTGGCTCATGCCTATAATACCAGCACTTTGAGAGGCTGAGGCAGGCCGATCACCTGAGGTCAGGAGTTCGAGACCAGCCTGGCCAACATGGTTAAACCCCATCTCTACTAAAAATACAAAAATTAGCCAGGCATGGTGGCACATGTCTGTAATCCCAGCTGCTCAGGAGGCTGAAGCAGGAGAATCACTTGAACCCAAGAGGCAGAGGTTGCAGTGAGCAGAGATCGCATCACAGCATTCCAGCCTCCATCTCAAAAAAAAAAAAAAAAAAAAAAAAAATTAAGTACAGAGACTTGAAAGGGCTTGAACAAGTAAGTGGCACTGAAACTTAAGGTTTATTTGGTTCTTGTTTTATCTGGCTCTGATTATAATAGCTTTTATTTGTTATTGTTCTAATAATCATTAAGGCTTTGACTTTAAGAAAAATGTTATTTCTTTTTCATATAAAATTCTCGCATGAATTTTCTTTTGGAATATTGGCATCTTCTTTTGTCCTAATTCACTCCCTTAAGTCAGGGCATTAGATGCAGAATAATCATCAAACCAAGATTCACGGTGGCTGGGGCCTTTCATGTGGCTCCTCTAAGCGGCTTTAACCATGAGTCTGATTTAGACAAGTGGACATGGGGAATTGGCTTGGAAGAGGGACTGCAGGTGGTGGAATCATATCAAGGAAGGTCCATGAGTAGCAGAGCATAAAGAATATACAGAGAACTGAGAAGCAGTAAAGGCTAATGTTGCAAGTGGTGGGCCATCTAGAGAGAGCTAATACAGGATGAGACTGGAAGATGGTTTGGATTTTTTGATGGCCAGCCTTAAAGACTAAGATGTCTGGACTTTACACAATAAGACCTAAGAAGTAATAGGTCTTTGAATTAGATATGATAAAAACTACATATCAAGAAGACAGACCTTAAAGCATGGCCAAGATAGAGTATGTTAGCTCTACATTTTAACCATGAAATCAAAGAACAATAATATCTTAGAAAATCAAAAATATTTTCTTCATTGTTCCACTGAAGGTAATCACACTGAAATCATGAGCCACAATCTTGTCCCTTTCTCTGTCACAGCTATGGATGCACTGCTTTCCTTCTACCTGCCCTGCAGCTCTTACTCCGCCTCCTGGGCCCTCCTCGACGGGTCCTCTGTGAGTCCCCTGAAGCTCTGTCCTGTGTTGCCATCTTTTCTCTGTCTACACTCTCATCTAGTCTCACTGCTTTAAAATCATCAATGTGTTCAGGACAGCCCACGTCCGTATCGCTAGCCTTATCCTTGTCCCCAAGCTTTAAACTCATTTAATCAAGTACTCTACCTACATGTCTAATGGGACTTTCAAACAACATATCTACATTAGAACTCTGAATGTGTCTCCATGTGTTCCTTCTGCCCGTAACCTACCCACCACCTCACCCAGCCTTCCCTGATAGGTGAAATACGTCTACATTCACTCAGCTACTCAGGTCAGAAAACTAATAGTCACCACGTGTTATTTTTTGTTCTCCCACAAGTCACATTCAATTTATCAGAAATTCTCTACTTACAAAATAAATCTTGAATTTAAAAAAAGTTATCGTCTAGGAATTCTAGAAACATAGTGGCAGCAGGAGTAGAAGAGGTGTTGAATCTTATGAGCCACCACATAAAAACAGATAAGTAAATAGAGTGCAAACCCCAAAATCGGTGGACAACACTGACAATAAAGTTAGGAGAAGGTATCTCTGATCTCCGAGATACAATGCATGGATCGCGATCTTGAAATATCTTTTCCTACTGAAATAAACAAAGGCTTTTTATGGTGCTTATTTTAGGTCTGGGGCAGGACTATACAAGTTGAGCCAGGGATATATTGTGATTCCCGATACGAAGGAAGTTATCAGACTACTTTTTGATATCATGTCAAAGGAGCACCATAGCTAATCCGAAGAGTCATTGGCCAAAGATGGGTTTATTTGAAACTTATTGGAACAATGACTCCTATAATAATAATGTAATAGACCAAAATCCAATAAATGCTGTTTAACTCCTTGAGTTGAAGATAATATTTTTCCAAGCAATTAACCACACTCCTTTCTCCCCTGAAAGAAGAAAAAATGGCAAAGAACACTTTATATACACTGCTCTCTCCAAAGTTAATTATTGACCCCTACCCCCATGTTGTCACTCCTAAACCTCACATTTATTTATTTAAAATGTATAGAGATTAAACATCTATTTTTTGGTATACTACTGTGAATTTTGACAGACGCATAACCACTATTATACTCAAGATACAGAACAGTTCCATCAACCCAAAATATTTGCTTGTGACTCTTTTCCTTGCCCCCACCCCTGGCAACCACTATCTGTTCTCCAGCCATATAATTTTGCCTTTTATAGAATGTTGTATAAATGAAATAATCTAATAGGTAGCCTTTTGAGCCTGTATTCTTTTACACAGCAAAATTCATTTGAGATTGATATACATTGTGTGTGTCAATAGTTTGTTCCTCATTATTTGTAGGTAGAATTATATTTTATGGGTGTACCATAGGTTGCTTATCTGCTCACCAGTTACAGGGCATTTAGGTTGTTTCTAGTTTGAGTGATTATGAATTAAAACCAATATAATTATCCACTTACAGGTTTTATTGTGAATAAAATTTTCATTTCTCTTAGGTAAATACCGAGTAGTGGGATTGCTAAACTGCATTATAAGTGTAGACTTAACTTTACAAGAAATTGCCATAGTATTTTTCAAAGTGGCTAAACAATCATATTTTTTAAACGAGTTTGTTATCTTAGGAAAATGATTGAAAAAAATTATTGCCAAAACTGTCTATTAATGGTAAAAAATCAAGCATTGATCCCAGCTTCACAGTATGAATTATACCATTGGGTAACCAACTAGTAGAGAAAGGGAAGTGTCTATTTATAAAATTATTTCTCATAAGAAGTGAAATGAAATGATAAAATATTACCATTTTGCAACTCCTAATGCATTTTCCTACTAGTATCACAAATATGTTATAATCAGATGTAATGTGTTTCCTAATAAAAGAACACAGTACCACCAATAATCTTGCTAAAGGATTAAATCCAAGTCTGATGAAGACTCTGGGTCCAATTTTCAGGAATACAGAAAAAAAGAAAAATGCCAGCACCACGCTATGCAATCAGCTAATTCCAGACCAAGAAAACCTATGTGTCAAATACCCTACATCCTTTAACAAATAAAATGTAAAGAAAAGAAAAGGAAGGACGTGGAAAGCTTTAGCTTAAAAGAGGCTTCAAAGATACATCAACTATAAGAAAGAAATGAGCTTGACCCAACTATGATGTCTAGAAATGCACACTAGGTGATAAAATTGTAAAAAATAGGAGGGAGAAAAAAGGACAAGAGTAAAAATAGTGCTTATTTTGGCAGAGAAAAAGGATTTTAATAAGTATGGGGCATGTGGAGGGTTTCTGGAGTGGCTGGCCAAGTTCTATTTCTTGTTCTGGGTGGTGGTTACGAGGGTATTTGCCTTAGAATATCATTAAGCTATGTAATCATTTTGTCTGATTTTCCGTATCTATGCTTTATTTTACAATAAGAAAGGGCTGAGCACTGTGGCTCATGCCCGCAATCCGAGCACTTTGGGAGGGCAAGGCAAGAGAATCTCTTGAGGCCAGGAGTTCAAGACCAGTCTGAGCAACATAGTAAGACCCCATCTCTACAAAAAATAGTTTTTTAAAAATACTAATGTTTAAACGAAAAACCTCACCAGGACCACTCATACCACTCTAAATTAAATCTCTATCTCTAGAAACCTGCCCCAGCCTCCTAATTATTATCCCTGCTTCTTCCCCTGTCCCCTATAGTCCATTTTCCACACTACAGTCAGAGCCATCATTTAAGATGTACAATTGAAGGCTGGAGGCAGTGGCTCACACCTGTAATCCCAGCACTTTGGGAGGCCAAGGCAGGCAGATCATGAGGTCAGGAGTTCGAGACCAGCCTGATCAACAAGGTAAAACCCCGAATCTACTAAAAAATACAAAAAATAGCTAGGCATGGTGGTGGCACCTGTAATCCCAGCTACTCAGGAGGCTGAGGCAGGAGAATTGCTTGAACCTGGGAGGCGGAGGTTGCAGTGAGCCGAGATCGCACCACTGCACTCCAGCCTGGGTGACAGAGCAAGACTGTCTCAAAAAAAAAAAAAAAAAAAGAAAAGAAAAAGGAAAAAGATGTACAGTTGATCCTTGAACAATGTAGGGGTTGGGGAGCTGACCCCCAAGCAGTTGAAAATCTGTGTATAACTTTTGACTCCCCCAAAACCTAACCATTACCAGCCTACTGTTGACTGGAAACATACAGTTGATAACTCATAGTTTGTATGTTTTCTGTATCATGTACTGTAGTCTTACTATAAAGTAAGTTAGAGGAAAGAAAAAGTTATTTGAAAAATCATAAGGAAGAGAAAACATATTTACTATTTATTAAGTGGAAGGGGATTATCATAAAGGTCTTCATCCTCTCTGTCTTCACATTAAGTAGGTTGAGGAGGAGAAGGAAGAGGAGGGGTTGGCCCTGCTATATCAGGGGTGGAAGAGGGAGATGAGAGAGAAGCGGAGGCAGGAGAGGCAGGAACACTCAATGTAAGTTTTATTGAAAAAAATTCGCGTGTAAGTGGACCCACATAGTTCAAACCTGTGTTGTTCAATAGTCAACTGTAGATGAGTGACACTCAGCGTTTTAAAACCCTCCAATCGCTTCCCAATTGCAATAAGAAGAAAACCTAAGCTCCTTAAAAGTCCCTCGTCGCTACCTGTGTCCTGAACCCCATCTTCTTCTACTCATTTCTCCTTCGTTCAGTTCATCCTGATCTCAGGGCTTGGCACTTGTTCTCCCTCTCCCTCTCCCTCCAGATCTTTGCACTTCAGCTTTCATTCCGCAACTTCAAATCTCCAGAGAGGCTTTCCTAAGAATCTAGTTATCCCCTCCCCCCTGTCTAGTCATTCTTTCTCCCATCATCCTGTCTTTTTTGTTGTTCACGGCACTTATATTCTATTTGAAATTCTTTGATGGATTGCTAATCAATGTGTTTTTATAGGTTACTCTCTGTCTCTCCTTACCAGAAAACTGTGTAAGCTTCCTGAACACAGAGACTGCCTTATTAATTGCTATTTCACTATGAAAAGTAAAAATAGCCTAACATTGAGTATGCACTCCAATTCTTAAATGTCTATAAATGAATAAACAAATTCAGTGAATGACTAAATAAATGAATAAATATTCAGTCTTAGCTCTACCCATGGTGTCCTCAGGCTACAGCAGAGCTGACTATACAAGACAACTTGGCCTGCACTCCAGAACCCCTTTCTCAATCTATCCCATCAGAATGACAGTGATGATTTTCAAGGTTGAGATATACATTGCCACAGCCTCCCCTATTTTGCCGAAGGCTAAACTATTGCCATCTATTTTTATCAAACCATGCCTGTGTCCTCTTTGTTTTATAAATCTACAGTTCTCTATTTCTAATTAAAACTAAAGATTACAAGACCAAGACACTAAGATGGCCACAGCTTGGAGAAGAGAAGGATGAAAGCAATAGGTTAGAGATATGCACCAAGACACAGAGAGTAACAGAGTGAGGAAGCAAGGAAGAGGGAAGGCCAACACATAATGGGTGAAAAACGTGACCTGAGAGCAATGCCTTCTGTAATATCACTCTTTAGGAGACAGGAGAATGAAGAAGAACTAGAGAAGGAATATTTAGAGATGTGGAGGAAGAGCCACACATGTTTAGTGCTGCAGTTGTTCAGCCAGGAAATAGTTTCAAGAAAAGGCCAATCAAACTGTAAAAGATTTTGGCATTGAAACTTAGGAAGACCTGAGTGACCTCTAAAGAGACTATCCAGGCCAAGGGAGGGGAGGCAAGTTGAAAATAAAGATATCACGGTATCTCATTTTGTTCATAATGTGTTTCAAGATTTCCTTTAACAGGCCATAACAAACAAACAAACAAACAAACAAAAACCCAAGATGGAATGAGATGGGATGTGTTAGGTACCGAAAGAGATATACCAGGATTTTAGTTATTTATCAAATGAATGAATGAAAGGACCAAAGACATTTTGGAAGAAATTAAGGAAAAGGCCCCAGGAATGGCAATACTGGCTCAGTGTAAATAGAGTCCTATTAAGCAGGATTTTGTTGGGAGCTACGTAAGTCTTCCTTCTAATAGTCAGAAACAACGTAAATTTGGGGGAAGGCAGAAGCATTAGCTAATGCCCACATTAAAGTGAATATTTTCTCAAAATTAGTTCAGAATCTACTTTGTGAATGTATTTCTAGCCCCAGCAGTTAGTTGTTTTATTTGCAAATAAAGCACTTTCTACAAAGCACATTTCCATCTACAGAACAAAGCTCAATAAAGTGTTTTATTCCCTGCTGGCCACTATTACAGTTCTATTTTTTAATCAGCAGATGTTCCCTTATTTCTAACTAGGTATAAACATGGCATTGAATGATATCATTGTGGTTCGTAGACGTGTGCCTTGCTTATCTGAGGTTTAACACACGTCTCTTTTCTCTTCTGAGAAGTAAACAGCATGCAAAGTACTGAAGTGCAGAACATTTGGTTTCAGGTGGAAACATTATTTTGCATAATGGATTAAAACTTAGAAAAGTAAAAGTGAAACTCGAAACTCTGCCATGAGAAATCAGCTCTTAGTTGTTGAAATGCCCGCAAGGGACTTGCCAATTCCTATACATCTTTCCTTCTCTGAAAATAGGAATATGGTATAGTGAATTGAAAAGAAAACTTTCTATAATGCTTATAGGAAAATCAAATACAAAATTTAGGATAAAAACATCAAAGAAAATAGATGTCTGCTTTTATCTCTTCTTACAAGAAAACACTTCAAAGAAAATCAAACCAGTCTCTTTTCATTGCATTGCATAAGGTTTCCATGGATGACTTACACACATCATTCCAGCCATGTTTTACAAAATACAACACATTCAATGGGCATTTCATTCATAAAATTAGTGTCTTAATACATACTCTAGAGCTAGTTTCTTTGCATATTATGGTGTTTATTTCATCCTGCTGGCTTCTCTGTGCTTTCACAAATTACCTATATTACATAACATTTTTGCAAATATTTCCTGTGTCAATATATTCTTGGATAAATTAATTCCTAGACAAAGAGTTACAAAACCAGGATCACATGCCTATCACAAGCCTATATGCTTCTTCCTTTTTAATGCATTCTACACAAATGCAGTACCTTCTACTTAGTCATATATGTTTCATAAAATTTATAGGAGGCCATTGGTTTGGATTGAGCTCCTACACTAGGCCCAACAAACCAAATCAAAATGGAGTCACTCATGCTATCACCAAGGTGAAACTAAGTTGTTTATATGACCTTCCCAGAAATGAGAAGAATGAATGATAATAGCTAAATCCCCAAACAAGCCAGTTTTAGCTAGCATGATAAGGAAGTCCCCTGTGTTTTACCTTTACAGGGAAAGTAACTTTGAAACAATCAATCTGCTTTTGTTTTCTGTTTCTTCTTTCCTCAGCCATTTTCTATGTATAAAACCAATCTGCTCAGTTTATCAGAATACTCATTCTGTTTTTGTATTTATATTCTATTTTACAGAATAAGGTGTTATCTGATTCTAGAATTATAAATAAAAGCCAATTAAGATCTTTAAATTTATTATAATTTTTTCTTTTAACATATGTAATGCAATTTTTTTTATAAATTGTGTTGATTCAATTAATAAGACATGCTTACTGTAATAAACTCTCACACTTAACAAGGAACACTTCTGTGACTAGATGTGTAGTGGATTTCCCCACCCATCAAACAATTCTCTAGCAGACACTAACTGGGTATTCTATAATTCCATTCAGTTCTGAGGCTACCTACCTGGGAATGGTGTCAGATCTCACAGGTTGGGGGCCTAGTCCCACAAGATTGCCCTCACTTCAGGGGCTAATCTCAAGTTGTAGGTTGTCAGCTATACTTCTGACTGACCAGCTGCAAACTGGGGTTCCCCTGACTCCCTCTTTAGGTCTGATTATTTTGCTAGAGTGGCTGTAATTGTCTGAAGGGTTCGTCTTGCCTGCTGCACAGATAAAACCAATTCACTGAGACAGCATTATTGCAGTAAAGAAAGAGTTTAATTACTGCAAGGACAGCCAAGTGGAAGGATAGGAGTTTACTATTACTCAAATCAGCCTCCCTGCTAAGTCAGGCTAGGGTTTTTATGGATAATTTGGTGGGCAGGAGATTAAGGAATGGGTGTTGCTGACTGGTTGGAGATGAAATCATTGGAGTGTGGAAAACGGTCTTCATGTACTGAGTCTGCCATAGGATGGGAGCCACAGAACCCGTTGCATTATGAGTCATGAGTCTGAATGGGGTCAGTGGATTACCAGAATGCACAAGTCTAAAAAACATCTTAAAAGATCAATTTTAAGTTCTGCAAAAGTGATGTTATCTATAGGAGCAACTGGGGAAGTCACAAATCTTGTGACCTCTGGCCACATGACTCCTGAGAAGTAAGGGAATATAGAAACTGTATCTACATTTTAGCTGAATTCAGGTCTCTCCCATGATCCTAATCTCATTTCTGGCCTTTGATTAGTTTTACAAAGGTAGCTTTGTTCCCTAGGCAAAGAGGGGGTTAGTTCCAGGGAGGGATTATCATCATCCTTAGTAGGTTAAGCTATAAACTAAACTTCTCCCATGGTTAGCTTGGCCTATGCTGAGGAATAAGAGAGGTTAGCCAGTCTGTGAGGCTAGATGCAAGATATGTTCAGCCATGCTAGACTTCTCCCACTGTCATGTAATTGCCAGACGGGTTATTTCTGCCCACTGCACAGACAAAACCAATTCACTGAGACCATGCTTTTGCAATAATGCAAGAGTTTAATTAACACAAGGCTGGCCATGTAGGAGAGAGAGTTATTAAATCAGTCACCGCAAAGGCTCAGAGGTGAGAGTTTTTCAAGGATAGTTTGGTGGGCAGAAGGCTAGGTAATGGGTGCTGCTGACTGGTTGGGGGTGAAATCATAGGGGTGTGGAAAAATGTCCTCATGTGCTGTGTGAACCTCTGGGTGGGGCCATAGGGCTGATGGAGTCAGAAACACCGAAGTCTGAAAAAATATCTCAAAAGACCAATCTTAGGGTCTGTAATAGTGATGTTATCTATAGAAGTAATTGGGGAAGTTACCAATCTTGTGAAAAACAATGGTTGGTTGTTATTTAACTACACCTACATCTTAGCAGAATTTGGGCCCCTCTTATAATTTTAACCTTGTGGCCTTTCATTAGTTTTACAAAGGTGGTTTTGTTTTGGGAAAGGCTATTATCATCCTTGCTTTAAGGTTAAACTATAAACTAAATTTCTCACCCAGTTAGCTTGGCCTACACCCAGCTTGGCCTACACCCAAAGACAGCTTGGAGGTCGGAAGCAAGATGGAGTGAACTGTGTCAGATTTCTCTCACTGTCATAACTTTGCAAAGGCAATTTCAATCATAATCTTTGCAAAGGCAGTTTCATGGCTCACAGAACTTAGGAAAACATGCTTACTGGTTTATTTTAAAGGGTGTAAATTACAAAGCATCCAGATGAACAACCAGGTAAGGAGAGGTATAGGGCAAGGTACACCACAGGGGCAAGGAGTTTTCACGCTCTCTCTGGATGCCACCCTTCTAGCACCTCTATGTGTTCAGCAACCTGGAAGCTCATCAAACCTTGTTGTTCAGGAGTTGTCATAAAGCCTAATCTCCATCCTCCCCACCCTTTCTCAGAGGTCAATGGGTGGGACTGAAAGTTCCAATCATCTAATCCTTTAATGAGTTCTTTCTCCTGATGGTCCCCATCCTGAGGCCATCTAGAGACCCCACACTCTTGTTAAGTCACCTCAGTTGCAACAATTCAGGTAGCTATGAAAGGAGCTCATTGTGAATAACAAAAGATACCCCTATCGCTTAGGAAATTCCAAACGTTTTAGGAGCTCTGTGACAGGACCTGAACGTGACTAAATTTATTTCATTTTATACCACACTTACCAACATCATCTTTCAGACTGTTTATCTGAAATTGTAGCAATGATTTTAAAGGCATTATATCATTAGATCTGTGTTTCTCAAAGTCTAGTGTAGTCATTATTTAGCAAACACCCATATAGCGCCAGGCCCTATTCTAAATGCTTTGTAATTGTTAACTCATTTAACCTCCATAGCAATTTAATGAGATAAGTTCCATTATCATCCCTATTTTACAGATGAGGAAACTGAAGCACAGATCTCCTAAATAATTTGCCTATAATGAATGGTTGAGTTGAGTACAGGAACTCAGGTAGATTGACTCCATAACCACGATCATAGCATAAGAACATCTGGGGGTGCTTGTCTAAATGCAGATTCTGGGGCTTCACTACAAGCAATTCTATTCTATTTGGCTAAGGCCCCAAAATTTGTATGACTTCCTGTATTTGTTTGCTTGTTTAACAAGCACCCTCAGTGTTGCTCATCTGATAGGGCTATTTCATGTATTGCATTTTAAAAGGGAAATACTAGCTTGGAAAACTCCTCTAGCTCTACCTCTCTGGGCTCTAAATTTTATTGAATACCTGCATTTATTTTACCCTTAGGAAAAATAAGAAACTTATTACATTGTGTGAGTTTTATGGGTGCCAAGACGATCTCAAGCTTTTTGGTTTAATGTAAAATTCCATTATTTTGTTTCACCTAGGCTAGTTCATTATGAAAATGCAACCTCTCCTCATATGAGTACAGTAACACATTGTTAATCTATTATTTGTGAGATTTGTGTAACTGAGGAATTAGAAAACAAGCTTTTCGAACAGGCTTTGGAATAGGGAGTAGGCATAGGAAGTACCTAAGGAGGAAGTGGGAAAACAGGGGCTGGCAGATGCCACCATGAAATACGGAGCCCAGCAGTGCTAGAGATTGCTCTAGCTTCTTCGTCTTGCCTAGTGCTGGCTGTGTTGCTGATGATACAGGCATGTGGTTTTAAAACCTTATCAGTCAGCTTCAGGTACTACTCCTTTTTAGAATCAGCATCTCTGGGTGCCATTCCCTCTTTGTCAGTAACTCATTTATAGATTTTGCCTCTTGTGAATTTCATTACATAAACTCTTTAGGCAAATGGGATGTAAAGTAGCCTGGATTGGAGATGCATTTTGGTATTGATCATGCTGGGGCTATGTATAGAAAGGACGTTAAAAATCTTCACATCAGATCAAATGCTATTCAATCAGCCAGGGAAGGGGATTGAACACAAAGATGCCGACTACAGCTTCTTTGCATTTAGCACCTCCATGTAATGGTGAGTGAAAGAAACGGACTCTTAACTATTCAAGCATTTCTATTTTAGCTGGTTCAAAGCAAGAGTTGATGGTAAAGTTTGACAGCTATCGTGTTTCTCACCTGAAGTAATTAGCAGTAACAGTACCTAAAAGCTAAAGCTCTTGAAAAAGGAGCCACATGCTGCTCTTGTATAGCTACCTTCAGCAGTTATAAATGAGTTCTATTTCAGCCACAGCTAAATTTTTAGTGCACTGCTAGAGAAGAAAAAGTCTAATTATTACAGTCACTATAATTTGAGATAATTGACTCTGGTGTTACATCATAGTTCTTACAATACCAACGAGGAATAAGACATTTGTACCATTACAGTAAATAAGGTATTCCACTACCAAATTGAAAGCGTTATCCCCCCTCCCCTGAGAGTATTAATGTCTGGCTATGGTCTCAAAAGGAAACGTTACCTCTGCTCCAGCAGGTTTCCAAGCCTTTTTCATTGTAGTGAATAAAGAGAAGGAATTAAATAGTGTTTAGTCATCCCAGAGGTCACAAGGAATATTATAATTCCAGCAAACTTCACTTTGCAGCTAAAACCCTTCATTGTTTCAGCTTGGCAGCTTTACCAGGGAGGACAAGTTGTGAGACTGAATTATGCCACTGAACATACATTAAACACAATGGGCTTGCTATTGTCAGATTATTTATGCCACTTATGAATTTTAGCAGTTTGACCATAAAGAGCAAGTATCCAAGATTTTTTATTAAAAATAAGATTCATAAATACTGAAACTATTCATTTGCTTCTTATAACTCAAACACAAATTTTTGATTGGGTCGGAGAGGGTATAATGATGGAGAATCGAAGACACATCATATCGTAGACATTTTTATATGGCTCTATTTAAATCCCATGACATAATATAAAGCAGAATGATGTAGTGGGAACACCATTACATTTTTGAGTGACACAGGCATAGTCTCAAAACCAGTGTATATTAAGCATAGGACTATGACCAAATTCTTGGCCTCTCTGTGGTTCATCCATGAAATGGGGATAAAAATATTACCTAGCTCATGCATGTTTTATTGTATAAATCACAATAGAAAAGGCCCAATAACTCACCATAGTATCAGATACTGATTTAGAATATAATAAATGTACCTTATTATTGTTACTATTATTATCATCATAATTATTGCCACAGCTTTTACAATAATTCAAATAATTTAGTTTTCTGGATAAATATAATAAACTGAACACTGTGGCAGAGAATGGAATAGAGTTGAAATTTTTCTTTCAAAGTTGTAGCCAGGTGTGTGTTTTCAATTTGATAGAATATTACCTAATTTCCTATAATGCTTCCATGATATAACTTCCTAGCTAGTTATGTCAAATTATGGTGACTTTTCTTTAACAGCAATGTACCAGATACAGAAATTTCCATTTATGCCTGGACGCACAGATAGTATTATTGTTAGCCTCTCTTGATATTAGTGATGGCCATTTGACTGAGTTCTGGCTAATGAAAAGTGGTTGGAAGTGACACGTGTCACTTAGACTTGACACACAAAAACTTCTTCATCATACAAAGCTCTGTCTCTTTCCCCATCTGTTATGTGGGAATTAACATCCATTCATGTACTAAAGACAGCTCCTAGGTCCTGGATGCTACAAGAGCAGAACTTTCCTACAAAAGCAAACACAAAGACATCACCAAATGGAATTTATGTTAGAGAGAAACTCATATTGCATTATGCCACCAAGTTTTGAGGGTTTATCTGTTAGAGCAACTAGTATTGGCTTAAGTGATAAAAGCATATTTGTTTACCATTCCCCTCATTCTGAAAAACCACATTAAAAATAACAATACAGGAAATTGTACTATTGAAAAGTAGGAAATTGAAGGTGACTGATTTAGTAGATCAGGAAATATATAAAACCAAAGGAAAATTATTTTCATTGTAGTATTTTTTACCTATCCAAAGTATCAAACAAGAGTGAGAAGTAGAATGTACACATTTTCAAATATGCGGGATCTTGATGCAACATCTCCAAAACTGTTGAAAAATATAGTCTCTGAAGACAGGAAAATAATGAAGAAAGAGAAGCAGAGGCTCCACTATAGGAGAGAGGCAATGGGAATTCAGTGGATGGTATTGAAGAGAGATACCTTCAGTTCTCCAAGAAAGATGGCTGTGTAGCAGTCCTAGAAATCAGCCAGGCCACAGCAAAGCAAGAAAGAAATGAAGGGAACCTCCCTTAGTCACTCTGGTGTTTCCATATGAAATAGTGATAGGTACCTGGGAAACTGGGCACATGAAAAATGAGACAGTTATTACCTTCAGGGAAGAGAAAATCTGTATAAAAAAGAAATGCATTTGTATTATACAGCATGGTTCTATTATGACTAGCATTTGCATGACAAATATGATGTTAAAAAATTTTTCAGTTAATCTAATCAAAAATTATGACAAAACTACATTGAAAGGCTGGTAGAAAGGTGTGCGTGTGTGTGTGTGTGTGTGTGTGTGTGTGTGTGTGTGTGTTTTGAGTGGATATTAAAAAGGGTGCATCCTTTTTTTCCAAAGTAGGGAGTGATCAGAAAATATCTAAAACTGAAAAATCATGAATACAACCACAATGTGTGCCTGTTTTATAGAAATGAGAAGATATACCACTCCATGCCCTGAAACAGCGGATTAAAGCATGGAGAATTATTTTATTTTGGAAGCAGGCATCAAAGACTGGATGGGATGGAAGGGAGAAGGCTTAAAGGACTAGTAAATTTTTAATATTATGTACATATAAATATGGCTTCAGAACTAAATGTGCTTACTGATGTCACACTCCTACAGCAATGCCTGGCATACACCATTCTTACACCCCACGTTGCCCCA
This sequence comes from Homo sapiens, assembly GCF_000001405.40. NCBI lineage: Eukaryota > Metazoa > Chordata > Mammalia > Primates > Hominidae > Homo > Homo sapiens. The sequence continues at coordinate 166,310,065 of NC_000005.10, forward strand.
AGTACCCAGTAAAGATTAAGTCTAAGTCTATGTAAGTCTAATCTATACTTGTATATAGTCTGTATAAGTCTAATCTACCCATGAGACTACCCAATATCCCAGTGAGCTATTACTGCACAACCCATTAGGAATCTCTCTACTCTTTCTACCTCTACATATGTCTGGAACACTGTTCATTCTTTTTTTTTTTTTTTTTTTTTTTTTGTGGCGGGGGGTGGGGACAGAGTCTCACCCTATGGCCCAGGCTGGAGTGCAGTGACGCAATCTCGGCTCACTGCAACCTCCACCTCCCAGGTTCAAGCGATTCTCCTGCTCCAGCCTCCCGAGTAGCTGGGATTACAGGCATGCACCGCCACACCCAGCTAATTTTTTGTATCTCTATTAGACATGAGGTTTCACCATGTAAGCCAGGCTGGTCTCGAACTCCTGACCTCAGGTGATCCGCCTACCTCGGCCTCCCACAGTGCTGGGATTATAGGCGTGAGCCACCGAGCCTGGCCTCATTCATTCTTGTATGTGTTTTAGTTACCACCTTTATCTGTGCTATCAACCTGAACCACAGCCACAGCCCACCCACCAGACTTCTTGTCTTTGCTATTGTTCCTTCAAATCTGTTCTTCACACATAAGCCCAGAGTGATCTTCTTAAATGTAATCACAGGTCAAGCCAGTCTCATAATTAAAATATTTGATTAGTTTACTTCTCCAACCTCATCTGGGGCAATCCAGCACACCCTCCTTCCACTTCACTCCAGCCACACAGATTTCCTTTGAGTTCTTCACAGATGTCCTTTGAGTTTTATTCACACTCACCTTTTTGCTTGGGTGAACTCCTTCTTCAGGGGTCAGCTTAAATGCTCCTGTCTGTATCTCCTTTCAAGCAACCTCTAGAGCTCCAATTACAGCCTGCAGGCTTTTTCATCATTGTGTTACCTGCTTCATCATTAGAATGTAAATTCAATATCCTCCTTGTTCACCTTAAAATTGGTAGTGCCTAGAACTGAGCTGGTATTCTTTAGGTAGACAATCAGTAAATACTTGGAAGAATGAATGAATGAGCAGGCATTATTATGTGTCTAGGAATCTAGTCAGGAAAATAAATTTACTGGCAATACATTGAGAAGGGGAATCATGAAATAATAAAATAATTTACATTTAAATTGATTCTGCACATGATAATATTAAAAACTGAGAAAAGCATTTTATACACTCTGAATTTAAAATATTATATTTCAAACATTCATTTGTTATCTTTAACCAGACATTGGCCCCAAAGGTCTACTGCTGTTCTGCACTTGGATGTTACCTTTGTGTCCTGGTTAAGGACTGTGATTGAGAAGCCAAGGACTATGTTGCTTGGGTGGATCATCCTAAGTGTCTATAGGAACCACCTGCAGGTCTTTTACAATGCAGCTTCTCAGGTCTACCCAGACTTACTGAATTTCTTGATAGCAAACTAACGTATCAGTAATTTCTTAAAAACTCCATAGGCCATCTTAACATTTAGCCAGGTTAGGAACTGTTCAACTAAATTGTGAAGAGTAGTATTAATATGACTGATAGTAGACTTTTATTTGAGCATTTGACATATATCAGGAATAGTTGTTTTCTATACTTTCCATGTAGTTATTCTTCATTAAAATATTAAGAGATGCCAGGTGTGGTGGCTCACGCCTGTAATTCCAGCAGTTTGGGAGGCCAAGGTGGGCAGATCACTTGAGGCCAGGATTTTGAGACCAGCCTGGCCAACATAGGGAAACTCCATCTCTACTAAAAATACAAAAAATTAGCTGGGTGTGAGGGTGCATGCCCGTAATCCAAGCTACTCAGGGGGCCGAGGAATGAGAATCACTTAAACGCAGGAGGTAGAGGTTGCAGTGAGCTGAGTTTGCACCACTGCACTCCAGCCTGGGAGGCAGAGCAAGATTCTGCCTTTAAAAAAAAAAAAAAAAAAATTAAGAGATGAGTACTATTATTCTGAATTACAGATGAGGCTCAGAGAGGTTAAGTAAATCTCAAAGTCAAGTAGCTCAACAATGGTGAAAGCCTGATGCACGACTGTGGAGTTGAGTAATGTCTAATCATCACTCTGTGCTATTGTGCTATGCCAGCCTGACAAAGCGCTCTGCATACCTGTTTCCTTCACAGCCTAGTCAGGCCTGGTTCAACTAGACCTTCATAAAATGTTGTCAATGATCCTCGTGTATTATGCTAATCAATGTCTCTTGTTCTAATAGCATTTGCATTTCTAACTATGGAATGAAAGGTTATAATTTTCTGTTAATAAAACACCATATTTGGTGAGTAGGTTGATAAAGTTATGTCACATATAAAGAAGACCTTCAGAAGTCCTGCATTTATAATGTGTAAGTCATCACCTGTATTAAGGATTTTTAAGCCTGGCTGATTGGAATTCTCTTTGTGTAGTATAAAAGGAAATAGATGCCTACTAAATCAAAATCACTGAGAGTGTGACTTAGCGACTACAGTTTTAGAGTGCATCCCCGGATATTCTGATGATTTTCTGGACTAGGAATCACACCATCTATGTGGGGAGTCAGACCGATCTTTCATGTTCCTTTGTCATGTTTCTCATCATTAGTGGGAATAGCATTTATGAGCTTAGAACAAGGAATTCTAATTACAAGTCATCAATATGCACTGCAAAAGGGACCTAGTACTAAATGTGGAATTAACCAAAGCAGAAAGGACATATTCATGCTTTGAAAGAAACAAACATTATTAGAGCAAAAGTTTTACAGAGAGGCCTGACTTTCTTAGAAAGATTTCTCAATGCTTCTCAAGTTACCCTAGAAATTGTTTGAGTTTGGATAATACTTAACAATGAGAGAGAGCACAGTGAAATTTCTTTCTATTTTTGTCTCATCATATATTGGTTGCCAAGTTAAGAGCCACAACCTGGAAATTTAGAATGTCATTCTGCCTTGTTTTGTTCTTTTGGGGTCTGACCTTTGCTTTATCCAAATATCATTTTGTCTGTAAATATTAAAAAGAGTTGCTGGCCACTCAGTGTTGCAAAATACGTGGAACACTTTAAAGGATTTGTGGGCTGGCATGGGAGCTCTTATTGTGCGAAATTAATCTCTTGAAAATGTTTTACTATTGACAGCACTGCTTCCCATAATTAGGCAAGTAAGAGTCACTCATGAAGCTGTAACAATTGGGTGTTATGCTTTCATCTCAAACAATTTCAAATATTAAATGTTCCTAGAGTAGGATTTTAAAAAGATCTCTGCTTCTTAAAGGCCATTTAGGCTATAGTGGAATTGCCTAAACCCAGCATGTGCCAAAATGTTTTTGCATCCTTAGGTAATAAAATTGTGAACTCCTGTGGCTACAAGGGAATTTGAGACATTATCCTGTCCCAAACTCCCCAGTATGGTTTTTGGTGAGGAGATCATTTACCCCATCCCAGGCATTTAGGCATTATTACCTGCCTACTGTGGTGTTTAATAACCTCTCCATCAAGAAATGCTTTTGCATATGTATCTGAAATCTGCTGGTTTTTTTTCCCCTAGAATACTAGTGAGAAATGGAAGGCTGCTTTAAGATTGAAAACTTGGGTCACATAGTGAGTCTTTAGATGTGTTCTCCAGTTTGGAATATGGTAACTGTATATTTTGGTCCTTAGAGGGTACCTAAAGCCACTATCCAGAGTTATGCTATTTGTGCTCTGCACAAAAGCAGCAAGTAGAATGGTGGCATTGGAGCTGAATTCACACGCCTTCATGTCTCTAAACTCAACACCTTCTAGCATGCTATCCTCAAAAGGCATGTTCTTCTAATCCTCTCCACCAAGGAGGAGCCTGGCAGGAGAAATTTTTTTTTCTTACTTTCTCAAAGGTATCCTAACACCTCCCTTGAAGACGATGGCTGGAATAGTGAGCATCAGTCCTCACAGGGCCTAAAACTCCCTTTGGATACTTTCTTTGTTTCACAAGAGGGATTCTGATTCAGCAGGTCTGGAGCCTGGGGATCTGTTTTTTTGTTGTTGTTGTCGTTTTGGTTCTTTTGGTTTTTTTTACAAACACCCCAGGTTACTCTGATGCAGGTGGTCCAGAATCCCACTTTCAGCAAACAGTGTGCATAGTTTAGCTTCATTTGACTGGTACCTGGTTATACCACCAAGCTACTTTCATTGAAATCTTGGAGGGTTTTGGCCATCTGGTTGAACCTCATGTGGTTTGCAGACAGGAATCAGTGAAAGGCTTCAAGTCATCCATGAAGTTGACTAGCATCCAGCCACCTTTGTGTAATTCTTGTCACTACATATGTGCATTGCACACTTTGCATATTTTAAATATTCATGAGGTATTTCCTGTTTGTTTTCTTTCTTTAATTCAAAAAATATTTATTGAGCATCTACTCTGCACAATGCATGGTGTCTGAGAAATACATAATAATCCGGTCACAATTCAGTAGGGTGTTTAAGATACACATGCATATGACTCCAAATTAAGGTACAAAATAATACATTTCATAACAATCGCAATGCTTTAGAGTTTAGCTGGAGAGAAGATAATACCATTAACGTTATTGTGACATGAGACATGATTTTATACTATCTGCAGAAGCAAAGGCAGGGTTCAAAACATTAATAATTGTATTTAAAATGATGACATTCATTGGTTCATGTATTTTATTGTTTGGCTTTGTGTTGTTATAATAGTACTATAATTTATGTCTGTTAACCATTGCATTTTATGTATGTGATATATAAACATGAATTTGAGAGTTTCAACTGAGAATTTTATCAGATATAAATATGTGGCATAGATTAAAATAAAAATTCCTTGTAGAGTATGTACACTCAGAAGCCTCTAACATTCAGTTTAGATGTTTTTTCCAATATTGATTTTGTATTGCAACTCTAGAAATAAATTCTGATTTAGAGCTGACAGCATAATGCTTTAAATATATTAGATTGTTTTAGTCCTGGCAGTTTATTTTTTGGTTGTTTTGGTGTGTAACAATATAGCTTAGGGTGTCATCTCTAGACTGTGTTCAAGTATTTAAATGGAAAATGTAAAGCAGACTGATGGTTGACCCTCAGGCATCAGAGTAAGAAATCTTATCATCAGATTATTTTCTAGTTTGTAACCATGTAACAGGGCACCTGTATCTCTTGCTTACACAATTGCTTCTACATTTCACATGGGATAATAAGAGTAAATTAACAATCCTTTTGAAGTTGTGTATAGCAAATTGGGAAATTTTCTTTCCTGATCATACAGTTCAACAAATAGAAGATGAAATTGTTGAGGGGAGAGAAGGTTTGGGAGTTCTTCAGAGCATACTTTTTAAACTATATAAGCCTGATTTGAGTTTCTCATTCATAAAATGGAAATACTAGTAGGAGTTTCCTGACGGATTTTTGTAAGGTTAAGTGAGATGATATGTTGCTTAATTCAGTGCCTGGCTGGCACAACAATATGTGTTTTAGCTTAATCCAACAGATATTTATTGAGCATATACTGTATGGCACGAATACTTCTAGATTAAGGGAAAATAGAAATGAACAGAACAAAGGCCTTGACCTCATGGGCCTTATATTATTGCAGAGGGCATGAAATCTAAATCCAGAAGGCAGTCTGAAAGGGTGACTTTTATTGTCTTATTTATTTCTATTAACATCTTTCAAACATACTTTTTTGTTCTTAGTTACCCAAGACTTAGTAGCTGCATTTGTTTTTTAACAGACAGGGTCTTGCTATGTTGCCCAGGCTGGAGGGCAGTGGCCATTCACAGGTACGATCACAGCTCACTACAGCCTCAAACTCCTGGCCTGAGGAGAAGTGAAAAGGGGACTGCAGAATTAGACTAGGTATGTTTTTCTTGAACAAAAAAGCAATGTTTTGACACTATGAATGATGTTTAGGTCTTCTTTACTAGAAAAAACGTATATATTTCTATAAACAGAAAAGTTGTATTTAGGTATAGTGTTTCAAAATCTCTGTACTTTTTTGACTCATTCTTGGTGATTTTTTTTTTTTTTTTGAGACGAGTTTTGCTCTGTTGCCCAGGCTGGAGGGCAGTGGTGCTATCTCAGCTCACTGTAACTTCCAGCTCCCAGGTTCAAGCAATTCTCCCTGCCTCAGCCTCCCAGGTAGCTGGGAGTACAGGCACCCACCACCACGCTTGGCTAATTTTTGTAATTTTAGTACAGATAGGGTTTCACCATGTTGGCCAGGCTGGTCTCAAACTCCTGACCTCAGGTGATCTGCCCACCTCGGCCTCCCAAAGTGCTGAGATTACAGGCATGTGCCACCGCGCCCAGCCATTCTTGGTGATTCTTTTAAAACTATATAGTTTGAAGGAAAATATAGTCATGTGTCACATAAGGGATGGGATACATTCTGAGAAATGCATTGGTAGGCGATTTTATTGTTATGCAAGCATTATAACATGTACTCACACAAACCTAGATGGTACAGCCTACTACACACATAGTCTATATAGTACAGCCCCGTGCTCCTAGGCTGCAAACCTGTACATCATAACACTGTACTGAATACTGCTGGCAATTGTAACATAATAGAAAGTATTTGTGCATCTAAACATATCTTAAACATAGAAAAAGTAAACATACAGTGTTATAGTATTATGGCACCATCACTGTATATGTGGTCCCTGGTTGACCAAAATGTGGTTATGTGGTGGATGACTGTACTTGAATGAGGCCATACATTAGAACTTAATGCTTCAGTCCACTTGGAAAGCTGAGAGGCCAAAAAAAAAAAAAAAAAAAAAAAAAAAGATAACCATTTTAAAGAAGAGAGTCAACCTGGCATTGCAGTATAAGAAGAGACCAATATAGGCAAGAGACATAAGGAGAAATCTGGAAATCTCTTTCAAGATGTGATAATCTATCCATATGTGAATATCATTGCACATAAAAAGCTTCACTGGATGCAAGACTTACTGCGGTTTGCCCAAGGTTAGAAATGATAGAAGATGTTCCTAATAGAAATATACAGAAATTATAAATGCAAACATTACTGTCAAGGGCGTTAGGTTTTTTGACTTTTAACTTTCAATTACAAGAAAAAAAATGTTATATTCACCTTGCTTTAGAATTTCAGAATTTTTAGTAGTAGTATTGTTATTTTTATAGAGATGAAGCCTCATCGGCAGTTTTGTTCTGAAAATTGCATTGTCTCTTTAAAAGGATTGACATAGTTTGTGAAATGTGAAGCTCTGCTTTATTTTCAAAAACAAATGGACAGATTTCCCATTTAAATAGTGGTCTTCACTGTCTGCCCTTTGAATAAATGCTGGGAAAGTGTCTGATGCACATGTATTTATCTTACAGCTTGACAAATGGAATTAATGCCAAAGTGTTAAGCCATTACTGTGTAGGGGAATAGAGGTCTTACAAGTACATTTGCTATTTCACTTTCTCTGCGTGTTCTGTGCATCAAAGCCTGGGTTAATGATATCTTCAGAAATTGTATGGTCTGTTGAATGGTAGAGACGATGAAATATGGTTGGCCAACGCATGCAAAGAGTAGCTTTATTTGGTAATAAATCAACCATGTTGGAGGGGTGAGGAAAGGAGTCAGGGCTGGGTATGAAACAAAGAGCCAAAGGGAAGAGCCAATTAATACCCCTAACCTCCAGAAGCGGACACTATGGCCCTGGAGTTTCTCCCTCAGACTAAGAACCATCCACCAGTAGCAGAAACTACATCCTCAGGGGGGGTTTTCTTCGTGAATGCAAATGTCCCGGCACCTAAACGGTTCACATTACCGCAGGTGATTTCTGCAGCTGTAACTAAGTTCCATCCTCAGCAAGAATCAGAACCACCAGAGACAGAGCAGAGAGACACCATGCCCTCACTTGCGAGAGTTCAAATGGCACTTTCTTGGAAAAAGAAGATTGGTGCATCTCTGTGGCCCCTCCCTTCTCCATCCTATGTCTCCCCCTCTCCCCTCCTTTCCAACTCTTCATCTCATCTTTCCTCTCCTTCCCATTTCAAAGTAGACTCACACCTCTACCCTACTCAGGGCCGGGAAAGCCTCAGGGCAAAGGGAAATCAAAGTGCTGGAGTGAATTCTTAGCTTTTTGCCCAGAGCCCTGGTCCTCCAGATTTAAAGAAGTTTCAAGGATAATTTTGACAATCAGTAATGTTCACTTTACCTTGCCTTGTTAAAGTGAGAACCTAGCTCTTATATTTGAAGAGACTTTCTCATTGTATCTGCAGTCTGCTTCCAAATTAGCTGGGATTTTGGTTGTTGTTATTGTTGTTTTGTATGAAAATATTCTGTTTCCAAAGGGCAAAGGCTCTCTGAAATCTCGCCATGCCTAGATCAATGTTTTGGACAAAGCAGATGCATATTAAATGCTTCATTTGAATTATAGCAGGCAAGATCTCCTGCCATCCTTTAAAGAAATGGTAGTCAACTATGCATCTCATGAACAGCCTAGCCAATCTAAGATTATAGATGAAGGGTTTCCTGTATGCTTCGTATTTAAAATTACTGTTTTTCCTTGGTGAGCAGAATAGAGTTGTCCCTGAACTTGTTTTTAAATTGAAGCACTAGAATGATTAAAGTTTGGTATTATTTACCTATCAAAAGTTATTTTCTAGTGAATATCCTTCTTTAGAAATATTCAGATTTTCCAAAGCCACTGTGCCTGATAATCTAAATCCATAGGACACAAAGTAGCAATTTCATTTGATACTGACATATTCTCTTTAGGTTTTCCGCTAAAGAAAGTCTATGAAAAATCCACTGAGCATAAAAAAAAGAACCTCTATTTCTAGTATCCACTGATGCCTTTTGAGCTTCCCTTGGCTGGGAATTTAGCATTAACAAAGGAATTTGTGATGTCTTATATGCTCTGTGCTCTAATCTAATATTCGTCTGTGATATCATTCATAATTACTATATATTTAAATCTCAGTTTGGAATTCAGGTGTCAAAGGAGAAGTAGTACTGGGAAAGTCTTCATTATCAGTTATGAGCTGCTGTAAAACTTACAGTGTTAAAACATCCCTTGAAATAGACATTAGAGACCTGAAAAAGGGATAATATAAAATTGATCAAAACCTATATTTTAAAAGCAGCTTTCTCTACCATCCAAAAGAAAAAAAATAGCAGCAGCTTTGGATAGAAGTGGTTTAGAGTTATTTTACACATGGACACTTAAAATCAGGCAGACATTTCTGTCCTTCATTGGAAAACTTAGATAAATAGATACACATAATGTATGGATAGATGGGTATACCAGATCAGAAAGAAAACTCCAGAGATAAGCTCATTCACCATGAACCTGGTCTCTCTGGGGGGAAAAATCATAGAGGCTCATTGACTGCAAAGGTTAATCAAGATTCTGGGGGGACATCTCCTGTGCAGCAGCTGACAAGCATTTCATTAAGGAAGGAGACTGAAGCTGCAATGAGATTCTGGAGAACAAACTCACCAGGAGCCAGATTGCAGGGAGGAGGCAAGATCAGAGCCGGCTGGGGTGAATGGACTTGAATATTGACAGAGGTCTGCATCTCTTCCTGAAATGGTACCAATTTCGCTCCCCCCAAGAAATCTTTCTGCCCAGAACCACACAGCACTTAGCAGCAGCATTACCTATCATTGTAATTGTGGATTCCCACACTTGAGAACTTAATAGATCATTAGTTTTCCCATCACAAAGTCCACACTTTAAAATTCTATTTTGCCCCATGCATATGTTATATGTCCATATCCAAATTGTGAATAATGTATTCCAGTTATTATTCCGTCTTCAGGTATCAAACATTTACTCTGGTAATACAGTACTTTACCATTCTCAGTTTCCATCCATTCCACTTGTTTGGAAAGGAAAAAAAAAAACTTAAAGTATATTTAAATCTTTTTTTTGGTGGTTGTTGTTGTTTGGTTTTATTTGTTTGACTGTTTATTTTGACTTATCAGACCCAATCACTATATTGAAACAGGTGGATTTTCTCATTAATATGATTGGAAAATGGGAAACAAACTTATTTGTTTCAGACAAGAGACTGAAAATCCTGTGATTATTTTGGAAACCGTAAAAATGTAAAAGCAACATCTGCCCCGCAGCAGAATGAAATCACTACTCAGTAACAAGTTCTCAAAGGAAGAATGGTTTGTAATAATTAAGGCCAGATTATTAATTAGAGAGAGAAATAGAGGCATTAGAAGATAATTTTCAAGGCACCTATTATGGAGGGAGATCTAGAATTACTTTCAAATTTTATTTTTGGAACATCAGTGAACCCTTACGTTTCTCTGTGAAACCCAAGAGGAATCTTGGAATCTGGTGATTTTTTTAAATTGCTGCTAGCGTCTTGGTAGGCCTATTAAGCTTTCTTCGTTAGGAAGGGGAGCATTAACAATAGTTTCCAGTTTCTTTCCTTTTCTTTGCCTTATTTTCCTGAACTTCTTTTGGAAGGTAAATGCTTAACACATCACGCTGTCATGTAGCAAATGTCGTAAGATCTACAAAGCAAGTCTCTAAAGTAAGTAAAACACCAGCCAAATCTACACTGTCAGCAGCTTATCAAAAAGCTTTTTTTTGGGTGGAGGGCGGTGGCTGGTGGGAAGCGGTTGGTCTTGTTTTCCTCTACACTGTGTTTGGAAGGAGAGTTTTCCATTTGAAAGAGTAAATGAACGCTTGGATACCAATTGGTCGTCTCTATCACATCCCTGCTGGATATGCACCCTCTCATTTTTCAATAGGGCAGCAAGGGCTCCGATTTCTCAGTCTTGGCAGAGATCCCCAAGGATTGAGTATGGCAAAAAGCTGACAAACCTTTGTTACACAGAGCTCTGGCCATCGAAGGCAGGGCCAGCAATGGGGCAGATTCTTCCTCTCTTGCTCTTTCCCTGATCTTCCAGATAAATTGATTACTTTGATCCTTAATGCATTAAATCTGACACTTCTCAGCAATACTAAATTTGCTTCCTCTCCATTTTGTATATAGGGATGTTCATAGCAGTTGTCTGCTCATCAGAATAACAAATTCAAGATGGACGGTGAGCCTGTCCCTCTAGGTTTGTCCTGTGGGTATCAGTGGCCCAATGTGGAGACATGCGCATATTTAACAGGAGACCTTTTAGTGGTGAAAGCAGCACGTCACAGACGAATACATTTTTTACAACATTAAATGACTAAAACTGTTTATTCTGTGAACATAATGGTTTTCTGTGTCTTCGGTTCATCTTAATCTGTTTTAGTGCCCAGCTTCTCTCAAAAACCTCTTTCAAATGCAGAGTTATTCATTTCAGAGAATAGCTGTAAGAGGAAGAAGAATAAAACAAAATTAGCAGTTGATCAAGAGTGCTTTAGGCTGCCACCCTTTCCATTAACAATTTGATTTGATGTGAGTGCAATGCTTTTCGTGATACATTATGATAGAATAACCCTGACAGAAAGTAAAACCAAAGAAAACTAAAACTTGATCTAAGATACAGCAGCCTGCTACCCCCTCTATTAGCATTTTAATTTGATGGGAACTGTGTGGTGTCTTAGTTTCAGTTCCCAGGAAAGGCTTTCTCATTTAAGAGTGCCTTAACCTTATCAAGTCATCCTGAGGTTTTTTAGAATTTACTTATTTATTTATTTTTCAAAGATTACTTCTGCTTTCCTGTTGGCCATGGAAGGGGTTTATCAGATATTGCTTTACAGTAGAAATCTAAGGCTGCCTCTTGATGACAAATTGTAAGTCTTCATCAGGACTAAAGGATGCAGTTACAGGAAAGAAAAATATATTCCTCTGATAATACCTTGGTTGGAGTGGCTTTCTGCGAAAAGAAATGAGTTAATTTCACAGCTTGCCGGGAGTAAAAGAAAAAAAAAGAAATGAGTTGATAGTCAATTTTTTTTCTTTTTTTAATTATCCATTGTCTTTAAAAGGAATAGAATAAAAAAGTAAAATCAAGTCTTAGGGAGACCAATTCATTCACTGTTTATTTAAGTTCCTATATTAGCTTTATGATGTTGAGTTCGAAAAAAATTAGATCTCCAAATGGACTTTTGCTCCACATGCCTGGGAATGAGGCTGAGACAGACTTTAATCCTAGCGCTTTCAAGTCTCTTCTTTCCCCTAGGAGCTTCCCAGAACTGGGTTGTATAGCACGGCTTCCTGTGTTCGATGTTGGGATTCAAGAACCAGTGGGTTTGATCCATCAAAGAGGAATGTTTTCCTCTTTTGAAATCATGACCAGAAAATAATATTCTCATATCTGGTTGGTTCATTAGCAACAGAGGCAAACAACACAAGTCCAGTTTGAACTCCTTAAAGATTACATTATCTTCCACAATGATTGTTTCAGCTTCTTTCCTTTATTTGCACTTTTATTTAAAGAAATTATGTTCTTTTTTTTATAGAGACAGTATCTCACTCTGTTGCCCAGGCTGGAGTGCAGTGGTGCGCCCATAGATCACTGCAGCCTTTTGCTCCTGGGCTCAGGCAATCCTCTTGCCTCAGCCTTCTGAGTAGGTAAGACTGCAGGTGCACACCACCACACTTGGCTATTTTTTAAAAAATTGTTTGTAGAGATGGGGGTCTCGCTATGTTGCCCAGGCTGGTCTGGGACTCCTGGCTTCAAGTGGCCCTCCCACCTCAGCCTTCCAAAGTGCTAGGATTACAGGCATGAGCCACTGTGCCAGACCTTTATTTGGACTTTTCAGTATCCACAAATGCTCAAAACATTTTCTATACTTTGATGTTTGGGAACAATGAGGATCTGAAATTTTGAGAACAACAAAAAAAGAATGTATATTCTTACTTCTTTGAATTCCTTAAATTGCCACCAAATAAAGGTGGGGCTCTGGCTCACTCTATTTTTCTATTTTCCTAAGACTTTGTGTTAAAGCTTCTCTTCAAAATCGTTTCTCATATGCATATTCCCTAAGACTCTTTTCACATCAAAGTTACACTTTGAAGCTTTCTAGCAAAGTAGCAGCTAGGCAATCTGTGACAACAGCAATAATTTATTTGCGTGGCTTTATCGGAGAAAAAGAATTTCTCCTTATTTAAATAGCAGTTGTAAAGCCTAATTAACTAAATTGATAGCTTTATGTATGTAAACTGCCATAACAGAAGAATAGAGTATGCAAGCTGGGGTGGAGGGAGTGGGGCAGTCTGTCCTGGTAGAATAAGGACTTTATTAAGAGATCTGTATGCGCCCAGTGTCTTCTCAGGCCCATCCGTGGGGTTCTAATTTTTATCAGGGAGATCTGTATGGAAACAAGATCTTACACATTTAGAAGCTAATCCAGCCACAGTCTTAGGAGGAAGAGACCTGTTCATTATTTGGAGATACATTACTTTGATGCCTTTATATATAAGGTACGGTATTCCCTTTAAAAAAAAGATTCTGGAAAAGAAAAACAATCTCACCCAGTCATCCCGGAGACCAATAGCTGTGTACAAAAGGCCTCCAAAGTGCTTTTATGACCTTGTAAGTGCCTATGTGTCTGGTATACATATTAGAAAGCTCTAATAATTGCTGCTGTCTATGTAAAGCATAGCCATAAACAGATGCATTTAGCATAAATTTACTCAGATATATTGAAGTATTACATGATTAAATACATTGTTTGTATAAGTTATATTAAAATGTGATTTTCATTTATAAAAAGCTTATTTAATACACTTTTATTTATATATTTATATTAAATGTTTGTTATTAGGTGGGACCAATTGAAATTTCTGGTGCTTGGTTCGCTATGTTTGACCTATAAAAACAGTCATTCCATGATGGAATATGCTAGATATAAAAGGAAATACCATTTACAGTTGATACATACTCATTAAAATAGAATTTGGGTTAGTTTTTCTGGTGATTCTTCGTTTTGATCATGAATCCCATGAAAGCTATGGATCTCTCCTTAGAAAAATTCACAATGATATAAAATTTGGGATTCTATTTTAGGGTGTTCACAGCTTTCTGAGCAACAACGATACAAAGTGGATGCAATTCATCCATCGTCTCTGAAAAGTCTTCGACCATTGCATGAGATTGTAGAGGAAGACAGGCACAGGAAGACCAAACAGCGTGTAGAGGATACGAAGGTCTAGGAAAGATGGATGCAAGGACACACTACAGGGCTGGCACTCACAGGGATTTCTAAATGACCACTGTTGGGAGAAAAACTACAGGCTAGGGACATTAGAGTTTATTCTCTGGATAATTAATGGCTCCCATTGGCCTCTCTTGGCTTCTTTCTCTAAGGCCTGGGTTTTCTGCTGGGGAAGAAGGCAAGAGCAATTGCTCTTTCATGCCCCTAAACTGTAGACCTTCGACTGAATTTCATCTCTGTCCTAATCCTCCCATTTTTCCCAATGTGTTATTTGGTCTCTGAGACCATTTCCTTGGCAATCAGAGTAAAGGATGGGCACGGACCTAAATAAAGGGCCTTAGGAAAAGCCTAGGAAAGAATGCCGAGTGCCTGAGATAAAAATCTTTGTTGTGAGTGTGAGTTTACCTTGGAAGAATAAATAGCGTAATGGGCTCTTTGAGCTGAGGCCGCTCTTACAGACCGCCCATCTTCATTCACCTCTTTGAAATGCATGGTGACAACACATTGATATTGCTGAGGTTAATGACTGACTGATTAACAACAGAGAGCACATTTGCAGGCAAATGAGCTGTAATAATTGTTGCAGGAACTCCTTTGAAGAAAATGTTTTCAATAGGCTTCTAAGGGCTCTCGAGATGGTTTTTCACTCTGTTCAGACTAGCCGCTCCCTATTTGTTTTGTTTTTGTTTTTGTTTTTTACCTTCGGTGCTCTCTCTCAGGATGCGGAGGAGAAAACTCCACCAAGGTTATCCCAAATAACTTAAAAAGCGAGTGAAGTTGGTCATCCGTATGAAGTATTTCAGACACTAGTCTCGTTAATTGGGTGGAATTTACACTTTTAGCTGCTTTGATCTGTAGTCCAGGTTTGCTAATTTAGAAGACGTAAGTTAGAACTTAAACTTCAGAAAGTCTCAATGCGCGTATGTTCCTGCGCTTTTAGAAAGAGTGTATTTGTTCAAAAAAGTAAAGGTGGAGTTATTGTGTTGTTTTTATCTGTAGATATCAAATGCATAGAGCGACAAAAAGGAGTTATCTCTCAGCTTTTTAGAAACCTGTGTACCAGTTTGATCACTGGAAGTACTTAATCCCTATTATCTCCAAACCCCATCAAATTAAGAATGATTCTCCTGCTCCTCTTAGGAATCACAACTTTGATTATGTTTAATTGCCAATGCAGTGGTGACGCTCAAGATTTAGCATGCATCAAAATCACCTAGAGGGTTCTAAAAATAAAAAGGCTTTAGGATCCGAACCCTGGAGTTTCTGCTTCATTAGGTCTGGAGAGGGGTTCAAGGATTTGTGTTTCTAACAAGCAAAAGCTAATGCAGATGCTGCTTGTCCTGGGAGCATGCTTTAAGAACCATTTTTCTAGATATGTGGTCAAAATTGGGTGCCTCATGGGCTAGAGAGATGCCCACTGCTGGTCGTAACCTCTCTCATCCTTTAACCCACTATTCTAACCCCACCCACACACACAGACACGGTAGAGTCTACTGCCTACAGAAAAACAACCAACTACCAGCCAATCACCCTGGTATTCTTGTGAGGTTCTACAGTTTTCCTTTTATTTTTGCTTTTATTGATTTACTTAGTCAACATACATTTATTCAAAACCTCCTGGGCCTAGGTACTAAGCTAAGGTCCAGGAGTTACAAAAGTGACCCTGCCATCTGGGAAAGGCAATACATTAATGTGGCACAGAAGAATCAAATCATTACAGTACCAGGAGGATGGGGGTATAGGATCAGATTTCACTCATCCACCTACTATTTCCGCGTACTTTTAATTACTTCACTTTAAAAAATGTATTCAACGCATTTTAAAGCTCGTCATTGTATCATGACCACAAAAGTTGAAATCAGTACTTGTTATGAATAGAAGGTAACCAATAAATGAATAGAGACATCTGCAACAAAACAAATCCATGAAATTCTAGCTAGACCCTGTTACCTGCAGGACGCTGTGTGCCTGAGGCCTTATTGGTTTAAAAAAAGAAAAAAAGGAGGGTCAGGGGACTGAGAAAATGTTAGAGAGATATTACAGACATTGTAGCAACAAATGGAGATGTTTTCTTTGATCTTATCAGAATTGTTGAAAAGAACACTTCTCATGATGTAATTCATTGTTATTTATTGCTGTGTCAAATGCGCTATCTATACCTATTGTAGGGAAACTAGTGTGATTTGTCTCCCTCTTTCAGGAAAAAAAATAAAAAATAAAAAAAATAAAACAGCTAGAAAGAGCAGGAAAATTCAAGAAAACTGGGGTTGATGGACAAGAGTGATAGTTTTAGTCACCAAGAGAACCTGAGACAGCCAGGGTGACAAGAGAGCGTCTGACATGGTGAGCAGGACTGGGAGATGGGCTTGTAGTATGAACCATACCTTCTTCAGAGAGTCACCCCAGGTCATCTGCCTTGCCTCAGCTCTGAGTAGTACATCGAATCTAATGTTCTTAACACAGTAATGGCCAGCATCTCATAGCACAATTTAGCAAGTATTTCAAAAGACATTTTCATTGCCCGGAATATCTGTCTGTCTCACTAGGACATGAAAATGCAGTCAGAACAGCAATATTAGGGTATATATTTTATTAGAAGACTGTTTCTATGATTTATGCTTCTGATGTAGGAATTGCAGAATATTGTTTCATGTCACAAAGCACCATGGATTGCAGCTATCACCTTTGCTAGGCAGAAAAGTAAAGAAATCAACTGTTTTTTGTTTTTGTTTTTCTTGGCCATTGAGCTTGTGAGTCACTGTGGACATCTCTGTTACCATTGGGATGAAAATCACAAGTCTAGCATAAAATGAGATTTGACTTCAATATGGGAAGAGTGATAACTGACAAATAATAACATATCACCCTGCCTCTAACACCGTGCATACAGCTTAAATCTATGTTTATTGGAGTAAAATAATGATAAAACTAATTAAAACTCTTATTTTTGCATTAATTTTTTTCTAACTTTGGTACACATGATCTGAACTTATTCTTTTTTTCCCCTAGAAATACAGATAAATCAATTTATTCTTAAGCTCATTTAACAAATAATGAAACTTTGTGCCAGAGGATAACTCAACATATACAGGTCACTCTTTCAACAGATGGCATAGTCACTACTAGAAGCCAATTCTGATTTTCAGTCCCTGCCCAATGATAACTAGTAGTAATAACAGTAGTCTTGGTAATAAACATAACAATAATAATGGATGACACTTATTGCATGCTAATTAGGAACTAACATTTTTATATGAATTATCTTATTTCATTCTTACAACAATTTATGGATCAAGTATTATTATTAGTCTCCTAATTTTACAGATGAGACAATTAAGGCTCAGAGAATTTAAATCATTTGCCCATTGTTAAATAGCTAATAAATGCCAGAGCTGTGTCAATAAACCACAGTCATTTTAACTCTGTGAACTTTGAGATTCTGATGTCTCTGTCCTCAAATGATAACAAATATATTTTTAAAGGATATCTAATTCTTGAAGACAGATATTGTTAAGGAACAAGTATTAGCTGTTAATGTTCATTTGTACCCCGAGAACCAAAACACTAAAGTGATCTCCCAATCATCTGAGACATTATCCTCAGTCCTCACCTCCCCATCACGTAACCAGGAATGCATTATGCGTTAACTCCTCTCATTAAATAAATTTCTGCTGGGGGTTAATAGCAGTGCTGTAATGGCTTTATATCATTATTTGCAGGCAATATTTATATATAGAACTGTTCCTTTCCTGGATCCCAAGGCCAACAGCTTCAGGGATTCGTAGCCTGCTGGTGGGGAACAGGGACTTGTATTCCCCAAGTTGCTTCCTGGGAAGTCAGTCCAAAAATGTAGACAGATTATGAACCTCCTATCTACCATAGGATGCCCAAACCACTGAAGAGCCCTACAAAACCTACCATTTCCTTGGTTTCAAAGTATAGTAATTATGTAATTTTCTTTTTAATGTTAATTTTAAGTAACCAACTCCTAAATGAGAGTGTTACCTATGGATAATATTAAAATTAAAAAATAAAAAATAGAGATGAGGGTGACACCTCCACAATTCCATTCTTTTGGAGACCATCGTGGTTTCGACTCTGGAGTGTGCGCACGTTCATGAGTGTATGTGTACCCGCCGCGTACCTCTGTGTGTTTTATTTCCCCCGGGCCATTTTCTAGTCATTTACATGAATCTATTCCTTAGAAAATATATAGTATTGTTTTCTGTTATTTTCACATGAATTATGTCATAGGAGATAGTGCGCATCACTCTTTCATGCTATTTTTCCTATTCCAAGTGATTTAAAGAGCTTTTGATGAATGCAGTTTTTACGCCATTCTTTTAACTACCACCTGGCCTTCCTTAATATGAATACACTATCATGTAGCCATTCTCCTGTTGATAAATATTAGGGCAGCTTGGAGTTTTTTGCTGTTGTATACAATGTTGCAGTCAGCCTCCTTGCCCAACAAGGCATCCATATAAGCAAAATTTGTTATCCATATAAGCAAAATTTTTTCTAGGAACAATAGAGATGAGTAGAATTCTGCATTAGGACATGCAGATTTGAAATTTCAATAGCTAGTATCTAATTGCTTCTCAATAGGTGGTTCCAATTTACACTCCTACTAGCCACATAAAAGATGGGCTATTTCCATACCCTTAGAGGCATGTAATATTTTTAAACATCTTCTGCCTTCTTGTGAATATTCAGAAGGGAGGGAGGTAGGGCTAGCACAAGATTAAATGTACTAGTGTCATCCAAATTACCTGTATAAGGGCTGTGATTCAGAAAGGATGAGGCTGGGTTTGCCTGAAATGTAACCCTTTTAACTTCGTTATTTAGCATATTTTAGATTCTTCACCTCACTCACCAGAGTCCTTTCTCATTTATTTCTGCTCACTCTTACACTAACATCTTGGTGTAAAAAAAAAATATATATATATATATTTCCAGGAAATGGGGGAACCTGATGGCACAATGATGCAATTAAAAGGCTAGAGACAGCATTCAGGAATGTGTATTGCTAAGGGAGATGTACTACATTTCAGTATATTTAAAAGTGGATTTTTTTTTCTTGCCCTGGAAAATACGATCAAAAGAGTTGTACCCACCCTACCCAGTTCCCCGCCCCAACCTCAGGCAGTGCCTAAGGAATTAATGGCCCGCTGAGGTTAATGAGTCCCTCCTCTGGGCCATCAACTCTCCCAGCTGGCCATTAATCCCCTAGAAATGTCCCCTGCCTTGGTAGTTACTCCTTAATTATGGAAGCCATTAAGAATCAAGAGAGAATCCTAGGCAAAAGGAAAAGAAAAGGCCATTTTTCATTGGTGCTCAGCATGGGACACCTCAAGTCCAGGTGGC
This sequence comes from Homo sapiens, assembly GCF_000001405.40. Classification (NCBI taxonomy): domain Eukaryota; kingdom Metazoa; phylum Chordata; class Mammalia; order Primates; family Hominidae; genus Homo; species Homo sapiens. The sequence continues at coordinate 166,329,501 of NC_000005.10, forward strand.
ACCAAGAAACACAACGCGACTGCGATTAAACCAACTGCTTCCAAGAAGGAGTCATCAATCTCTATTTTCTCCTTTGATCATCCAAATTCAAGGAGACTATTCAAGGCTACTCCAGGTCTGAGACCAAGTAAATAACTTGTGTCCAATGAATTCTTGATTAAAATGTCTGAAGACCAATACCTTGGATGCATTCAGGCCAGACGTAACTTTATCTTCATGTCTGTGGGGAGTAAGCGCATGTCTATGCCGTTTGATTTTTTAAGGGAGTCTAAGACTTCTCCCATTCCTCCAGCTATTTATCCTGACTTACCAGTGTCCAAAACTAACCTGTTAATCATTCCCTTGGGTCACAACAGTGGATTTTTAAATGGATTACTTACTACTGGAATTGTTTTTCCATGTGTCTTATTAATTTTTTTTTCAGCTGATAGGATTGAAAGCACTAGCCTCTACTATTATGTTAACCAAAGCAGCAATGTTTTCATCCAGTTTTTATTTTGGAATTTCCATGTCTACGAATATTGAAACTTGTTAGATGAAAGTACTGAAGTTTAATGTTAAAATGCAGGTTTTGGCAAAGGCTGCATTAAGTTAGCCCCTAACCTAGTCCAAAAGGGAAATGGTTTGAATGAATAGACCCTTTGTCTCTTTGTCTAACACTACAGCCACAGTAGAATCTTTATGGCCTATGTTTGCTATGAGACCAAGGGAGAAGTATTTAAAGGGTGAGGTGCTTGGGTGAGCAGTCAGGTGATGCTGTAGTGGTACTAGGTGAGAGTGAGCATTTGGAGAGTTGCCCAGAGAAAACCCAAAGCAAACTTTATCTACTTGAAATTTTTGTTCTAGGGCAAATCTTACCAAGACATGTCTCACTATTCTTTTTTTTTCTAGCATGAAGGTAGCATTAGATTAGGTTAAGTCTGATATTATATGACACAATAAACCAACCTCTAAAAGAGATGAAGCAGTTTACCAAGTCACATACAGAGCTTTGAAGTCAGAGAGCCTGGGTCTGAGTCCTGATTCAGCCACTACTTGTTGATAGTCCTCTGGGAAATTGCCTCAACTCTCTGGGGAAAAATAATGCCTCCTTCATGTTATTGTGAAGCTAAAGCAAAATGATGCCTATAAATAACTGTTGATAGTTCTTTTTTAAATTTTTGTGGGTATATAGTAGGTATGTATATTTATGGGATATATGTGTTAACAGTTCTTCATAATGTTCAATATATGAGATTTACATAAATACATACAGTTATATGTGTGTATATGTTATATATACATTAATATCCCAGTATATTTAATGAAAAATAGCAATCATATTAAAGAAATACTGGAGTCAATATTACTTATTTTACTTTTTTTCTAAATCTAATCTGTCATAAAATCTACTTTGTGCCTGTGTGTTTGGGTGTGTGTGGGTGAGATTGCTGCCCCCGCTTCCCCCAGTGAAATTTCTCAAATCATTTGCTCCTCTAGCTTCTCTACTTGGACCCCTCAGCAGCCTGGTCGAAGCTCTTAACACTCATTCCTATTCCACTGTCACCCATCTTTAAGTGACCTCCTGGCTCCCTATATCTCTCTCCTTCGAGGCTTCCTCCTGAATATTGGGGTGGAGCTTTGTAACATACCAGGAAGAATCTAGATTTTTTTTCTTTATTGCTTGTCCAAATCCTCCACATCTTAGAAGATTTCGCACTAATGCCATCTCTTTCTTGCAGTTGTTCCAAAGCACCCTGCCATCTTTGGCTGTGGTCTCATAAGCCTGAATTATTTACATCACTCATCTCTCATTCAGTTGGAATGTTACTTTGCTTTCTTTCTTTTATTTTTTTCTTTTTTTATTTTCTGCCTTTTTATTTTTGGAAGGGTGGTGGTATGTGTGACAAACCTTGACTCCCACTCATCTCGCACATTCAATGGCAATTGTTTATGTTTTTAATTCATTGACAGTACAAGTATTCTTTTTAGCATGTCTTTCATTTTCCAGGCAACCCACTTGTCCCCAGGAATAAAACACTTTAAAAGAAAGGCGTGGTCCTTCTTTCATGAAGTTTATGGGTGCAGAGGGAGATAGACGGATGTCAATGAAGTAATCATTCCATGTTTACATAAGTATAATTTGCAAAAAGAACATATGAGAAAGGAATCTGATCTAGACTTGAGGATTAAAGAAAGCTTCCCTGAAGAGATGGGTGAGGAGTTACCTGATTAGGAGTTAACAACTGGGGGGCCAGATGATAAGAGTATTCCATACAAAGGGAATAGAGATATCACGGGCCAACGGCAAGAGGGAATTTGAACCTTGGAGTGTAGATTGGAGAAGATGGGAAGATCAATGGACTTTGAGCCTGGGAACAAGGGAGAAAAGTTGGAAAATAAAACTGGAGAGAATGGTAACCTTATTAAGGTGTCTGCTCTTTCTCTTGGAAAAATGATGTACATTTATTGTCTCCTGAGGGTTCCACACCTTCTGATATTCAGTAAATATATTTTTAATGAGTGAATTAATGAAATTGTGATGTTTATGTACATGCTATTTGTTCCTCATGGGTAACTGAAGCATGAATAGGAAATCTGTAATGATTTATTGAGAAGATTCTCAAGGGCTTAGATTCTTGATCTATCTTCTAGACTGATAAAAATGCTGTTTGAATTTTGTTGAAAAATAATGAAGTAAAAAAGATAAAGCCAAGCAAACGTGTTCTACTTGAGAAGAATTATTGAATGTTTAGTTCCAGAAATAAGTGATTTAAAAAGAGAGATTTTCTTTGCTCTAAGCTTTTTAAAGCTGTACCAAATAAAATATCTCAAAAATCTAAATACATTCCCACTTCAACTTTTGAAATGACTTTATACGGTGGCTCTATAATGGTTCAACATAAATCTTCATGACTTTGCTGCATTTTATACCTGAAACTTAGCTTCCTTAGTAATGAGAACAAAGTTTAATAAGACCTGACAATAGATCCTACTTTACCGAAGACCACTATTGTTTGTGATGAAGACAAAGATACTGAAGTGTATAAGTCTATCATCTCCATATGGGCTGGGGAAGAAAAAAATGTCTTAAGAATAATTTAACCTTATACCTCAAAGTCCAACATGATTTTTGGTTAAAGTCAAAGAATATCATATCCCTCACTTCTTACCTCCCATCCCAAGGTGCCTTATGAATCACATTACGCAGAATAGACATTTCTCCCTCCTCTTATTCTCAAACATTATCTGTTCTCTGTCAAAGATTAAACTTGGTTCTTTAGTCAGTCCAGGGCAACACATCTATTTAAAGCATTAATAGATATCAGACTCCTCAGGGAAATTTAATGTGGCTAAATAGCATTAAAGGAACTTTCCAATAGAACATAAACAATACCATAATGAAAAATATTAAATCATATGTTTGCCACTGAGCCCATTATAGAGCCAATTTAAAATTATAATAAATTTGCATTTGGCACTTGCTAGTGATTGGCAAATTTATTCATGTGAAAAATAGAGAATATAGATTAAATGTCTTTGGATTTTCCTGTTATAGAAAACTAAAAAATAATTACTCCTCTGTCCTATATAAAGACCTATATATAAAACACACATTTTTAATTTTTTCACTATATTCTATTCAACTGACTTGAAAGATGTATTTTCATTGAGGTATGTTTTAAACACTTAATAGTTAATGACAAGCAATGGAAAAATTGGTTATTTGACTTTAAATGCCTTTTTCCACTGAAAAACTGGCTAGCCTTTTTTTCAAGCACATGATGTATGATATATGAAGGGGACTGGACAAAAAGAGAAGCAGCAGGAGCCAGGGAGAATGATTCAAAATTGGCTAGTGTGAAAGCCAAAATGCACCCAGACTGTCTCTCCAGTAAAAAAACAGGAGGCAATCTGGTCACCTTTTAAAGGACTGGCAACTACATCCTGCAACCAGTTGCTGGCATTAGTAGAGTTGGTTTTTAGATCTTTCCCTCCATTTCCTTAAAGATCTCCTGACTTTTTTCCCTAAGACAACCAGCAATAATCCTAGATGCCATGTCCCCTGTCTGATATACAGTTTCTTTTGCTTGCAAAGAAGACACTACGAAAAGTTTATTTACCAGTCACTTAGTGATGACACACTAATGGCTCCAGAAGTATAATGCAATTTGACATTTTCCATCAACAGTATTTTTACCCAGGAACTCTACCCACCAAGAACTTATCCTGATACATACTAGAATGTCTCTTTATTATTGCCCTTTACATTAAAAATTAGAAACAACTTAAATGTTGAACAATAGGACTTTGGTATGCAGTCAACAGAAATGATATAGAAGAATGTTTACTGAAGTAGAGGATATCCAGAGTATATCATTCATGATGAAGGTAGGATATAAAACAGTGAAAACATACACACACAGACACACACACACACACGGATAATAAATATTCCTATGCATCCATGATGTAACAGTTTATACCAAAGTTATATATATATATAGTATATATATTATATATATACAATATATTGTATTATAGAATGGATATCTTTGAAGGACCATATTATGCCAACCACAATAATTAAATCTCTTCCATTGAATACAGCCTTGTAGGGACTTTAATCAAGATGTTCTCTGCTCCCTCGTCCAAGAGCTGTCACGTAACCCAGGCAGCGCCAATTGTGCTTTATCTTATAAATTTATATATGAGAAAAATGATCCAAATACTGAGGAAGTTTGAGAACATCCATTTCAGTGGTAGAATCTGAAAGAGACTATCATAGAGTTCCTGTTACAAGCGTCTCTAAAGCTACTGACTCTGTTGTTCATTAGTTTCCTTGCCTTTGTTTTTATTCTCCTTGCATTTCATCTTTCCAATGAATTCTGTTTTTTCTTAACTTAGGGACAATTTCCTTGACTTACAACAATATAATCCCTGTGATACAAGAAATTACAGAATACAGGGGAGACTGGGGGTGATTAGAAGTGCTTTCCAGGTGAATAAATATGATTTATTCTATATCATTGTGGTAAAATGTCATAAATAACCTTGATAGTGGATGGAATTTCTTACTTTTCTGACAGCATGCCGGTGGAATCACAAAACTGCACTGCCATTCAGGGGATTAATCATAGAGATGAATTAGGGGTAATGTGGTTATGTTTGTATTATTTCTATTTGTTTAAATAAACTCATTGCCCTAAGGCCTATGGGCATGTGTGCAAAATATTAATAAACACAGACTAACTTTTCACAGCAGTCTCTTAAATCTCCCTGGTTTTTGATATTCTCCACAGAGTATAAACAAAATTTTTAAAAAACTACAGAATACTAGGGTGCCTGGAGGGCTTGAAGTCCATGCAAGCAGATTTTATTAAAAAATAATACTAAATGTCGGCTTTTTTTTTTTTCTTACATGTGGTGTTTACTGAAGTAAATGATAACGAAATTTCCTTAAGTGCTACACTAAGGATTCAAACAAGATAAATGGCTCAAAGGGTAATTTCATGATGAGTATGAAGAGAAGAAAGAAGGAAATAAAAGAAAAATAAAATCAAATGAAAGGTTCAGAAGAGTAGGAGGGTTCTTCAACTCAGAATTTTCAATGACTGACAGTGTTTATACATATGTAACAGTAAGGCTGACCTCAGTCTGAAGATCTTGGCCCAGCTACCTCAGTGTTTTCAGTCAGAGGAGATGTTGCCCCTACCATATGTGGTAATTTGGCAATGTAAAGGGACACCTTTTGGTTGTCAGAACAGGATGCTACTAACATCCGGTGGGTCAAGAGCTGGGATGCAGCTGTCAACCCCTGTAACTGAAGACCACCAGGAACACCCCTGTAGTTAAACAAGTTGTTTTTATGGTTTTTGCAACAAGAAAGAACACATACCATGGAGAATGGTGGTGTAGCTCAGTAGGATGGTGTTGGAAAGAACTGATGATAAGATTTTGGTCTTATCTTAGTTGAGTGATTTGGGGAAGAACTAAAAAAATAGGAATTTGCTCTAGATTGAATGCTGTCAGAAAGTGGGGACGATTCTATAACTTGGGTATCTCAATAAATTTTGTCTAGAAGGAAGTTATAAATGATCTTACTTTGTCTTATTTTATCATGGCCTGAGACTAATCTGGTTTGAGGTTGTTATTCTGTGTTTTTTTTTTTTTTTTTTTTTTTTTTGTCTAATAAGAGAATAATAGGATCTAGCTTTGAGTACTGAGAGTCTGTCACAAAAAAGGATTATCCACACAATGAACTATTACCTCTCACGCCTGTTGGGGTGACTATTATTAAAAAAAAAGAAAGAAAACAAAACAAAACAAAATAAGTTGTTGGTGAAGATGTAGAGGCATTGCAATGCTTGTACACTGTCGGTGGGAATGTACAATGGTACAACCACTATGGAAAACAGTTTGGATTTCATTTAATTGTTTTCATCAAAAAAAAAATGTAAATGGAAACACCATATGATCCAGCAGTGCTGCTTCTGGCTATACATCCAAAATAATTGAAATCAAGATCTCAACAAGATACCTGCACTCCCGTGGTGATTGCAGCTTTATTCACAATAGCCAAGATATAGAAACACCTTAAATGTCCTTCAGTGGATGAATCGATAAAGAAAATATGACATATACACACAATGGAATATTATTCAGCCTTCAAAAATAGAAGAAAATCTTGCCACATGTGACAACTTGGATGAACCTGGAGGACTTTATGCCAAGTGAAATATGCCAGGCATGGAAAGACAAATGCTGTGCTACAGGATTGCATTTATACAAAGTATCTAAAATGGTCAAACTCACAGAATCAGATGGTGAATGGTGGTTGTTTTGGGCCTGGTGGAAGGGAGGAATGGGGAGTTGCTATTCAGTGGGTATAACGTTTTTGTTATGCAAGAGGAATAAGTTCCAGAGATCTTCTGTAGAGCATCCTGTTTATAGTCAACAATACCATATTGTGCACTTAAAATTTTTTAAGAGATTAGATCTCATGTTAAGTGTTCTTATCACAATAAAAAAAATACACAAAACAAAGGGCAAAAGGAAACTTTACAAGTGATGGATGTTCATTACCTTGATTGTGGTAATGGTCTCATGATTGTAAACATTCCCTGAAGCTAAAATGGTGCCTGGCACATCCCAGTTAGTATTCAGTGATGATTGTTGAATAAATGAATGTCGATAAGTGAATGAATGAATGAAGTTTTAGCTCCACCCCTGTGCCAGTGGAGCAATAGGGTAAGACTCTTAAACAACTAACTATTGTGGGAGAAAGAGCAGCATGCTGAGATTGTTTGTTCTTCGGTAAGAGAAAGTGACACTCTTCACACATAAGAGTGAAAGAAAAAGTAAAAGAGATAATGGAAAAGGGTTTCTCAATTCTATAAAGCAAAACAGAATCAAGAAAAATGTCAAGTGCTGATAGGAAGGGAAAGAAATCTGATGACAGACAAATGGGGGGAAAATAAAAAACAAAATCTCAAGAGGTTTCATTGTTTTGTTTTTGCTTCTGTCTGTAAGAAAAAGTTTATCTGGGACAGATAATCAGGAAGAGTGCTGCCCAGAGAGTCAAGACGGGAGCAAAAAGAAGAAGCTAAAGGATGGAAAGATAGAAAATAGTTGAAGATACTTACCAATCATTGCCTATTAACATCAGCAGGGGCTGATGTCATGAATTCTACATACTCAGAGATTGGTGCATAGTTTTGCAGAACACCCTACAATTAGTTGGTAGAATGTTTTAATAGCAAAGAAAGGCTCCAAAAGAAAAGAGCACATTTAGCCCTTGCCTTAAAAATAGGTATTTTGAAAAGCAAGCACCCCACTAATTAGTTTGGTCAGCTCAGTGGTAACAATCAAGAAGATAATGAAAGAAATTATATTTTCACAATTATATTGCAATCCCCTAGAAAGGAACAGAGTTCTGAGTAGCAAACAAGGTTTTGTCAAGAGTGAATCATGCCAGACCAACTTAATTTCCTTCTGTGATAGAGTGGCAGGCCATGAGATAAAGGGGAAACAATAGATGTAATCTACCTCGATTTCACTGAGGCTTCTGATTCTCTCCACATAACGTTCTCATCCATAGGCTAGAAAGATTGGTCTAAGTCATACTGCTATTAGAAAGGAGCATAAACGCCAAAAGACTGCCCTAGAAGGATGGTTATCTGTGTCTCAGGATAGGAGAGTATTTTAAGGGATGGCAGGGTATTGTACATGTTATAGGAAGATCAATCAATGGCTTAGCAATGGGGACAGACAGGTTTCTTGTCTACCTCTGTCATTAATCATTGTATCTTTGGGTAATTTCATTCCTGTTTCTCTCAGGCTCAGTTTTGCAGTTGTGAAATGGGTGGGTTTAGAGTAGATTTTTTTTAGGGTCATTCTAGTTTTAAGCATGTATAATCCTTCAGCTAACATTACTTTAGAGATTTCCTCATGACCAGGGTAATACATTTGGGGCTCTCATGTTGTTGGATGTTTTCCTTATTTGCAAACTCCATTTAACAAATAAATATTATACAGGAGAAGTTGCCCTTTTTCCCCCATTTGAGATAATTCACGTATATGTATTCACTTGCATAGTAGTTAATTTGAATGGTTTTGAATGCCTAGTATGTGCATAATGAAAATCGAAGGATGAATTTGTTAAAAGCAACAACTCTCATCTCTTATGAATCATATACAATATCTGTATCAAAATTTTCTGAAAAGGAACAATTATAGAAGAGTATTAAAATGAAATAATTGCTAATAGGTTAAAAACAGGACTAATATAGAAACCTAAGTTTAGAAAATTATACTTAGAGTCCTACAAATCAATTATGTCTGCTATCAAACTTATAGCAAAATGGTCGACTATACCGCAATAAATAAAAGCTCAAATGTATAAAATTTAGCTTTCATTGACTTAAAAGCTACTTGCTTATTAAAAGTTTATTAGATTTTCTTTTTCATTAGATAGTTTATTCAGAAAGCTAACCATCCTTGGTCAACTTCAAACTATTCTTAATCCCTGAGAGCTGATTGATTTCTCGTGACTTTAACTGGTTTATACAGAAGGATATCTTTAAAATTCTTATAAAAACATCCAGATGGAATAACATCCTAAGGTAGTAATATGCTTATTGTTCATTACTTCACTTTTTAAGTTGGCATTTCAGATTAATTAAGCATTTGATAAAGCTCATGTTTATGCAAGTGTTTACAAATTAGAAAAGCTGTTAGCAGCGTTTAATTTGTTTGAATATATATATTTAATTTACTGCTTCTAATGGAAAGAAGCTTAAGGGAATTTAAGAGTCATGGCTTTATTGATAGACATTAGGCATATGCACAGCGTAATTATTATTGCTAATATTTTACATTTGCTGCGTGCCAACAGTTAGGAGCAGTAAAGAACCTCGTGTAATTCCATAGGCAGAAACGTGGGCCGTACATGCTGGGCATTTGCATCACTACACATACTTATCTCTTTGTGGGTTTCTTTTCCCCGCCCTCTGTACCACATGTATTTTTCTCTCACCACTTTCCTCACACTGGTGTTATAATGAGAATGGAATGCTCCTCTGATCCTTTGGCTTGAGATTTGTCCAACCCCCAAAAAATTCTGGACCCATCTCAGATCATGTCATGACAAATATCATTTCAATCCTCAGCCAATGGCCAGTTGATCTCCAGGACTATGAGATTAAAATAAGTCATGTAGAACACGGTATCATCCAGCTATCATTTTGAAACCCGTGCGAGGGGTTTATGTTGATCGGGAATCCCGCTGATCTGTCCATACACGCACTGCTTCTGGCTATGGATCTATGACAAATGGTAACTTCATCTCTATTAATTTTGGAAACGATTTGATTTCAAGACAAACAAAATCACTTCTCAGACATGATTTAAGCACCTACTTTGTGCCAGGTTCTGGGCTGAGCTGTGAGAGGGCAAAGATGAATGAGAAAATGGCTCTGCTCATCATTTGTCAGTGGGGCTGTTAGAGCAGCCTTCTATCTAATTTCCATGACTCTGATCTTCCTGGACCTTTCCAGTTTATCCTCCACCCAGTCATTAAAAATGACCCATCTCGGCCAGGTGCAGTGGCTCACACCTGTAATCCCAGCACTTTGGGAGGCCGAGGCGGGCAGATCACAAGGTCAGGAGATCAAGACCATCCTGGCCAACATGGTGAAACCCCATCTCTACTAAAATACAAAAAATTAGCCAGGCATGGTTGTGCACACCTGTAGTCCCAGCTACTTGACAGGCTGAGGCAGGGGAATTGCTTGAACCTGGGAGGCAGATATTGCAGTGAGCCAAGACCGTGCCACTGCACTCCAGCCTGGGGACAGAGTGAGACTCTGTCTGAAAAAAAAAAAAAAAATAGTGACCCATCTCAAAATTAAAGCTGGCTCTGTGGGACCTCACACTTAAACCTTCCAATGACTGCCCTGTTATCCAACAAGATAAAGTCTATGCTTCCAAACATAGCATAGGAAGTCCTTCATGAACTGAGCCCTCTCTGGCACTACTTGTCATGTTCTGTGCTTATAATTTGTACTCCAATAATGCTGAAGTGCTTGTGGTTCCTCTATACACTGTTTCCTACCTTGCTTATTCTACTTCTGGCAAAAAATTCTCTTTGCCTGCTAACTTCTGTTCTCCCTTCAAGTCTCAGTTCAAACCCTTCTATTTTGCTGATCCCCTTTTCCTCCAACAACCAAGCTGGATGAGGGCCAGCTGTGTGAAGGCATGTGTCATGCCATCTGCTTAGCCCATAAGTGCATTCACAACATAGTTGTATAATTACCTGTTTATTGTTTCAACTCCCCCACTAGAAGAATGTTTTTGCTTCTGTTTTTAAATCAATGACTATGCATTTCGTTTCAATAATACTAATTGGTTCTTTTTTAAATTCCCACCTGCTTTTATTTCATCTTTGCATGAATTTTTAAAAACAATTTCTGTTTTATTTTGGGGGCATCATTTCTTCATTTATCTTTGAAATACCCTAAACATATTCAGTTTAAAGTTTGTGGAGTTTTGTTGTTGTTGTTGTTGTTGTTTGTTTGTTTGTTTGCAGACTATTTAATCATTTCCATATTGGAGTGAGTTGATCACCTAATTGTCATTTTTCAATTTTTTTATGTTGTTATTTTTTCTGAATGAGTTTTGGAATTTGGGCTTTAAGTTTCTTCTTCAATGGAAACATCCCTTGAACCCTACAACATTCATCCCTCTAACAGGTCTCTTGAGCTCCCTGGTCCAAAACCAAGTCCTTACAGTCTTATAGCCATAGCTTGGGATTCCTATTGCTGTGATGTTCACATCTATGTAGTCATGAAACCAGTGGGCAGCCCAGCACAGACTTGGCTTGGGGACTGTGACTGTTCTTGCCTTTTAAATTTCACTTTATGTAAGCTGTAATTGCAGGCATCACATTTTGTTTCCCAGACAAAGAAGGGGTGCCCCAACCTGTAGTTTTAAAATAACTTTGAGCTGGGCATGGTGGCTCATGCCTGTAATCCCAGCACTTTGGGAGGCCGAGGCAAGTGGCTCACTTGAAGCCAGGAGTTTGAGACTAGCCTCGCCAACATGGTGAAACCTGGTCTCTACTAAAAATACAAAAAATTAGCTGGTGTGGTGGTGCATGCCTGTAGTCCCACCTGTAGTCCCAGGGAGGCTGAGGCATTAGAATTGCTTGAACCAGGGAGGCAGAGGTTGCAGTGAGTAGAGATGGCACCAGGGCACTCCATCCTGGGCAATAGGGCGAGACTCCATCTAAAAAAAAAGACCTTTGGTTTAGTCTCCATGAGGTATGGGACAATTTTCACCCCTAATACCTTCACTGTATGCATACTTATCACCTCTTCTTTTCTGTTCTGGGCCCCAAGCCCAGCAGGTATGGGAGAGGTCAATCCCAGTTAGCACTTCGAGGTGGTTTTCTGTTTGTCTGTTTTCCATTTTTAGCATTCAAATTGATTATCTTTGGGGGCATGGTTGCATCTTTTTACTTTTCTCTTTTTATATTTTATTTAGTAGTCTAATGGGTTTAATGAAAGGAGGCAGAGACAAGGAACAAACTAATATGTTCATCTGTCTTCTTCAGTTCCTCTGAGGACATAAGTAGGGGAATTGAGAAGTGGGGGCCGGAGGGGGTTGAAGGTTTGGAATAAGTCAACTCGACAAATAAAAACGACAGCATACTATGTACAGGAAGCATTGTTAAAACCCAAGAGGATAAAAATGCTGATCTTAAGGGGTTAGAATAATGTGTACTAGTCTGCTTCATTCATAGAACAAATATTTATTGAATGCCTAGTATATGACAGACATTTGTTAGATGCTGGGAATACAGTGGGGACAGAAGAGACAAGGTCCCTGAGTCGGACAACAGTTGGAGAAGATAGACTTGTAGGAGGCCCTAGAGGTGAGCAAGAGTATGGCACTTTGGAGGTATGAAACCAACTCAACATAGCCAGTGCAGAAATAGCAAAGCTCACGTCATCCAGCCATACTGCTGTGTGCAATTCCCTCCACAAAGAGATCCAGCAATGGAGGATGCATTAGCTCCTTAGACAATGCAAGTCCGCCTTTGGCCATTAAAGTGTTCCCTAGACACTCTCAATGATTTCTAGGTACCTCCCATTTTTCATTCCCCTTCAGATCGTTAGGCATTACACAGCTAAAAAGGAATTTTTAAGAGCTGATAAAATTTTCCTTCCAAAGATCTCATGTCAAGCATCTCTAAATTGTTTGGAATCCAGTTGAATAAATTATAGTATACATGACGATCTTTTTCCTCCCACCTTCTCATGAACTCTGAAAAAATATGTCTTACTCCTAAACTACTTAGCACTTTTGAAATGCCAACTAATTCTTCCTGGTTGTCCAAAATGAGTACAGAATGGCAATTCCCCTAGGAAATTTTCTCCTCTGGGAGATGAAGCTATTAGCAAAGCAAGTCAAGGTCCTGTTAGACATTCTGCTGTTATCCAAATGAGACTTCCGGCAGATGTCTGGAGAGTTGAAATCCCCATCACTACTCTGTCTTTTCTCTGCACTGATTTCACAATCTGTGTCTAGTAACACACCACGCATTTGCTCCATGTGTCCCAGCGTACTCTCATAATGATAGCACTTCTGTGCTCTTCCTTTGTCCTAACCCATATGCTCTCCAGCATGTTCCTGCCCTCAGGTCTGGGCATTTCCATATGAATGTAGATCTTCATGACATTCACCCCTGCTCTGCCTCCTGTCTAAGCAGTCTGTTTCTTTAGGGGTGGGCACACCCTTCCATTACAATGCTGTAACACCCTTCCCTTGAATTATAACACGAAGGTCTAGGCTTCAAAGCCCAAGTAATAGTTATAAAATCAGGTTAGTCTTGCTGACCTGTCTCTAATGCCCTGTTTCCACAGATTCTTTCTCAATTGCTTTCTAGTGAGAATTACCAGTAATTTGGTGTTAAACTTTCTGTGTCCTTGCTACTCTGGACGAGCAGTAGATAGAAATGCAGAATCTCAGGTCTCATCCCAGACCTATTGAATCAAAATCTCCTTAATAACAAGATCTCCTAGGAGATTCATATGCACATCAAATTCACAGAGTGCTACTCTTGAGTGCCTGATCTCTCCAGTTGATCTAAACCTTCTTCTCACCTCTAGATGCCATACAATCTTTGGATGGGCTTCAGCTGACCTCTGCAAACTCACCTAAGGTAATCAATCTGTGTCCAAATTTAACATTACAATGTAAGGAGACAATCGACTCATCTGGCCTGTAAATGCTTGACTCTGTGTGCACTATGTCCTCTCTAAATGGCAGGCATGAATGTACCACTTTCTTAACTTTGAGCATATTTGGGCTCCAGTATGTAAAACTCCAGGAGGAGGTATATCACATGCATTACTACCTGTTTTTAAATGGTTAAGTGGTATTTTTCAATTGTCTCATTGTTTTTTAATATTTATTATAAAATTAAACTTTATTCTAAGTTATATCAGTTGATGTGAATATCAATTGATGAATATGTCTGCAGTCAGAAAAACAAAGCAAAACAAAACAATTTTGTTAAATTCTGATTAGATACTGTTATCTGTCCCCCTAAAATCTCTTTGCTACAAAGAGAGATTGGAAGTACTAAAGAGGTGTTAAGGACATACAGCTCTGAACAGTTTTCTCTTTGAAAACTCCCTTTCTCCGAATGATTCAAAAGGAGAAGGTTTTGCATGTTATGTGTTTCAAATACTATAAACAACTACTTGCACTCTGGCATTTAGAAAACACTGTGTACCCAACTAAGACTAAGGCCTGCATTAAATTTCTAAAAGAGATAGAGTCAAAAGTCTGAGGGAAGTCTGTCTACTTTAATTAAGTGCATCAGAGAGAAATTTTTAGTAACATCTTAAAGATGATGCCTTTTAAATGTGGTTTCCATAAGTAGCAGTGGTCGTGGGTGGCAAAGAACTTGTGTCCTGGTATATTTTGCGACCATAAAATAGAGAGCTTCCTTATCAAGAATGAGAACTTATAGTTTCAAATCTGGTGTGAAATTTTCCTTTGTGCCAGGCACACATTTGGAAACAGCCTCTCTATTCTGCTGAGATCTCAGTGTTTATACTGGTACATTTTCCACGGTAACAAGGAAGGTACAAGGGCAGAACAAACAACACCACAGCCTTGCAAAAGCTTTATAATAACATTGTATTGCTTTGAACCATTCAATCCATTGTAGACATGGTTTAAGTGTACAGAAAAACTAAATGCAATACCATGAGGCAAAATGAAAAGTATTTTGCAGGCTAACTTCAGCATAAAGAGTTTGGGAGTATGTATTTTGAGTGAAGAAAGTTTTACCTAGACCCACTGGATTATTATCTTTCTGGTATGACTATAATAATTTTCTTTTAAAAATTCAGAGACCAGGATTTCACTCAACAAAGCATGTTTTATGCTAATTAAAAGTGGCCAAGAAGTCATGAATTCCCTGTGATCTTTATGGAGAGAAATCAATACCTGTATCTATTTCTATAAAACTCCAGGGTTTTCCTGGTGGATATTAGAACCCAGAAAGGTAGGCTTTCATGTTGTGTTTCCTGTAATAATGAGCAATCTAGGGTCAAATAGAAGCCTCATGCAGAGTACAGAATAAAAGAGTCACTATGAACAATTGAAAAATAAATGCAGAATCAGATATTTGTAATGCTGCTTAAAGCACGGCTAATCTTTATTCAACAGTTTTTACTCCCATATAAGACTCCTATTGTGTTGTGTCTTAGCAATGGCTATATTACTGAGATTCTAAAACCTCAGTATTAATGCAAAGAATTATGGTTTTATAAGTCAGTGGGGGAATGCAGGTATGCATACAGACATACACACACGTACCCCAGTAATTGCTATTTCTAGCAGCTTTTATTGTAATAGGAGTCCTTAAGGAATCTTGGTTTTACTGCAATTCAAAATCGTTGACATGTATTGTTGAGGAGTAGTGGCTGGTACATATACTCTCTCCCTATAATAAATGACATGGATAGATTTAACCTGTTCTAAGATTTCTTACTATATAACCCTAGTGGATACCATTTAGATTGGCCACAATCATAATCCTAGTTGTCATTACCAAAAACTCAAAAGTCTATCTAATCATATTAGATTTTGTGTCCAATGAAATTATAACATAATAGTCTTATCAGCAGCACTGATGATATCGCAAAGGAATGAGTTTCATTGCCACAGACTCCTGAAGTGTTTTCAGCAGATTTATCTGAGGAGTGGGAAGAGGCAAAATTCAACAAGTAAATGTGTTCCAGGAGAGCTTCCTATTTTATATTTTTTTGAATATTAAGTTCAATGCTGTAACTGCTATTCTTCCCTGAGTGATATTTTTTCCCTAACATGCCATGTTTCAATATAATAGTAATGGAATTATTTCATAATTCTACTTGTGATCACTTAAATATTACCAATTGTCTGATTAAACTGATAGTTCTGAAGGAAGACATGAAGGCATATGAAATGTGCACATCTAAGCAATATCAAAAACAGAGTGAAATGGTAAAAATTTCATACTGCTTTCAGAAAACTGAAAGAAACTCATAGAGAGTTGCATAATTTAAGGTTCTATTCTCTCCCGAGGAGTTGCCTTTATTTGCCATTGCTAATAAACTAGCAGTAACTCATATTAATCACAGAGGAAGGTAGGATCCAATATATATATTTTTTCTGATTGCTGTCCTAAGTTTATCCAACAGAAACTATTGTTAGTACCTTAGTGCCTCAGAATTTATTCACAGTGCCGGGATGTGTTCCAAAGTCCTTTAGGAAAAAAGGGCTTCAAAATGTACTTTCCCCATCCCTCTTGTTGAGAGTTCTTTTCTTGTGAGCCAGTAGGAAGTAGCATCAACAAATCTGTGCTCTTTGATAATAGGAACATACAGGATCTCTGTGCATTCTGGTCCCTGCTGACTCAGGAGAAAGGAGATGACAGGAGACAGTGTCTTGGGTGGACCATTCCCACTCAAGCCACATGCTGAACACAGCTCCTGGGCAGCCATCATTTGTAGGCTCCCTTTTTATTGGAAAGTAGGCCTTCACCTTTGGCAGGTGGCTCTATTATGCTAAGCAGCTCACAAATCTGGTGGAGAAGCACCTCATACTTTCTTTGAATACTTGTGTTCCACATTCATAGGTGGTGTTCAGAAAACCTGCATGAGAGCAGTAACCATGCTCTATTTAGAGGGAGTGATGTGTCCTAAAAAGCTGGCATGGGTAGGCCATGCGTAGCCCCTAAAGGTATCTGCCGCAGTTGTAACAAAACACACCAGCAGTCATAATCATGAAATGCTTCGTGGATTTCTCGCCCAGCTTCCTAATTATGAAACATATATTTCACAACCATTTGAAGTCTTTTTTTGAAGAATCGTTATTTCTCTCAGCATGAAGGCATGCAATGTAGGTAGTTTACATAGTCATGGGAGGTAAGGTTTTAGTTTTATTTTTCAAGTTCGATATCACTCAGGTCTTGCTCTAGCAGCAGGCATTGGCTCAAGATGTAATAAAAGGACTGAACCAAAATACCCTGCCTGAAATACCTCTTCTTATCAGCATCTAAAAATCTACAATGAGAGATTTTCTTTCAGTATTGGAAGGCATTTATACCCTCAGGATTGATTTATTAAAAAGGTGCCAGAAATGGGTAAACAAAGTTTTTCCATAGCTTAGCTCACAAAAACATATACTGAGCACTTCTTAGGTACTAGACACTCTGCCAGCCCTGGAATGTCAAGGTTGGAGGTGGACATCTCTTTCAAGGACGTGACAGGAAGTTTATGCTGAATCTTGTGACTAAGTTGGGAACAGGTCCATGCTTGGAAAGAAGAGAGCAGAGAAAAAAGTTTACTTCCCTCACAGTTTCAACAAGATGTAGACTCGGTTACATATGGTTAAGCTGTGCACTTGAGAGCCACTTGTCAAAATATGTCATTTGATTCCTAG
Source organism: Homo sapiens (assembly GCF_000001405.40). Lineage (NCBI taxonomy): Eukaryota > Metazoa > Chordata > Mammalia > Primates > Hominidae > Homo > Homo sapiens. Next base: position 166,346,985 of record NC_000005.10, read on the forward strand.
TACACTTTGTGTACATTCAGCAATAAGTTTAAGCATGTAAAGCACAAGTGGATAAGAAATTCCCACTCTTCGAATTATATAGCAGTTATTTAATGTTCAGAGGGCTGATGGGAATATATAAAGTAGCTAATGTTTAGGGATGACCTCACTATCAAGCCATACTGCCAGATACCATAAACAGCTATAAATTGTGAGAGCAGCAAGGATACACAGTGACCCTGTGTTCAACTAAGCACAGCATTCACTATAGTAGTTAACCTTTGACTGTAGTAGTAAATTAATGCAGATCTCCAAAAAACACTCCTATGCAAAAGTCACTGTGAAAACACTGCTGCATAATAATAAAATACTAACAGTAACTTGACCTCCAAAGCTTCTGGCTGGGGGAGGTATCATGTAATGTTGGGCTAGGGAAGAGCATGCGTTCATTAAGAAGGTTACCGAACACTGGATATCTTCTATTTTGTGATTTTTCTGCCACAGCCAAAGAACAGCAACTTGTGTTATAAAGACAACAATGTCAGGTGTTCCAACCTATTTTAGTAACACCCCTTTATTACTGAAAGTGCCTCCGGTAAATGCCCAAATTGCCTATTTGCACTAAATAAAATGTCACTTTGTGAATAAATTAGGCATTTTATGCTACCTTCTGTACGTCTAATGACATCCGTTGTAATATAATGTTTGCTTGTCTCTAGAGGCTGGCTCTCGAAATCAGCTTGCACCTGTGGCTTTTGGGAGCTATTAAGTAAAGCTTTTTTGCACTCACTTCTCCTGGTAGAATGTCACTGATATTCAAGGAAAGACTTGAAAAATATTACCAGGGTGTTTCTCAGTACGCCTCTGGGACTTGAAGTTTTGAATGTACGTGGACCTTTTGACATGTTGCGGTCCCTGTCCAATGGGGGTTACGGGTAGCTTGTCATTCATACTCTTTACCTTGATTCTGCCCGTGAACAACTGGAATCAGATTAATTTTGTGTGCTTGGCATACATGTGACTAACTCAATCATTTTTTTTCCCAGAGTGGTCTGCCTTTGCATTTATCTCTTGTTGCTTCTACCCTTGAAACAACTCAAGTTCCAATTTCTTTTTTAATACACTTTAATTTCAAACAAAAACTATAAGTTTCAGCATGACTACTAGACCAGGGGGATGCATCAGGAATGTACATAGATCCAAATAAGCCCTCAAAGTTGCAAAGCTTACTCAAATCTCATGTCATGTGTTGATAGTTTCTCCGGTGACTTTCTTGCCCCTATACATACCAAAAATCAAAGTTTTGAACTAATTTCTTGAAAGCAACTCTCTTGAAAGAATTTTCCAGGTAAGACTTATACACAAAAGTATAAGGGATAAAGTGTTTGCATTTAGCATTTCTTTTCTTTCTCTTTTGTTGGATTTGACAAGAACTGGTAAAAGTAAGGACACAGGTAAATGATATCCTAACGACTCCTCTCACCTAAGAGAGACATAAATTATAAAAATAGTGTGTTTTTCTCCTACACATTCAACTTCTAAAAAGATATAAATAATAATAATTACTAATATAAATTGTTTAACACGTGCCAGTAATTATTCAAGGCATTTTACACATATTATCTCTTTGAATACTTACAATAATGCAATAATAGGTAATATTATTTCATGATTTTACCAAAAAAGGAAAAACTGGTACTGCAACAAGCCAAATCAAATTTGGGACTTGTCCTCTTATAAAGTCCTATTTTTTGTGTTAGAAATACTCCTTTATATTGGGGGAGCTGTACAGGGTTTTTATAATTAGCATAAGCTGCAGAGTCAGACTTCTAGTTTGAATACTGTCTTTGCCACTGGCTCTTTAGTTTATTTTACATATCAGTCAGGATTTTTTTTCTGTTGCCAGTGAGAGAAAAACACAGGCTGAAATACAATTGATATACTATACATTCTATATATGAACAAAAATGTATTCCTCATATAACTAAAAATTTCAGAGTAATGCAAGTTTGAGGCATGGTTAGCGTCAAGATTTAGATAAGTCATCAAGACTCCAGCCTCTGTCAACATCTCAACTCTCTTTTCCTCCCATTGCCAGGCTGTATTTGGTCCCATGATAGAGCCCCACAGTTCAAATCCTAAATGCTCCCAGTTTCAAGCTCAGTAGAAGAGAGAGCTCTCTTGGCCCAACAGTTTGAACAAAAGTCTTAAAGCTGATAGATGCATTCCCTGGGGCAATAACTGAAACCAGAGGAATGGCATGCATTGATTGCACAGCACACATCTCTGTCACATGCTCTTTCCCATAGCTGCAACTTAAGCCCATAGAATAAGAATGGATGATGGGCAGTTCGCCAGTGGAAAACTGGAATGCTCTTAACTGTGGGGTGAGGAAGGGGGTAGGATGAGAATGAGGGAGTTGATTCCAAGCATCAGAAACAGCAGCTGTCCAGTTCCTTTTGGGAGAGTCTCTTTGTCTCTCTGAACATCACTCCTCATCTGTGAAATGTGGGAATAATCACTACGGCCTAGAGTTGTGAGAAATCAATGAACTAATGTATGTAAAGTACAAGATGCAGTGTCTGATTAATTGGGGTCTCTCCCTGTTTCTTTTTCCCTTCACCTTTTCTCTTCTTCCTTGGTCTGCTTTTATCTTTCATTTTTTATGTTTGCTTATTTCTACTTTTGTCATCTTCTTTTATCATCATCATGATCATTATCCTCACCAGCATTATCATATACATAAAGTATTTGTCATTGGTTCTGGCCCATGGTAAGAGCTAAATAAATGGTAGTGATACATTTCTTCTTCCTGTAGAAGATGACCTCCCCTAGAAAGAATTCAGAAGTGTAAACCTGAGTTTAGCTCAGTTTATGATTCCTGGAAAACGAACTCCCTGAAAGAGGCATCCTGGTTCACAGCTGAATATCAATTTTAACCTTATTCTCAGATTGCCTAAACAATACTGCACACATTAGTCTGAATTGGGGGATAATATGTTCTATGAAATCCAAGTTCTGATGTTAATGTTTTTTTCTTTCTTCTGACATGTCTCCCCGTCCCCCTTTTTTCTTGAAGAAGAAGAACCAGATAAAAATGTTTCATTGTCCCTTACAAATTGTCTCCTAGGAAAAAGATTTAACCCTAATCTAGCACACACATCTATCTTAAGCTTTCCTCACACATTACCATGAAAATCATACATTTTGTGATTTATAACAAAATTACCAAAGACAATCTTCTCCCCTATCTTTATCTCTGATTGGATATCTCATATAAGCCATACTTTATTACCAATTCCCAAATAAGGTGATTGGATTATACATGCTAAAATTCACAACTTCTTCATCACTACAAAGTAGCAACCTGATTAGTAAAAATATACTTAATCGTTAAACCCAGTCATCATGTTTCCTAAACATTAAAGCTCAGCATATAGTTCAGTTCAGATTGGTAAGGATACAGTGAGCACCTACTTAACTTACCTTAATTTCAAAATAAAATCCCAGGATAAGGATTGACTAGTCCAGGCTGGGTGCGGTGGCTCACGCCTATAATCCCAGCACTTTGGGAGGCTGAGGTGGGTGGATCATTTGAGGTCAGGAGTTCAAGACCAGCCTGGCCAACATGGTGAAAGCCCGTCGCTACTAAAAATACAAAAATTAGCCAGGCGTAGTGGTTCACACCTGTAATCCCAGCTACTCGGGAGGCTGAGGCAGGAGAATTACTTGAACCCGGGAGGCAGAGGTTGCAGTTAGCCAAGATCACACCACTGCACTCCAGTCTGGGCGACAGAGCAAGACTCCATCTCAAAAAAAAAAAAAGTATTGACTAGTCCAGTTGGATCAGTTACTTGTTCCAGGACACATGACTACAGTCCCAGAGGGGTGGAAAAGGTGCCACTATGTTAACTCACTTTTCCCATAGTAATCATGGGGATGGGTTGAAAGCACAGTTCCAAAAACACATTGGGACTGGACAGAAAACATTTTTCTTTACTCCCAATACAAACCTCTCAGAACAGGTAAACCATAATTTCATTGTGCTTTCAAAACACCATTTACATCTTCATTTTGAGTGATTTTTCAGAGATTGAATAATCATCTAAAGTTGCATTAAACCTTTTTAAATCTTTGGGTGAAAGGTTCAATTTTGAGATTTTATGAATTTTAAGTGGTTGTGAGGTTTTTGGGTTTTTGTGAGTTTAGTTGTGTTTTGTTTTATTGGGGGGATAGAGTCTTGAACAAAACATAACCACCTTCTGTATGTCTAACACCTCATCCTTGCTTTCACAATTAGTTTAACATTTTTTCCTCAACTGTTTCTAGCTAGTAATTTGGAACATGATTTTTGCATTGCCTTTTTTCTATGGTTTGAATATTTGTATCTTACCCGCTAAATTGGATTATAAATCTAGGGAAAAAAATGTTTTCCATTTTTCTTTCTATCCAGGGTGTTAAGCCCAGAATCTTGCGTAAAGATTTTTCTTGAGCTACAGCAACTGTTGCAAATAATAATAGTGACTGCGTGTTGAGCTTCAACTGCATGTCATACACCAAGATGAGCATTTTGTAGTTACTGTTATATATAATCTTCAGGAATCACTAGTGAGCCAATTATTATTATCCCCATTTTAAGGATAGGGAAACTGAGGCTTAGAGAGATGAAGGTCTTGTCGAAGGTGGCAGATAGAACTCTAGGCTCTATTTTACTTTTCTAATCTCCAAAGACTGATTATAAGTCCGTAGGAAATCTCAAAGCCTTTGAATATTTTTCTTTACAGTGGGAAAACAATACATTTGCAAAATATTTCTGCATTGAGGGGTTTGAGATTCTTACATGAGAATATATTTTCAGGCCCATGCTGAACCCCTCAGAGCCAGGCCCTTTCTATGAACTTTTTAAGTAGTCTCAGCACATTAGTATTACTGCACCTACCTAGTCATCCATTGGATATCTACTAGACTGTGAACAAATGATGGGTAAATATTATGTTGTATTTGTGTTTTTTTCCTCAATATCTGATGTAGTACCTGACGTATCCTAGCAGTGACTGAATAGATGATATTTGCACACATAAATAAAAGAATCAATTCACCTATCATTAAATGTATCAATGAATAAATATGTCAATAAATTGCATGAATCAATTTATCATTAAACATATCAGTGAATAAAGAAGAGATTGGATGATGCTACAGAAATTTGCCTACGGAACACTGTCTAATCAGATCTGAGTAAAAAAATTGCAAAATGATGCCTTTCCTAGAATCTCAGGAACTTGGGTCTTTGTAGAATGCCGTACAAAATGCTCCCTAGGGTTGATTGACTATACATTGCTGCCACCACAATGCCAAAGTTTATTGAATTGCATTTGTCAATACCTTATTTTTTATTCTATCTAAAATATGGACTAATATGAATTCATATGAATTCATGCAACTGTACACTGAGTTTTGCTATTAGCAATGAACATTTTCATGTGACATAAACAAATGTGAATTTTAAAATAAGCAACAGATGATCCAGCAGTGAAGCGTGCCCACCACTTCTAAAGCTGGGGTCAAACCAACATCTTCTGAACATTGATTTAGCAGGTTTGCCAGAGTTGTCAGAGATTACACATGCACCTTTCGTCAACAAGCATATGGAAGTGCATGTGTTGCCAACAGCCTGGACCATGTAATAAAGGAAAATCATATAACATGTAGAAAGCCCTTGAGGCTGCTAATATACCCATATCTGCAGTACAGTGTAGGAAAGATCCACTGTAGTCTTTTTCTACTCTTTGATTTCCCCCAAATATTTGTAAGTTATTATTTACTCCGTCCTTAAAAAATGTGAAATATATTAACTGAACATCTCATTATCCCTTTAGTGAATGCTTGGTCTCAAAGCCTTGTTCTTCTCAGCAAAGGTAATTTTAGTGTATCTGAAAAAAAAGCATAGAGTGAGTCACTTCACTCACCCTATCTTACTAGATGGAAGATCCATTTATTTTTATTTGTGTGTTTGTTTTCCTTTTGTTTAATATGAAGTTTCCATAACCTAACCTAAAACCTGAAATCTTTTAGATTGTTCAAAAATTGTTTGAATAATTATGAGTTAGTAAATTTGGCCCAGTGTTCTCATCCATAAAATGAAGATGCTATTAGATTATTCTCACCATTGTATAGGTGTGTATGTATATATAAATATGTATATATATATTTGTAAAATAGTTATTGTCTGATTATGCATGATGCAAAATGTATGCATACCATAATCTATCTCTACATATTTGACCTCCAACTAGGTAGAATAAAATAAAATGATACTGAAAAATAGTACAATATAAATGAACAATATATATTAATGTATTTTTATTATTAGATGATAAAATGTATATTTGTCCTCATTACTCAGCCTATGATGACATGTATTAATTAACAAATAAGTACAGTCTGAACCTGATGTTTCTTGCTTCCTGTTCCTCCTTCTCTCTTCCTCTCGCTCTCTTTCTCGGCTTGCTTATATAAGGTTGGTTGGTATCTGGTTCCAACCTAAAGAAAAGTATTTACAGATCAATATCTTAATGAAATAAAAAAAGTTTGAACACGTAACCACAAAGTAGTATGGGGAAAAAAACCTATTGGATAAACTTGTATGCCTTTATTGCTATCATTTTATAATCACAGCCAGACCTTCATTAGGGAATTAGCTAAATGTTCATTTGGCAGTGAATTCCTGTCTGATGAGTCTAGCAGGAAGACTTTCAGGATGTTGTGATTTCTATCCTTTCGCAGATAGATATACTTACTGTCCTTGTAATTGGTTTATCCCAATAGATAGTCTCCTCAGAGACCATGCAGTCACGGAAAATATCACCCAATTTCCTTCCAAGAATTGTTGGAAGGTTTAATCAAGAAATGTTTGTGATGTGTGTTGAGGAGGGAAAGACTCTCCAGTGACAAAGAGAAATGATTATTACTGGAATTAGACTCTACAAAAATTTCTAATCATCACTCAAATGAGATAAGGTGATGACAGAAAAACCCTAGGCAAATTTTTAAAGTGTAAAATTTGACCAATATTTCCAAATATATTTTGCTTTTAATTGGAGAACAAATGTTTTCCCTTTCTTTTAATGTTAGTTCCCACTAAGGGTCTAATATTGTAGTTGAATTTTGAGAACTAAAAGAGAGAACATTAAAATTAAGGGTTGTGACTTCATTCATTCTATGCTTCTGCAGTTCTAAATTGCCTCTAATTTCCTTCTTTACACATGCAGTGTAGGAATGGTTGTTTTTCACAGACCTTGCTTTTCCACTAATTAGTTGCCAGAATTAAGATCGCAATTACCCAACTGAAATATTTTAAGAAAATGTGTCATGTATCAGAAAAATAATTGAAATGCATAATTTGAAGACAAATGTTGACCCTGTCTAGTATATTGTAATTGTTTGGATCTTTGTTACCAGTGACCAAGATCTGACTCATAGGAACATAAGCAAAAGTATGGATTTATTATTAGGATACTTAGGTCATTCCTGAAACCCAAGAACAAGAATATGGTTAGACCTGAAGTACTGAAACAACAAACTCAAACATATTTAGGACTTTCTTTTCATATCCTGCCTCATTTCTCCAGTGGTCAGGGTCAATATCTGCTTTCTCTCTGTAAAAGTATTTTCTATGATTCACTGGTCCTAGTGGAAGGAAATCAGATTGCCAATAATATCTAAGAATTACATCGCATATCCTAGGCTTTCAAAAAGAGATTGACAAGCTTTCTCTGTCTTGATTCTGTGATGGAATTCCTAAGGAGGGAATCATCACTCCAGCTCAGGTTAGGTGACCACATTGAATGGTAAACTGTAGTTAGAAGATGGGCTACAATTGTAACCAGCCTAACAGTTCCCAAAACAACCATGTGGATGGAAGGAAGATCAAAGGACAATCTCCAGTATAAAAGTACTCCTCGGCCGGGCACGGTGGTTCACGCCTGTAATCCCAGCACTTTGGGAGGCTGAGGCGGGTGGATCACGAGGTCAGGAGATCGTGACCATCCTGGATAACACGGTGAAACCCCTTCTCTACTAAAAATACAAAAAATTAGCCAGGTGTGGTGGTGGGCGCCTATAGTCCCAGCTACTTGGGAGGCTGAGGCAGGAGAGTGGGACGAACCCGGGAGGTGCAGATTGCAGTGAGCCGAGATCACACCACTGCACTCCAGCCTGGGCAACAGAGCGAGACTCCGTCTCAAAAAAAAAAAAAAAAAAAATTACTCCTCTAAGGAGTACTGCACTGGAGTACTCCACTGTAGACATGCTAAAGCTAATATTTCTAAGACTTTCCACAGGTTGCTTATCTAAATACTTATAGATAATTTTATATTTTGTTTTATAAAAATTGATCTTAGCCGAATCTCAAAAACGTAAGGCTGAAAGTTTAGTAAACAGTCAACTGAATAGGACATTATCACCACACAAGGATAATTTGCCTAAAACAAAACTCATATCTATTCATGGATAATGTCTTCCTTAGCTCAAGCATATACTGACTATTAAATATATGGAAAACCTTGAGCTAGGAACGTAAAGAAATAACAATGAGCAAGATAGCCTAGTGGAACAACCAACACATTAACAGATAACACACAATAATGTGGAAAATACAATAATGGAAATACCTACAGGTTATTGTGGGAATACTAGGGAGGAATAAAACCCTGCTAGAAGTGACAGGCGACCATAAATGGCCTCCCAGAGGAGTCAAACCCTGAGCCACATCTACAAAGAGAAGTAAAAGTTAATTAGGTAAGAAATGGAAAAACAAGCCAGCAGAGTCAGCAGGGGCCAGGTGATGGGGGAGACTGAAAACCTGGCTAAAGATCTTGGACTTTTCTGAAGTTCCCTAAGAAAAGAGTATGAGAATGGCATGATCTGATTTGCCCAGAACTAGGTCTAGGTTACAGTACTCATTAACACAACCCCAGAGAGTTGGTTTTGAAGTAGCTTCTCAAGTAATCAAGAAAGATAAGCTAATTTCATGAAAAATGTAGTCTAGCATTCTGTAATGTCCTAATTATACAACACCCCTGTCCCCACACCCATATGCTCTGCAGGTGAAAAAACAATCTGCTGCTTGCAAGAGACAATCATGTTCAATCAAAGAAATCAACAGAATTAACTATTTGGGTACGTTTGCCTCCTTGCTCCAAGAATGCAGGACACTTTACCACATTTGCTTCCTGCTAATCGCTCACCTCCACCAGACCCAGGCTTTCAATTTTAGTCAAGCTAAATTGCCTGCCTTCCTTTGCCTTTACTCACCATAAAGTCATTTGAATTTGCTCATGGGAATTTTCATGCCCAGGACTGACTCTTTCTTCCTATCTGCCAGAATCTGTGGTTATCATTATTAAAAACTCAGTTTGAGGCCTTTCCTCCTGGGGCTGCTCATTACGTTAGATAGGGAATGTATAGAACTCTCCTTCTGTCAATCCCAACCATCTCTTCCACGGTATTCATGATACGTGAATGCATTTTTGTTCTAACATTTTTGTGTGTGCATTCTTCTTAAAATACCCAAAGCTAAATCTCAAAGCTCTGTCATATGTCCCCTTGAAAATGTTTATTAAATTGGGTGATACTAACTTTAATCCCAGGAACAGCAGATGGGCATGGTCTGCTTTCCTATGTGCATGTTTTTATGTGTGTTTCTGAAACATTTCGCACAACAAAAATATCACTTTTTATCATTACTTTTTAAAATGTGATATTGTGTCCTGAAACAATATTAAAAATCACAATTCCAGGAAACTCATCATTTCCCAATCATACAATGTATTGGGTTTAAACTCTAGTAAGTCATGAGAAATTGGCCCATGAAATCAAGTCATAATAATTTAATGAAAATCTATCCAAGAGTTTAAAAATATATATAAGAACTAATCATCTGTACTTGTCCTCAGTGATTGATTTGCTTCAGCAGCACCTGGGCCTCATATTTGGCAAGGAAATAAAGAAAACGTCAATGAAAAAAAGTTTTCATCATTCTATTTTTCAAGTTCAACTCTTCCATACTCTAGAAAGGATTCCTGTTCCTACATGTTGTATTTGTGCCAGGCCTTTCCCTATGTAATAATGAGGGGCATCCAATTACTAAAAATTACAACTGTCCGTCTGTCATTTGACAAAAGGCACTTGTTAAATTTTAAGTCTAGAACTATTTGAATTTTTTTCTTATACTCTGGTTGCAAGGAAAGAGGTACAAAGTCCCAAGCAGTTTATATTTATTTATTTTATTATTATTATTTTCTTGAGATGGAGTCTCGCTCTGTTGCCCAGGCTGGAGTGCAGTGGTGTGATCTCGGCTCACTGCAAGCTCCACCTCCCGGGTTCACACCATTCTCCTGCCTCAGCCTCCCGAGTAGCTGGGACTACAGGGGCCCGCCACCACGCCTGGCTAATATTTTTGTATTTTTAGTAGAGACGGCGTTTCACCATGTTAGCCAGGATGGTCTCGATCTCCTCACCTCATGATCTGCCCGCCTTGGTCTCCCAAAGTGCTGGGATTACAGGTGAAAGCCCCTGCACCTGGCCCCAGTTTCTATTTATTTTTTGTGTTAAGAATGTCTTGAGGACTGCTGCCCCAGGATGGTGTGTGTATGTTTGTGAGTGAGAGTGTGTGTGTGTGTGTGTGTGTGTGTGTGTGTTCAAGCCTCATCCCCCTAGGATCTTCTGGGTAGATTAGTCCTCCAAACTGCTTCCTGAACCTACCTCACCCTCTCTAGACATAACTGTTCCTATTACCATTCTTCTAACCCTCACCCATGTTGGGTTCTATTTGCCCCTATCAACTCTGTATATACTCATATTTACCATAGAGTTAATGTCGTATTTCATATAACGTATTTTCAATGTAATTAGAACCTCCTAAAAGCTCAGTTTCAGCCTTAAGGCTTGGCTGTTTAAATAGCAGTGAAGTGTGGTAAAGAAACAGTAGACCAAGAAGAAGGAGCCTCATTTCCTGTGCACATGTTTTATCTGAGATGTAGAAACAGTTCATGTAACAAAAAGATCATTGCGTTTGCCATTCTGTAAAATGTGATCGTGTCTTGAAACAATATTAAAATCACAACCCCAGGAAACTCATCAGAGATGATACTTATGAGAGGGGTGACTTACGGCAAAGCATTCATCCTCTCTGGGATCATTTCTTCCATGAGACTAGATCAATGGTTTTAAAAGTGTAGCTGTTTTTATTTTCTTTTAATAGACTTTATTTTTCATAGCAGTTTTAGGTTCACAACAAACTTGTAAACAAAGTTGTGCGTGGAAAGTGTTGTAGTCCTCCCTTATCTTCAGGGCTACATTCCAAGAATTCCAAGGAATTCCAAGAATTCCTGAAATCTCAGATAGTACTGAACCTTATACATTCTATGTTTTTTCCTATAATACATACATACTTATGATACAGTTTAATTTATAAATTAGGCACAGTAAGAGATGAACAATAACTAAAAACAAAATACAACATTTTTAACAATGTGTCATAACAGAAGTTATGTGAATGTGATCTCTCTCTCTCTCTTTCTGTCTCAAAATATTTTGTACTACACCATGGGTAACACAAACTGCAGATAAGGGGAAAGACTGCTGTACAGAGACTTCCTACATACTTCTGCCCTCACACATACAGTCACACTCATTACCATCATTCCCTACCAGCATGGCACATTTGTTACAATTGAGAAACCAACATAGACATGCCATTGACACTCTTGGTGTTGTAAGTTCTATGTTTGGACGAATGTATAATGACAGGTACCCACCATTATAGTATCATACAAAATAGTTTCACTGTCCTAAAAATCGAATGTTACAAACATGTTTCTTGTCTTTGTTTCTTTTTTTCTTTTGGAGCAAGAGTAGCACACACCTTTTAGTTTTCTTTTTTTTTTAATGAAATTTATTCAATCTGAATATCTAAAGCAGAAAATAGGAGAATGACTGGTTAAGGAAGAGGTTGAATGTTTGAAATCCTACCTCCTGGGATCTATCTCATCAGATAACTCCAAATTCTTTCATGGTGGTGAAAGAGACCATTATAAACTTGAAAGAACATAGTTTGAGAACTACTACTAAATTACTCTTTAGGTGGCTTCCATTCTTAAAGCATAATTGAGATGGAGCTGGGAAAGTGATCACTCTTTCAAAATGGTGCCTCTTCAGTACATTCTCATGGTATTATAGCTGGTAAAATGATGAAGACGGAAAGCCACTGGTGTTAATGGTGTGAAAGCCGGTACCAAGGCTGCTCAATAGACCATAATATCCATATAGATGGTAGTCAAATGTTGGCCCTATACTGTGTCCTATCCAGTTCCTCCCACTGTTGACCAACAAGTGCCACAACTCCCCCAGCCTAGACTCTGCACTCCCAGAAGGTTAGAACCTGTCCTATCATCTGTTTCAGTCCAACCTCTCTTAGTTTCAAAGCTGTGGGTTCAAGTGAGATGTTTATGTTCTTTCGGAACTTGGGCTCAAACGAAACGGTCTGGACTTTCAAATAACAGAAAACTTGTCTTTCCCCTTACAAAAATAAAATCACCTGTTTAAGAATGGCAAAAGAAAGTAAATCACATAATAAAGAGTTGCTAAAAGACACCTGACGGCTAAAAGTCCATATAGATTTTAGTATTCTTGTTAAGTAAATGTAATCTGTGATTCATCCTTAAAAGCATTTGTTTAGACCCCGTGGCTTTTGGAAAGTTCAAACTCAGTGGCAGATGCTGAGTACTTATATATTCCTTTCACAGATTTGCTAAGAAATTTGTCCTTACGATATCATGCATTTTGATACAGTAATTATCCACACAAACACACACACACAGAATTTAGGAACAGTTAATATGGACATGCAGAATGGATAATGGCAAAGATTTCATTATAATGGGTGCAATAATTTTTATTTTGAGTAAGCTAACCGAATGTCATTATATGTAGCATTTGAGGTTTGCATGGTTGTGGCAAATATGCACAATTTTATTGGTTGTATAAGCACAGATAGGTATTAAAATTAGTAAAGCCAGAGGGAAAAGGTTCACTTCCATGCCCCAGTACAAATGTTAACACTACTTCAATCTTGCCCTTAAACCTTCAGTGTCCCCTAAAGATTTACACTTAGATCTGGACTCTAACTGAATTTCAGGCCATCCGTGATTGGGACTGAGCTCCATGTTTCCTTTCAGTCAGGCCGTTTTTCTCACTATACTTCCTCTCTTCCAAAATATGACAATAGGAATTGTTGGCATTATACAATTCAGCATTAGATCTCAAGAGTATCTTTTGAAACTTGCTAACTATCTAATATCTTATTCTTCTCTCCTAGCCTATGACAATTATACATTTTTTTCTTGCCCACTCTTGGAAGGATTGTAGAAAAGGTCATTGAGAGACAATCACTAAAAGGGCCCTTGAAAACTAAGCTAGGGTAATGTATTAGAAAGAAATGGAAGTAGGAATGAAGATACAGCCCTAGAAATCAAAATAGGGAATATAAAAACAACCAGTGTAGGCTACAATGTAAGTTACTTCTCTGAGTATCTTTTTAGAGCATGTGTTTCCATTCTTGTGCTGGGATGTTACAGGGTTAACTGCAAGACGTGGATTTCATGTGCAAGCATCTAATAAACATTCTGTTAATGGGAGTTGCTATGAATGCTGTTGTTGTTATCAGTGTCCTTGCTATATTGGTTATAGAATTGATAACTATTGTTATTGTTACTGTTGTTACTATTAAATTATTGACTACAGGACACAAATCCAGAATGACTGAAGTCTTTCCCTTCCACTCAGTGTCTTTTTGCCAGAGAGTGGAATAACAATTATAATTTTGATCAATGAAAGAGATTCTAAACAACTGACTCTTCCTCTCTTAGCACCCCCGAGTGTTAAACATTTTCATTCATTAATAAATGTATTTGTAATATCTGAATTGACTAATCATTCTGTTAAATTATAGTATCTCTCCTTTAATTAACTATACTTATAGTATCTCCTCCTTTAATTAACTGTTTTCAGGTAGCTCTACTCATGAGTCTTTACATATATTTGTGTGTTTTAAAATCTTTTTTTGTTTAAAGAAATAGAGGCTATTGTGAATTCATATGATGGGCTTGAACTGTGATGTAAAAAGCATACTTCCTCCTTTATAAATAAAAATACTGGTCTTGTATTTATGTAGTATCCCCCCAACCAATTGAAATGAATAGTAACTGTGATAATCACTGAATGTCTATGTTTAAATAAAACACCCCAAATATAGACATTTACTCCTATCAACATATATACCAGCTTTTATAAAATGCACTTGGCATGTTTAGCAATGATCACTGAAAGTATTTCTGTGAACTTAAATATGGATTGAAAAGAATCTATTTAACAAAATAAAAGTGACATCTTGTCATTATTAACATCTCAGAAATGTGTTTGTCATTCAATGAAGTCAAAGAAAAGAGAGTTTTTGCCTATAATACTTTATTCAGTTTATCTTTAATTCTTATCTTGTTTAAATTCTGCCTTAGCCTATTTTGATCACAAAATATCCTGGATTTTATTTCATTGTGTCAACTTAACTATTACGCTCAAAATGCCACTGGTTAGCTGTCATATGATCAGCAAATATTTAGTCTATAAGGTGGGTAAGGTATTTCACTTTATGCTGATTGACATATAAAAGGGTGGGACTCAAAAGACGAATTCTCCATGCCAAGTGGTCCCTGGTGAAAGTGGGACTGGCGGGTTCCCTTGACCCCTTCACAAGACTTGTGACAGAGGTGTGACTCACTTAGTTGGCCGCTACCATGCTCAAACCACTTGCAGGATGGGACGCACACAGGCGAGTGGGTGCCAGGGCCAGGGTAAGTGCTTTTGGGTTCCAGAGCCATGGCAGCATCTAGGGGTGTGCTACAATTAATGCTCTTTTAGCAGTTGCCGTCCATGGATGACTATGTGTTATCTAGCTCAGTAGAGAGTCAGGGTGACAGCCTTTTACACTCTGCCCTCTTGGTACCTGGGTTCTTGTCCAGCATCCAGGAAGAATCAGGTCACAGGGACTTGAAGGATGGTGAATGCGAAGATTTTATTGAGTGATGGAGGTGGCTCTCAGCAGGGTGGGGAGCTGGAAAGGGGATGGAGTGGGAAGATAATCTTCCCCTGGAGTTTGGCTGTCCCTAGCCCAACTCTTCTTGACGTTCAGACACTTCTTCTCTCCTTTTCTGCTGCACTTCTCTGCTGCTCTGCTAGCAGAGTTTGGGGGGTTTATGGGTACAGGATGGGGAGTGTGGCAGGCCAGGGCAATTTTGGGAAAAGCAACATTTGGTTGGGAAAACAGGGATAGCCGTTCTCATTTAGGGTTATGGTTTCCAGGCTTGAGGGTGGGGCATTTGCTGGGGAACCACCCTCTTCTACCCAGTATTTTCCTGCCTCCTGTTTGCATCAAAAGTAGATGTGACATTTAGGATTGCTCTCTTAATGAACTAGAAGAGTTGATTACTATTGCCGTTTGATTGTTCATCTTATCAAATATAGGCTCCTTTAGGGCAAACACCTTGTGTATTTCCTTCACTCTGGCACTCCTGGTGTTTGCCACAAAGCCACATCTTAAATATCTGTCAAATTAATGAGCCTACTATTTTATTAACTTTGTGTTGGGCCAAAACAAGCTTTTGAACATTATCAAATTGTACACTTTTTCACATAATGACCAATTTTTAGAAAATTCTGCCATATGTTTTTTTTATGCTCAGTCATATCTGATTTGCCATATATGGTGGCTGAGTTTCATTTCTCCACTTACTGGACCCACCCTTTGAGTTCCTTATAGTTACTTAATATTTATTGAGTGTTTGGTATCCAGTGGCTTTGCGCACTAGTCCTTCTGTTTAAAATATTACCCCTGCAATGTAAGAGTCTATCATTCACATTAAATGCAATCCTCCATCAGATACATAAAAGTTTGAAAATCTGGATTGCCAGGTGCTGAATTAATGATACCCTGTACTGGTACTTGTTGGTTTGGGATAGGCACCCTCTCAGCCCTGAACAAAAGGCCCCGTGAGTAGCACTGACTGCAAAATATTCTGACTCGAACTTAGGCCGCCTAATAGCCATCATGAGAAATTTACATGATCCTATAGCACACTTTAGGGAAACTTATGCAACTTGCCAGTTCACTTTGTTTGCAGTAGTCAAAGCCCTGGAGACATCAGCATTTAACTGTGATTTGAAATTGCTGAAGTGGGCCGTTCCACTAGGCTGCATGGCCTACACAGCAAGTCTAATAACAGACGGCCCTGTTTGGGGGGAAATGACCAGACAAGCTGTATTCAGATTATCTTCAGGGAGAAGGCATTAATGCCTGAAGAAACTGCTTTTCTCCCTCACCCCCACCCTACTCTATTTTGCTTTTCTTCTTCTTTTTTTTTTTTTTGGATAGAGCATAAATGTAACCTGTGCTGACCTTGGGCTCAATGTTTTTATTCATGGTTTGTTGAACTCTTGGTCAAGTTTCCATCTCTGTTATTAATCATTCAGATTGCAATTGTCAAACAGACAATTGGAACCCTTCTGCATAAAAGCTGAGTAAACAGGGTGCAGTTTGGGGGAAATAGAAAAAGAATGAAAACAGAGGATTAAAGCAAATAAAATAGATTAACCCTTGACACGATAATTTATACTAGGACTAGAAGTCCAACAGAAGAGCTGTTGTAGATTACATACGTGATTAATCACTGCTATAGTTTCATTGGTGACAAAATGATTAATAAAGTTTAAGACAAAAACAAATCTTTTCGCATCTGCACCTAAGTGTGCAAAATCTAGCAAGGGTTTCTCATCCAGACCTTGGTTCCCTTGCAGGATGGACAAACTTTTAATTCAGATTTTTGCGGCCCTGGTTAAGATAAAAGCATCATCTTTACAATAGATCCACCCTGGCTTACTTGTGAAATAAAGGGTTAGGAACAGGAACCCAATTCTGAAAAGGCTTACTAGCACGAGGTTTATTTGTGTTCAGCCACCAAGGCGCACAAATGCTGCTAGCCAGGAGATCAAGCAGTATTCCCTCTAGTTCTTCTTTGCCCAAGGAAGCAATTGTGCATTCCAATAAAAAATAGAATATTGGAGAAGGGATAGAAGAATGGATAGATGTAAGAAGACTTTACGGAATGTAGCATTTTACTTTTGTTTTTTAATAATAGCCTGTTTCAATAGGGTGTGTTATCAGTTTGTAATGTGCTTTCACATACATCATCTTTTTCACATCCTTAGGACTCAGAATAACTCAGACTTTACGGTTATGAAAATTACTTGGGGCACTTGGTAAATGGTCATATTCCTGAGTCCCTCCCCCACAGATTTAGTGTCAGTAGATGAGGAGGGGAGAGAGAGATGAGTGCTCCATATCTTAACAAATATCTGCAGGTGAATGTGAAGCAGGCAAATCTCAAAGAGGCTTTAAGAAATGCTGTCGTAAGGCTCAGATAAGTTATATTTGTTTTATTGGTAAAGAAACTGAGAATTGAAGAAATGAATTCAAGATTATAAAGCTAGAAAACTTTGGAGTTTTGAAACTGTCCAGGTTTCCTTCTGCAACGATCGCTTTGGATGGGAAGAGTCCCAACATAGTTTCCATAGACAGCACAGAGGGCTGTGGCTTAAACAAAATGAACCAGTGCTTTTCAAACTTGGCTGCACATTGAAATTACCTGGGGGACTTTAGATACATGGATGCTCTTGTTCCACCCCTATTTATTGTAATTTTTATTGATCTGGGGAGTGATTTGGAGTTGGACGTTTTTCAAAGATCTCTAGGTGATCAAAAGTGCAGATAAGTTTGGGAATCACTGGTATGAACGTTTGAATTAAGACAGTATTTCCCAAATTGATTCGTGTGTGTCATGTGATATGTAAGATGGCTTCTGTGGTAGAGAAACATTTTAAAATAGTTACATATTTATTTTTATATGTAGTTTTTTAAATGTTATAATAAACCAGACCCATTATCACCTACATATTCTTTCGCACAAAGCTAAAGTAGACATTTGCATTATTTTTAAGAGTGAATTACTTTAAAAATTATTAAGCAATTAATAGTATGACTGTATGTGGAAATGGCAATAAAAGAGAAAGTGATATAGAAATAAATGAAATTTAGAGAAAACTATGTTAAGTAATTACGTTTCTAGAAGATGTCTGTTTCATAGGTGCAAGTAGGCTCTTGAGACAATGTCTGTTCCCTCATTCATTTGGTTGCTGTATTAGGACACTGGTAAATCAACATTATGTTGTCAGCTACCTAGAGAGATCAGATCCTAGTGAGACAAGATCATGAGGCATCTGGGGTGACAGAAGGTGACAGAGGCATGAGTGGCAGTAAATGACTAGGAACAGTTTTATCTTCTTCACAAAGGTCGTCAGCTGGCCCTGGGTTTAGCATACAGACGTGGGAGCAACGTGAAAGAGGCAAGATATTTCCCCAAATAACTTAAGGTTTTAAGAAAAAAACTGAGATATGATTGAAAATAATTCTGGAAGCTATCTGGACTCTAAATATAAGATGTTGGCAAAGAAAATCTTAAAGAAACTAGTGGATAAGAAATTGTTTAACCAGATATTGTAGCATAAAATCACAATCACCACCAGAATAATAACAACAGCAATAACATTAGGTTGGTCCAACAGTAATTGTAGTCTTTGCCATTATTTTTGCACTAACCTAATAATATGATGTAGTACTGACAAGTCAATATCTGAGAAAGATCAGGGCCACACTACATAATATTCAAAACTCTATCCCAATATATTAGTATTTAATATATGATAATGATAAAAAAATAGATGTCATTGGAATGATTCCCTTGTAATTGAAAAAAAAAATACATGTGTATCCCCACCTTGTGAATTATACCAAGGTAATTTCCAGATGAAATAAAGATATACATGCTAAAAACTAGAAGTATTAGAAGTACAGACAAATACAAATATATATATATAAAACATTCAAATGGAGAAACTTTGCTTTAATGAAATAAAAAACAGAAACCATAAAGGAACAATACATTGGCAGATATAACCATATGGTAATTTAGTTTTCATATGACAAAATTAATGGCAAATAAACAATGGATTAAAATATTTGCGACTTATGGTACAAAATGTTAATATCCTTGAGATAGAAATAAGTCTTATAAATCAGTAAGTGGAGACAAGTATACCAATAGAAATGGCCAATAGACAGAAAGATGTAATTCTCAAAGAAAAGCATATTAAATATTTATTGAACATGAAAAATGCAAGTAATGAAACTTAAATTACAGTAATAAAATATATTTTTATCAATTTGGCAAAAAATAAATTATAACATAAATAGATTATAAATAGGTACAACAATTTTGGAGGGTTATTTGACAATAAACAGCAAAATGCAATTTTGCAAGGTCCTTGATCTAACAGTTCCACTTTTAAGAATTTATCAGAAGACAAATGTTGACAAGAACAAAACTTTAGCTGTAGTATCGTTTGTTTCCACATTATTTAGAACACTGGGAATTTATAATATTTTACATGCTAAAAATAGTACAGTAGTTAAATAATTTTTGTCCATTAAAAAACAGAATAGAATACCATTATTGAAACTGATGTGCTGAGAAACATAAATATGACAGACTTAATAAAAGAAGAATGGAAAAATATTGATATTGTTAAACTTGGTCATTGGATACAGTTGGGTTCATTATATCGTTTTCTCTAATTTTTGAATGCTCAAAGTTTTTCATAGCAAAAGTGTGTTTTGTTAACCAATGAGGTAAGATAATATGCACTGACATAGAAAAAGTTTCTCAATATAGTTAGTGTAAAAAGCAGGCTAATGAAACTTAAATGTGATATAATGTGAGATTTTGGAGTGAAAAAGCAGTATATGTCTTTGTGTCCTACACAAAGGGAAAAAAAAGTTGAAGGAAATAACCGAAGGTTTAAAAATTATTGCAGTAACGTTGTGGTTGCCCATAATTTTTCTTTTTAATCCATATTTTCATCAATGAGCATGTGCAGCATTTTTAATAAGAAAATATGTTATGAAATAATATTTGATAGTAATATTTTACCTTGACATTTTAAAAGTATAAATTCTTTTCAAGCAGTCAATTATTTATTTGACATGTATTGAGCACTAACTCATGTCAGGCTTTGTGAATGGAAGTGTAAGGAGAAAGATGAACATGACATAGTTCTTCATCCTCATTATACTCACACGGAAACTAGGTACACACGTGGGTAATTCCAGAACATCGTGGTAAATGCTGTCACAGCACAATACCTAAAGAGCTATAGGAACCCACAGAGAAAAAGAATATTATTCTGGTTTCATTA